>NC_000014.9:102641715-102944715 GCF_000001405.40 Homo sapiens | reverse complement strand
CTGCCCCAGGAGCGCGCTGTGGATGTGGGGCAGCTTCTCCGGGGGGCGTTCAAGCCACTGGCTCTGTGGGCAGAGACGGGCTCAGGGCCGGGCTCAGGCTGTGCACACAGGAAGGGAGCCCAGGGGAGGGCCCCAGAGTGTTCCAGGCAAGTCTTTAGCCAAGGCCGTCAGCCCCTGGGAGCTGCTGGCTGTCCCGTCGGCCTCACGCTCTTGTCCTCCTTGCCACAGTGATCGTCCGTGCCGCTGACTGTAAGAAGGTACACCAGATCGAGCTTGCTCCCAGGGAGAAGATCGTAATCCTCCTCTGTGGCCGGAACCACCATGTGCACCTCTATCCGTGGTCGTCCCTTGATGGAGCGGAAGGCAGCTTTGACATCAAGCTTCCGGAAACCAAAGGCTGCCAGCTCATGGCCACGGCCACACTCAAGAGGAACTCTGGCACCTGCCTGTTTGTGGCCGTGAAACGGCTGATCCTTTGCTATGAGATCCAGAGAACGAAGCCATTCCACAGAAAGTTCAATGAGATTGTGGCTCCCGGCAGCGTGCAGTGCCTGGCGGTGCTCAGGGACAGGCTCTGTGTGGGCTACCCTTCTGGGTTCTGCCTGCTGAGCATCCAGGGGGACGGGCAGCCTCTAAACCTGGTAAATCCCAATGACCCCTCGCTTGCGTTCCTCTCACAACAGTCTTTTGATGCCCTTTGTGCTGTGGAGCTCGAAAGCGAGGAGTACCTGCTTTGCTTCAGCCACATGGGACTGTACGTGGACCCGCAAGGCCGGAGGGCACGCGCGCAGGAGCTCATGTGGCCTGCGGCTCCTGTCGCCTGTAGTATGTATATGTTTTCTGTTGCATATCCCTGTTGCTGCTTTTCCCACCGACAGTCAGCATGTGTTCGATTTTGCTTTGGTTTGTCTTCCAGTCCCTTAGTTGAGTAGTCACAGAGCATCGGGAGAGGTGGGCCCCATGCCAGCCCGCAGCAGAGAGCATGGTTCAGATCTCACGTCTCAGACCAGCAGTAGGCGGGCTCAGCAACCTCTCTCCCTGAGCACATGGGGCCGGTTCTTCCAGAGGCCTCAGCAGAGGACCCCGTCGGCGGGCATAGGCCCCTGGGCAGAAGGGCTCGGCGAACCGAGAACGGGGCGTGGCATTCATCTCTCATTTAAAAGGCCTTCCTCGTGATAATACAGAAACTTACACAGTAGTAAAGACAAGCTTGAGGGGTTTTGGTGGCCAGAAAATAATTCACCTCTGGTGTCTTAAGTTACAGTCCCTCTAAGGACAAGTATTTTCTGAAAGTGGTAGGGGCTGTTTTTCAAACAGTTGGGTCACTGAATTCGCCTAGTTGGCATGACTTTCTCTATGAATGGTGGCACTGGGGAACAGGTAGGACCAGTGGACACTTCCCGACTGGCCCGCTGTCCGATTGCTTTTAAAACCTTAAACCGGGTGGAGAGCGGTGGCTCACACCTGTAATCCCAGCACTGTGCGAGACTGAGGCAGGAGGCTCACTTGAGCTCAGAAGTTCAATACCAGCCTCATCTCTACTAAATAACAAAATATGGCTCACACCTGTAATCCCAGCACTTTGGGAGCCCAAGGCAGGGCGGATCACGAGGTTAGGAGATCGAGACCATCCTGGCTAATAGGGTGAAACCCCATCTCTACTAAAAATACAAAAAAAAATTAGCCGGGCGTGGTGGCGGGCGCCTGTAGTCCCAGCTACTCAGGAGGCTGAGGCAGGAGAATCGCTTGAACCCAGGACACAGAGGTTGCAGTGAGCTGAGATCGCACCACTGCACTCTAGCCTGGACAACAGAGCGAGACTCCGTCTTAAACAAACAAACAAACTAGCCAGGCACGGTGCCACATGCCTGTAGTCCCAGCTACTCAGGAGGCTGAGACAGGAGGATTGCTTGAACCCGGGACGCAGAGGTTGTAGTGATCCAAGATCGCGCCACTGCACTCTAGCCTGGGCAACAGAGCAGGACTCCGTCTCAAACAAACAAACTAGCCAGGCACGGTGCCACATGCCTGTAGTCCCAGCTACTTGGGAGGCTGAGACAGGAGGATTGCTTGAGCCCAGAAGATGGAGGCTGCAGTGAGCCATGATCACACCACTACACTCTAGCCTGGGAGACAGAGTGAGACCCTGTCTTTTAAAACAGAAAGGAAACCTTAAACCTCAGAATCCCTCTGATCTATCAGAGTGGCCTGCACCATCAAATCCACAGATCAAGAGGAGGCCGGGAGGAAGACGAGCCGCGCATATGGGGGTAACAGGCCAAGAGTTGGGGAATGACATTCTCCCTCAGTTACCTGAAGCTAAACCCCTTTGTCTGCCCCATTGTCAGCCTTGCTGAGACGGCATCATACCCAGGGCGTCGTGGCTAGACACCAGGCCTGTGAGGTGCACGGCCAGCTCCACCCACGGGCTTACTGCAGTGTGTCCCGGCTCCATCCCGATGGCCACACCACAGCAGACATGTGTGGGCAGTGGGGCTGGGCCGTGGGCCTGCGGTGAGGTGCAGGAAGGGGCCAGTCCCGCTGCCTCAGCACCCCTTGTCCTGGACTCTTACCCCCCAACACCCTGTCCTCTTCATAGGCAGCCAGCACAGGGTTTAAAACCACACAGGATTTACATTTTTGCAAAGCGTAACGTTGAAGAGGGCCCAGGTCACTTAGTGCAATGTATTTATAATCTTGGCCACACGTGTCTGGCGTAGACACCTGAAGTTCCTCGGTTCTCCGCCTTGGTGGGTCTTCTCTCCTGCGGGCACAGTGCAGATGCAGATGAGTTTCAGAGCTGGTCAAAAGTAATTCCATCACCTGTAGGATGCAGAACTGCTCATTCTGCACCCTTTGCTAGTGCCCTGTGTGGGTGGCCTCCCCTGCCCCTCCCCATCCCTTAGGGCAGGTGTTATCAGCCCTGTTGGAGAGGAGGCAGCTGAAGGCCACAGGGGCCGCGTGCTCTGTATCAGTCACATGTCACATCTGTCAGGCTCCAGAGCCCATGTTCTTTTCACTAGAATCTGTTTCACTAGAATCTTTTCACTGGGCATCTGTTTATCACTGAGTCAGCAAACTAGACTTCTTCCTGCTTCCTTGCAAGCGAATCCCCACATACTCGGCAGGCAAGGGCCTTCCCAGAAGCCCGTGTGGAGAGTGGTTCCCTGAAGGGCAGTGTCTGGGGCTGCTTTTGACTTGGTTCTCAGAGGCCTCACAGGTGCATCTGAAATGCTCCTTCTGAGACAGTTTGGTGACCAGGCCAGTATCTTTTGTCTTTCTTGCAAACCCTGTTTGATTTCCCTTTTTGTATTCAGAAGAAAAGTCCTGATCTTGTAGCCTGTTTGGAGTCTGTGATAGAAACAGAGCAGAAGGCTTTTAAAATGCATCTTCAGACAGTGAGGTGTGTCCTGATGCAGGATTAACCTTGAACTCCGGAGGCAGAAGAGCCAGGAAGGAGCACTGAGCTGGAGCTCTCTTGCATTTGGGGCTTGCCGCCTCCCAGCTCTGCGTTTCTGCAAGCTGATGGCCAGGAGCCAAGCTACGCTGAGGGGCTGTGGGGGCAGTGAGCGTGCCACCCACACAGAGGGACTGAGCGGAAGACGCACACCGCTCCCTTGTCGTGTGGCACAGCTGTGTCACTGCTCTTCTAAACGTGGAGAAAGCCCCTTAAACTCCAAATGGCCAAAGGCTTTGCAGTCCTTGGTTTCACATCCGTGGCACCTTGGGTGGAGTTGCTTCTGTAAGCCAACAGATGAGCAGGTGAGGAGCACAGCGCGGACCCCAGAGCTCCCTGCAGGACGCCCTTAGCCTCGCTTGCATATGCCCTCAGACCGGGCTGCAGAGGGGCTTCCCACGCCCCCATAGCACGGGTTCCTAGGGGTCTAGGGTCATTAGTGTGGAGGGCAGACAGGCAGGGTTGTTGCCCAGAGGTCAGCAGTGGTTTCTGTGTGGTTTTTAATACCTACCTGGAAACCGGACTTGCCATCTCCTACGGAAGAATTAGCCTCACCATACTGAACAGTCGGCCCCTACCTGAATTTCCAAAGTGTTGAGCCTGAATTAGTAGCTTTCAGGATAATCACATCTCATGAGAGCTAAATGAAAAACCAGACTTTTTAAAAGTCACCTTCAACATCTGTACTGTAGTATTCAAAATATTAGTTACGGAAGTGATTGTGGAGCATTTAAACATTGGATTGTGTTTGTTTAAACTTTGAAATGAAGATGAATTCCAGAGTGGGAACATGAAGTCTTTGGTGACGTGAACCAGCTGAGGGCAGTGCTGCCGCCTCTGCACTTGTTCAAGTGCCAAGGCTTGGCCTCCGGCCCGAGGGCAGGTGAGTTCCTGAGCCACTGTGGCTCACCCCGCCCTGCTCCGTCTGCGCTAGGTTGCAGCCCCACCCACGTCACGGTGTACAGCGAGTATGGCGTGGACGTCTTTGATGTGCGCACCATGGAGTGGGTGCAGACCATCGGCCTGCGGAGGGTAAGGCGGCCTCGGTGCCCTCCTGTGCGGGCGGGCTTCTCCCGGTGCAGTCTGTGCGTGGCCGCGCTTACTGTCCCTCCCTGGTTTCCAATCCAGATAAGGCCCCTGAACTCTGAAGGCACCCTCAACCTCCTCAACTGCGAGCCTCCACGCTTGATCTACTTCAAGAGCAAGTTCTCGGGTGAGCCTTCCTCTGCACCGGGAGTGGAGGGAAGGGAAGTTGGAGGGGCGTGTGTCCCTGGTGCCGCAGCACCGTCACCGCGCGCTCTGCTTCTGCAGGAGCGGTTCTCAACGTGCCGGACACCTCCGACAACAGCAAGAAGCAGATGCTGCGCACCAGGAGCAAAAGGCGGTTCGTCTTCAAGGTCCCAGAGGAAGAGAGACTGCAGCAGAGGCGGTAGGAGCGGGGCCTCACGGGGCCTGCTGGGCCTCGCTCTAGGGAGGGGGCCAAGAGGATTCTCACGTATCCATGAATCTCAAAAGTGTGTCCTTTCCCCAGAGAGATGCTTAGAGACCCAGAATTGAGATCCAAAATGATATCCAACCCAACCAACTTCAACCACGTGGCCCACATGGGCCCAGGCGACGGCATGCAGGTGCTCATGGACCTGCCTCTGGTGCGTGCACGGCCGGGATAGGGCGGGCAGGGCACCCCATCTCCTCCTCCCCGCTCAGGCAGCCATGCTGGCTGAGACTGTCCCAAAGGCAGTGCCTGCGAGGCTGGCGCTGTGCTCTGACCTGGCGCTCCTGTCACACAAGCCCGTCTCCGCTGAAGCTCTGTTCACGAGCACTTACCCTGTCACAAGGCCTTGTGCACAGGCCTCGGGCCGCCCTGGGCAGTGATGCTGCAGGTACTTGTGAGAGTCCACCACGTTTCGGCCTGTGAGGGCTTCCTAAGGACGTTTGCCATGAGGTGGTGATTTCTCAGTAACACCTTCGTACCAACAGATAGCATACTTTCTCTTTTTTACTTAAGAAGTATGTTTTTGGCTGGGCGTGGTGGCTCATGCCTGTAATCCCAGCACTTTGGGAGGCCGAGGCGGGCGGATCACGAGGTCAGGAGATCGAGACCATCCTGGCTAACACGGTGAAACCCTGTCTCTACTAAAAATACAAAAAGAAATTAGCTGGGTGTGGCGGCAGGTGCCTGTAGTCCCAGCTACTGGGGAGGCTGAGGCAGGAGAATGGCATGAACCCGGGAGGCGGAGCTTGCAGTGAGCCGAGATTGCACCACTGCACTCCAGCCTGGGTGACAGAGCAAGACTCCGTCTCAAAAAAAAAAAAAATTATGTATTTTAGGCTGGGTGTGGTGGCTCATGCCTCTTAATTCCAGCACTTTGGGAGGCCACAGTGAGTGGATCACCTGAGGTCAGGAGTTTGAGACCAGCCTGGCCAACATGGAGAAACCCTGTCTCTACTAAACTACAAAAATAAGCTGGGTGTGATGGTGGGCATCTGTAATCCCACCTACTCAGGAGGCTGAGGCAGGAGAATTGCTTGAACCCAGGAGGCAGAGGTTGCAGTGAGCCGAGATCACGTCATTGCACTCCAGCCTGGGGGACAGAGCAAGACTCAGTCTCAAACAAACAAACAAAAAAAGTACGCTTTTTATAGGATTTGACCTGCCCTGAAGTTGCTATTGCCAGTTCTTAGTTCCAGACTGTCCAGAACCCTTGTCCAATCCAGAGAGCCCTCTTGGCCCCCATTTTGCTCATCAAGGTCACGAGGCCACAGCCACCGTAGGTTGCACAAACTTCGCAGCCGGCCCTGCCGGGTGTCAACCAAGCATGCTCACGTGTTGCTATTTCTGCCCAGAGTGCTGTGCCCCCCTCCCAGGAGGAAAGGCCGGGCCCCGCTCCCACCAACCTGGCTCGCCAGCCTCCATCCAGGAACAAGCCCTACATCTCGTGGCCCTCATCAGGTACAGGGGAAGCCTGGCCCCCGCAGCCCTGGGGGAGGTGGGGGGTAGGGGGTGCTGGAATGGGGAGACCCCAGGCATTTGATTCCGTTCTTGACTTTCTCCCTAAGAGGAAAGCTGTCCTTGTTCTGTAGGTGGATCGGAGCCTAGCGTGACTGTGCCTCTGAGAAGTATGTCTGATCCAGACCAGGACTTTGACAAAGAGGTGAGACTTGCCCAGGTCCAGTGCTGAGGCTATGAGCCACCACTGCAGGAGGAAAAGCAGCCCGAAGATCTGGGGCCCTGGGTGGTGTCACAGCCCTTTTGGAGCACCCCACTTGCGGTGTGAGGGTGACGGGGGCAGGGGTCGGGGTGGCTGTCCCCTCCCCCAGGAGGCTCGTGCAGCAATCTCTTGGTCAGACCCCAAGCTCCTTTGGGAACGCTGACTAGGGACAGGGCTGTCACACTGCCCCAGGAGGAATGGAAGCTTTCCCGCCAACCTGCCTCTTTCCTCTGGACTCCCTGTGTTGTTTTATGTACTTCAATGTGATACATCAGCAGTCTCTTTGGTCTGGGCTGACCTTCCACATTGGTTGGTCTGTCTGCCCCTCCCTTGGGATGGCGCTTGGTGTCAGAGTGTGGGGACCACCTCCAGGACAAGCGCCACTGTTGTGCGCAGCTCAGCCACACTGCTCTGGCCTCAGTTTCCCCTGTGCGGAATGGGGATGAGAATGCAGTCGAGGGAGGCGAGGAGCTGCAGTGCTGAGGGCTGAGGAGTGAGCTGAGGGCTTAGCCCCCGGCGCCATCCTTGGAGGGAGGGAGGGAGGGATGCAGGCGGAGGGGCCATGCTCATCTCTCCACCACACATCTCAGCCCCAGCACTGAGATGTTTTAACATCAGCTGCCGAACGGACGGGCAGATGCCTTGCACATGTTGCTGGTTCTGCCAAGGTCAGCGTCTCTTCCTCTGGAAGTCCTTTGTCTTCTCCATCCTTTGTCCATCCTACTGTTCCACCCTTTATTCTGCAGCAGGCCCCCAGCCTGTCTTTGTCTGGTGGGACAGTCACATTTTTGTAGCAAGCACTGCTGTTACTTTACAGAACGCTCCTGAGTTTGAGTTTGTCCGCTGTTTCCTGGTCATGGGATTTGAAGTGTGTCTTAGGCTGTCACATTATACAGAGGACATGGTGTCCCTCTTAGGGTACTGTGTCCTGAGGCAGCCAGTGCCTGTCTCGTCTGCATGACCTTGTTTGTTCTTTTAAATTTAAGTGAAATTCACAAAACAACAATTTTTTTGTTTTTTTTATTTTCATAATAATATAGAGGCAGGGTCTCACTTTGTTGCCCAGGCTGGTCTCCCAACTCCTGGGCTCAAGCTGTCCTCCTACCTTGGCCTCCCAAAGTGCTCAGATTACAGGCGTGAGCCAGCACACCGGGCCCAAAATAACTACTTTAAAGTTACTTTAAACTACTCAGTGACATTTGGTACATCCACAGAGATGCAGTCACCACCTCTTTCTCATTCAGAAACATTTCCACTCTAGCTGGGCACCACGGTTCACGTGTGTAGTACCAGCTACTAGTGAAGCTGAGGTGGAAGGATGGCCTGAGGAGTTCAAGGCCAGCCTGGGCAGTGTAGTGAGATCTTGTCTCTAAAACATAATAAAAAAGACATTTTCATCATTTCAAAATAAACCCCCTGCCCTTTAAGCACTCTCTCCCCGTCCCTCCCTCCCCTCAGCACCTGGGCAGCCAGTAGTTTCCTGTGATTTCCCTGTCTGGACATTTCGTGGAAATGGAATGCCCAGCCTCTCGTATGGCAGTGTGTTTGACCTTTTGTGCCTAGCTCTCACCTGGCATACTGTTTTGTGGCTCACCCCCGTTGTGTAGCATGCATCAGTGCTGGCGTTTCTATTGCTAAATAATATTCTCTTGTATGGCTAGACCACGGTTTGTTTTCCCATTCTTCCCCTGAGGCACATTTGGGCTGTTTCTGTCCTTCAGCTGTTGTGAGTGGTGCTGCTGTGAACACGTGTGTGCACATATGTGTTTGAGTGCCTGTTTTCACATTCGGGTTTATGCCTGTGAGTGGGATTGCTGGATTTATGTGGTAATTCTATGTTTAACTTTTTGAGGAACCACCAAATTGTTTTCTGCAGCAGTTGTACCATTCTATATTCCACCAGCAATGTGAGGGTTCTCATATCTCGACATCCTCACCAATACTTGTTCTTGTTTTTCTTCTTTTTAATAGTCGTCCTGGTGGCTATGAAGTAGTACCTGATTGTGGTTTTGATTTGCATTCTCTAAAGACTTATGTTTAGCATCTTTTCATATGCTTGTTGGCCATTTCCGTACCTTCTTTAGAGAAATGTCTACTCAAGGCCTTTACCCATTTTTGAAATGGGTGGTTTGTCCTTTTGTGGCTGGGTTGTAGGAGCTCCTGGCATGTTCTGAGTACCAGGCTCTTGTGAGAGATGTGATGTGCAGATGTCTTCTCTTGTTCTATGGGTTGTCGTTATTTACATTCCTCATAATTAATGTCTTTTTTTTTTTTTTTTTTTTGAGACAGAGTGCAGTGGCACGATCTTGGCTCACTGCAACCTTTGTTTCCTGGGATCAAGTGATTCTCATGCCTCAGACTCCCAAGTAGCTGGGACTACAGGTGCCCGCCACCATACCTGGCTGATTTTTGTATTTTTAGTAGAGGCGGGGTTTCACCATGTTGGCCAGACTGGTCTCAAACTCCTGACCTCAAGTGATCTGCCCGCCTTGGCCTCCCAAAGTGCTGGGATTACAGGCGTGAGGCACTATACCCGGCCTAGTACAGCCATCTTAACAATATTTTTACTCCACGAACATGAGATGTGTTCCATTTATTTAAGCTATTTTTTCAGCAATGTTTTGTAATTTATAGTGTACACATTTTTCCCTTCTCTGGTTAAACTATTCCTAGCTATTCTTTTGGATGCTGTTGTAAATTGAATTTTTTTTTTCAGTTTCCTTTTCAGTGTGTTCATTTCTGGTGTATAGAAACACAACTGACTTGTGTGTGTTGATCTTATACCCTATAACTTTGCTGAGCTTATTAGTTTTTTGTGGATTCTTTTCTTTGGGATTTTCTACGTGTATAATCATGTCATCTGCAAAGAGAGATAGCTTTACTTCCTTCCTAACTTGGAATCCTTTTCATTTCTGTTTCTTCCCTGATCGCTCTGCCTAGAACCTCTAGCCCCATGTTGAATAGCAGTGGTGAAAGCAGGCATCCTTGCCTTGTTGCTGATCTTTTTTCTTTTTTTCTTTTTTTTTTTTTTTTGAGACAGAGTCTCACTCTACATGTAGCCCAGGCTGGAATGCAGTGATGCGATCTCGGCTCACTGCAAGCTCCGCCTCCTGGGTTCACGCCATTCTCCTGCCTCAGCCTCCCGAGTAGCTGGGACTACAGGTGCCCACCACCATGCCAGGCTAATTTTTTTTTGTATTTTTAGCAGAGACAGGGTTTCACTGTGTTAGGATGGTCTCAATCTCCTGACCTCATGATCTGCCCACCTTGGCCTCCCAAAGTGCTGGGATTACAGGTGTGAGCCACCGCACCCGGCCCGTGGCTGATCTTAGGGGAAAATTTTGTCTCTCACCATTGGGTATGGTTAGCTGTTTTATTTTGTTGAGGAGGTTCCCCTCTATTCCTAGTGCTTTTCTCAGGAAAGAGTGTCGCGTTTGTGACTTTGACTGCTTGGTTGCAGGTGCGCACCACTGTGCCCGGCTGATTTTTGTTTTTTTTGTTTTGTTTTGTTTTGTGACGGAGTCTCGCTCTGTCGCCCAGGCTGGAGTGCAGTGGTGCAGTCTCGGCTCACTGCAAGCTCCGCCTCCCGGGTTCACGCCATTCTCCTGCCTCAGCCTCCCCAGCAGTTGGGACTACAGGTGCATGCTGCCACGCCCGGCTAATTTTTTGTATTTTTAGTAGAGACGGGGTTTCACCATGTTAGCCAGGATGGTCCCAATCTCCTGACTTTGTGATCCGCCTGCCTTGGCCTCCCAAAGTGCTGGGATTACAGGCGTAAGCCACCACGCCCGGCCTGATTTTTGTGTTTTCAGTAGAGATGGGGTGTTACCACATTGGCCAGGCTGGTCTCAAACTCCTGACCTCAAGTGTGATCCACCCACCTTGGCCTCCCAAAGTGCTGGGATTACAGGCAGGAGCCACTGCGTCCGGCCCCATCTGATTTCTTCACTACAGAGTTGCTGTCTTTTGTAATGATAATTACCATGTTATTTTTGAGTGGGATTAGACATCAATTTGTGACTCTCACCAGCACGCCTAAGGGCCCCACGAATCGCTGGTGTAGAGCGTGTGTGTTTTCATAACATGAAGGGAGAAGAGCAGTTGCGACAGTTGTCCCTGAGCAAACATTTGCATCCAGCTGGGCACGCGTGCCTCCCCAGGCTAGGGCAGCGGGTGCTCACCCTGCCCTCTTCCTGTTCACAGCCTGATTCGGACTCCACCAAACACTCAACTCCATCGAATAGCTCCAACCCCAGCGGCCCACCGAGCCCCAACTCCCCCCACAGGAGCCAGCTCCCCCTCGAAGGCCTGGAGCAGCCGGCCTGTGACACCTGAAGCCGCCAGCTCGCCACAGGGGCCAGGGAGCTGGAGATGGCCTCCAGCGTCAGTGCCAAGACTGAGCGGGCCCTCCAGTGTTGTCCAAGGAAATGTAGAATCACTTTGTAGATATGGAGATGAAGAAGACAAATCTTTATTATAATATTGATCAGTTTTATGCCGCATTGTTCGTGGCAGTAGACCACATCTGTTCGTCTGCACAGCTGTGAGGCGATGCTGTTCCATCTGCACATGAAGGACCCCCATACAGCCTGTCTCCCACCCCTGACAACCCGAGAGGGCATATGGGGCCCTGCCAACACCACTTCCTCAGCAGAAACCCGTCATGACGCGGCTGCTTCGGAAGCAGACATCTGGGGACACAGCCTCAGTACCCAGTCTTTTCCCTAGTTCCTGAAACTTTCCTAGGACCTTAAGAGAATAGTAGGAGGTCCTATAGCATTCCCAGTGTCACTAGAATTTTGAAGACAGGAAAGTGGAGGTTAGTCTGTGGCCTTTTTTTCATTTAGCCATTGCACAGTCAGCTGCAGAAGTCCTGCTGACCACCTAGTCATGGACAAAGGCCCAGGACCAGTGACACCCTGCGTCCCTGTGTGCATTAAGTTCATTCTGGGTCGCAGCCATGAAGTGTCACCAGTATCTACTACTGTGAAGTCAGCTGTGCTGTTTTCCATTCGCTTCCACGGCTTCTGCCTCCTGCCATAAAACCAGCGAGTGTCGTGGTGCAGGCAGGCCCTGTGGCCTGCTGGGCTGAGGGAAGTCAGAGCCCCAGGGCGCCACGAAGCAGCCACTGGGATACCCCACCCCGCCCCGCCCTGCCCGCCCCCCCCCCCACCAGTCCTGCCCCCGCATGGAGCCCCCGTGATTAGTAGCCCGTATGATCACGTAGACCCACCCAACACACTCCTGCACACTGGCCCCGGCCCACGGCACAGCAATCCCCTGCGCGTGGATTTCACCTCACCCTTTGTACCAGATGTTGAGTGACCAGCTCTGTGGCCCTGTGTCGTCAGAGGCTTGTGATTAACTGTGGCGGCAGACACAGCTTGTCCACAGCTTGGGCCAGGCTTCCCCTGTCCTCCCACCGGTCGGCTGCTTGGCAAGGCTGTTCAGGACGTGCACTTCCCCAAGTCGGCACTGAGTGGCCCAGCACCGCCTAGCCCTGCCACCCCACTGCCCTCCTGGGCCTTCTGCTGGATGGGCACCTGGGGGGTTCTGGTTTTTACTTTTTTAATGTAAGTCTCAGTCTTTGTAATTAATTATTGAATTGTGAGAACATTTTTGAACAATTTACCTGTCAATAAAGCAGAAGACGGCAGTTTTAAAGTTCCCAGTGGTCCGTTTGGATGTGGTAACATGTCACCCGTGTGTCTGGGCCCCAGAAGTGCCTGAGCTCCAAAAGGCAGTGAAGGAGCCACCTTGCAGAAGATGCTATTCGCCAGCAGAAGCTATTCTGGGTAACTCACTCGGAGGTCACCCAAAAGGCTGCTGTTGGGGTGTTCAGCCTGAACAGAGGGCATCCTTGGGGCAGGAGTGAAGGGAGGAGGGCAGCGTGCCTGTGAGCCCCAGCCAGGCAGTGCCAGGGCCCCAGGAGCAGGCTGCCCGCGAGGGTCTGCCTGTCCACACCCATACACGCCAACCCTGCCAGCAGCCCCAAGGGACAGGATGGGGTAGGCCAGAGGCCCCAGGAAGAGGCAGGAGTTCTCGGGGAGGTCTGGGCCAGGGTGAGTGGTCCCTGGTTGAGGGAATGCTCGGAGTCAGTTTCCTGAGTTATGCAGGGAGTTGGCTTCTATTTGCCACTCACTGAGACCTAGTTGTCCTTGGTAGGACAAGGGCAGTGATGGCCCCTGCAGAAGAGTGCGGACCTGGGAGAAGACTGCAAGCCAGGGCAGGCAGCCCAGCACCCAGCGGGGGCACTTGGGACCTTGAGCTCTGTGCCAGGCAGCATGGCCTGGGCTGCTGCTGCAGCAGGCGGCTCCCCTGGAAGCCCAGAGCATCTCTCCTTCCACAGTCCACACCAGAGGCAGGTCCCTGCCAGCACAGTCCATCTGTGACGGGTGAGCAGTGGGTGGCAGGTGGTGTCTGGTCAGCTCAGGCTTGCTCTCCAGTTTGCACCTGACACTAAAGAAAATTGTGGCTAAAAAGTGCGTGTGGGAGTATCGGCCACTTCTTTTAAAAATGCGAGATGGTAGCTGTTGGAGCACACACGTGAACTGTGGCGGTCACTCAACGGGACACTGCACAGCACTGAGAGTGACTCATTCCAACCACAACACAGCCGCACCTCGAAGCACGGGGCCCTGATCTGGGTTACAGCACGTGTCCTGGTGGCTAAGCTGGGCCCCTGGGCAGAAGATTCCAAATGGGGGCCAGGCCATGACTGGGGATGCCGGTGACATCTCCAGCCCCAGATGCTGGTTTCACAGAAGTGGTCACTGCCACAGTTGCAGCTGCACACACAGGGCTGGACCCTTGTCTGTGTCGGTGCAGTGGCGCACGCTTGCACATGGGTGACCCCATATGATCTGCCTTCGCACCCAGCAGCTTGGTACCAGGAGGGATGCCCACCCCTTTTCCGTCCGCCCCACCAGGCACGGCCTTTGGCTCCGTCCACCCCTTGCCTCTCTCCCGCCCCTCCCTCCAGCTCCTCACCCTCCCCTCACCGGAAGGCGGGGGAAGCCCCACTCCTAGTTCTGGGTTCAACTTCGCAGATCCCAGCCTCTGGCCGCCCAGGTGACGACCAGCGCTGCCTCCAGCAGTGGCCAGCTAGACCCCTCCCATGTCCCCCAGTGCGAATGCGGCGCAAGGCTGGGCTCCTAGTCCTCATGGGCGGGGCCGGTGGCGGCATAGCCAGGCTGACAGCAGGTGCAGGAAACACCTTTACTGAGTAAGGCCACCCTGTCCTTGGCCCCCGGAGGAGGGGGAAAGGAAGGGGAGGTTTGGGGGCTGGACGAGGAGGTGGCTAGCCCCCAGTTCGACTGGGGCCAGAGCGGGTGGAGAGCCCCAAGGTCGACGGTCAGGCGGCCGCTCAGGCCTCGGCCTCGGCCCCGGCGAACAGAGGGTTGACGAAGTAACTGTGGCTGGTGCTGTCTGCGGCCGCCTTCGGAACCAGGCTGAGCCGCCGCGGCAGGGGCTGCGGGGTGACAGGGTCAGGCGGCGGTCGGCGCCGAGTCCCGGCCCCGAGGAGGCCCCGGTCCCCCCTCCAGCCCCCTCACCAGCTCCTCGGAGGCCGTCACGTCGAACACCGGGTTGCGGAAGCCGAGGGGCGCTCCAGCCGGGGCCGCCGCCTCGTGCCTCCTCCACCTGAGGGCGTAGCGGGGACGCAGCGTGAGCCCCTCGGAGCAACCCCCAGCCCCACCTCCGCGCCCCCGCCCCGCGTACCTGAGCCTCCCCGCGCGGCGCAGCAGCGGCGGCGCCACCAGCAGGACCAGCAGCGCCAGCAGCACGGCAGCCGCCACGCCGCCCGCCAGCCCAGCCGCGGAGCTGCCCCAGACGTGTGCGCCCGACTCCCGCATGGTCGCCTCCAGGACGCCGAGGGCCTCGCCTGCGACGGAGGGGCCGGCTCAGTCTTCCCCGCGGCGGGGCGAGGCGCGGCGGGGCGGGATGGGGCGGGCGCGGTTACCGTTCTCGGCGACGTCCGCCAGGAGGGCCCGGGCCAGCCGCCCCGCTCCGCCTGTCTCGGGCCCATTCTCCACCAGCACCACCTGGATCTCCGTATCGGCCTCACGGAGCCGGGACGAGCGTGGCACCTTGGACACGGCCACCTGCAGCCCGTGGTACTGAGGCTGGGGAGGGGGACGGGGTTGGTTTGACTCAGCCCCCCGCCCTCCCCGAGCCTATGGGGACGCTAAGGGCAGAGGCAGATAGTGGGCAAGTGAGCAGCCGCAGGGACCCTGCAGAAGGGGCGTCCTAGGCGGAGGCGGTAGGGCTGGGGTCGGGACTCCCCTCAGCTGCCCGCGCGGCCCCATTACCAGACCCAGGAAGGTGTCCAGTATCCGCGCCCGGTACCGCTCCAGGTCAAATGCGGGGCCGTGGGTCAGCAACACAACGGCTCCTGCGGCGGGAGGGCAGGGGTCAGCGCCGTGGATCCGGGCCCGGCAGGAAACTGAGGCGGGGGACGAACCTGGTCCTCCAGGCCTTCCCAGCAAGCAGGGCCCGGCGGGGGCGCTTACCACAGAGGTCACAGCACTGCCCCTGGGGCCGGAGGGCGCTGTGGCAGGCGGCCTGGGGGCAGCGGCCGCCCAGGGGCTGGAGCAGGGCCGCGCAGATCCACGGCTGCGCCTGGTGCGAGGGGCGGTGGTCAGCGCGGAGGGCCAGAGCGGACCGCAGCGAGAAGGGCGATGCCTCCGAGAAGCAAGCCGGCGAGAGACCGTGGGAGCGCAGCGGCCCTGTCCCGGGCACAGTCCCGACCCTCGCGCGGCCCCCGCGACTCCACTGCGGCCTCGCTCACCTCCGCGTTGCCGCAGACGCAGCCCGACGGGTCCGCGCAGTCCTCGGGGCCCACGCTCAGCGCGCCCGGCCCGTGGAAGCGTAGGCGGCCCGCGCGGGACGCCAGGAAAACAGCCAGGTCCTCGTCGCGCGTGAACGTCTGCGGGCAGCCGGGTCCCCACCGGAGCCAGCCCGAGGAAGAGACTTCACCTGAGTGCTCAGACCCAACGTGTGCAGACCAGGAGGGGCGGGGTCGGGCCGAGGTGGGGAGAGGGGACCCGAGCCTCCCTCCCCTCAGTGCTCACCCGGCCCAGAGCCGAGATGCTGCGGACACGCACGGGGCTAGCGCCAGGGCCGAGCCCCACGCGGAAGGAGGCACTAGGCGGAAAGAAGACGTCGTCGTGGCGGCAGGGCACGCGCTCGGCGTCCACGAAGAAGAGGCCAGGTGCCTCGTCCCCAGAGCGCCACAGGTGCGGGTCATGCCAGGAGAAGCGGTCAGAGTCGCGGAAGACGGCAGGTTCGCCTGAGCCGGAGCACATCCCTGAGCTCCACGGAACAAGCGCCGCGCCACACCACGCCACGCCACGCCACGCCACGCGTCTGAGCACGACCTCCCAAGCCCCGCTTCGGGACACTTCCGCCACTCCCTAAACCACGCCCCCGGAGGCGCCCTCCCTCCGGTCCTCGCCCCCCTCGACGCGCCTTCCCTCCAGTCCCCGCCCCTGAACATGCCTTTCCAGAGCCCCGCCCCTGCCCGACCGCCTCACCCGCGCCACAGTCCAGGTGCGAGCCCACGTCTGAGACGCCGAATCCGGCTCCTGAAGCCAGGACGAGTTCCCCATCCAGCGGCAGGAGCTGCAAGAGACACGGGCTGAGGCGGCGCCACGCGGGGGTCCGGGCCTGCTCCGCGCCCACCCCGCCCCCAGTCCCCTGGGACGAGAAGCCGAGACCCTGTGCACGGAAGGAGCCCGGGCGAGCTCAGGCCCGGGGTCCTCGGCCTGGCTGAGGCTGGCAGAGGAAGCGGATCTGGCCTGGGAAAGATGGGGCCGCGTGGGCAAGGCCCCGAAGCGGGCACAGCCCAGTGTCCTGTCCCTGAGCTGGAGGTCTCACAGGCCAGGGGCAGAGCCGGAGCCGGGGAGCGAGACGGAGCCGTGGGGAGTCTGGGGCGGAGGTGACTCTGGCCAGGGCCTGTCGCCTCCCCCCGTAGCCCCTTGAGAACGTGCACAGGCCCAGGGCTCCCAGGTTCCAGGAACTAAAGTTTCGAAAGTTGCCCGGCTCCTGGGGAGTCTGAGGCCGCGCTCTTGGTGTGTGAGGGAGGGAGGGAGAGGCTGCATCTGGCGGCCAGGGGTGCAGGAGGAGGCAGGGAGTGTAGCGGGGAGGTGGAGTTGCCCCTGCTGTTTCCTATAGGCTTGGGCTGGGCCGTGCAGCTCCCGCACCACAGAAGTGGGGCCACAGCCCAAGTCTCGGGTGTCAGCAGAAATACGGGGGGTCTGACTGGCCGCCCCTCACTCCCCCTCTCCTCCAAGTGCCAGGACCTCAGCCTCCTGCCTTCTTGCTTCTGCACTTCTCCCTCAGGGGCTGAGGGTGAGCGCTGGGCCAGGGCAACCCTTGCTGCCAGGTTGTGAGGGGCTCAGCACAGCAGGGCGCGCCCACCCGAGGCAGGACCCACTCTTCGGCCCTTCCAGGAGCACTGCACCTGAGCAAGAGGCCAACACCCCCAGCGACGTGAGGTCACACTTCAGTTCCGTGCACACCTGAGGGTGTGGCACTGCCAGCAGGGCAAGTCCCCCCACAGGTGCAGAGGTGGAGCCGTGGGGACGGAATGTGTCATAGCTCAAAGCGCCTCAGGAACAGGGAGGGGTTCCCAGGAGGAAGCATACCAAGAACACCGTTTTTTAAAGAACGAAGGGGAAAAATAGAAACGTAACATAATAGTTGAACAGACGAGCACAGTAGGTAAGGCCAGGAGTTTGAGATCAGCCTGGTGAGAAACATAGTGAGACTCCATCTCTACAAAAAATTTAAAAATAAAAAGAGGATATAATTTTTAAATATAGGGCAACATTTATAATAGAAACCAAACTTAAGGCCAGGAGCGGTGGCTCATGCCTGTAATCCCAACACTTTGGAAGGCCGAAGCGGGCATATCACTCGAGCCCAGGAGTTCAAGACCAGCCTGGCCAACATAGTGAGACCCCCATCTCTACAAAAACTACAAAAATTAGCCGGGCGTGGTGGCACAAGCCTGTAGTCCCAGCTACTCGGGAGGCTGAGGTGGGAGGATTGTTTGCGCCCAGGGAGGTCAAGGCTGCAGTGAGCCGTGATCACGCCATTGCACTCCAGCCTGGGCAACAGAGTGAGACCCTGTCTCAAAAAAACAAACTTAACAAAGTATTGATGAATTAACCAATACAATATAAGACCTCTACAGGGAAAACTTTAAGATGCTAAAGAGGCCATGGATGACCTGAAATATTTAGAGAGAGTCCGTCCATGCTCTTGAATGGATGGCTTGACAGCATAAGGCTGTTATTTATCCCAATCAAAATTCCTGTAGTCTCAGCTACTTGGGAGGCTCAGGCAGGAGAATCGCTTGAGCCCGGGAGGCAGAGGTTGCACTGAGCCGAGATCACACCACTGCACTCCAGCCTGGGTGGCAGAGCAAGACTCCATCTCAAAAAAAAAAAAAAAAAAAATCCAGGGTTTTTTTGGTGGTGGTGGTGGTAGTTGTTACCTGGCAAACCTATTCTACAATTTATCTGCAACAATGAGATCCACAAAGAACCTTGGAGCAGGAGTGAAGGGGATGGATATTAAGCCATCCTGCAGAGCCACTGTGTGGATAGTGTAGGGTCGGCAAAGCGGCCTGTGGACTTGAAGACAAGGCTCAGAGAGACCCACAACACCCAGGCACACGACGGATTCCAGCAGTGCTAGAACAAAAGGGCAAGGCGGAGGATGCTGGAAGCTGGGTTCACTCTAAGGAGAGAAACACAGCAGGAGCCCTCGCTGGTGCACGTGCCCCATAGGTACACAGTCCATTACCATTGTGACTGAGGAGCAGACGCGATTCTCAAACGAAACAGAAAAAACACAGTTCTAAGGTAAGGCGTTTTGCATTAGGTCGATTAAAATGAAGGTTTCTGTTCAGCACAGGACACTGCAGGCAAGTCCACAGTGAGCAGACTTGCAAAGCCTCCAGCCAAGGCAGGGGGATGGGTGAAAGACAGGAGACTCCCCCAACAAGAAAGCAGGCAAAAGGTAGAAATGGGAGGAAGGGCAAGGAAAAGGAAAATCGCAGGGAGGGACGCTCCCAACCACAGAATTACAAAGTAAGGCACTGATGTGCACGGCCTGTTACTCGGGCCTCATCTAGGCAGATGGATGAAGCTGGGAGCCAGGGGTGTGGAGGGCAACATAGCCGACGCGGGCAGGGGATGGGGGTGCTTGGGCGGCTCTGGGTGAATTCGGCCTCTGCAGGCTGGGACCCTGGGGCCACTGTCCCCTGCCCCTGCGCTGTTCCCACCGGCCAATGGATGATCAATGAATGAATTATTGAATAGATGAATGAATGGAGTATTGCCTCCTTTCAGAGCCCAAGTGCTTCCAAAGGAGATCATGAAAGTAAGGAGGCCGGCAGGGGAGGGGAGTAGGGGGAAATCCATGCCCTGGAACCCCCAGCCCAGCCTGACTCCTCTGCCCACAGGTCCCCCATCAGCTCCCAGTGCCCCCCTCACTCGGGCTGCCTGGTTGCCAAGGTTATGCGTGGGTTCTGGGGGCCGGGCCACAAGGGGCAACCGCCTCCCTCTCCCTGCCCTCCTCCTGTTTCCCGGGTGGGAGCGTCGCCATCTTGCTGTGGGTGCCCTCCCCAGTGTGTGGCAGCTTTTGGGTTAAGGCAGCTTTGGAAAACCTGAAGGAAGGAACCAAGCGGCCCTGGGGTGGAAATGAGGCCCAGGGTCCCTGACCCCGCATGGGGCAGGAATGGGCCAGGCCAAGCCCATTGAGCCATCCTCCCCACCCGCACACGCGGGGGCCCCAGGCCTGGACCCCACATCTGGAGCCGACACCCCGACCCAGCTCACCAGTGACCCTCACTCAGGAGTGACTGAGCTGGCAGGTGTGCAGGTGACAGGATGAGGACGCAGCCCAGGAGTGGCTGTGAAGGGGCTGGAAGGAAGCTTTTGCCCAGAGGCTTGGCCTGCAGGCCCCACAGTCACCCTGGAAGCTGGTGGGCTGCCGATGCAATGGGACAGTGGCCACCGAGGATACTCAACCAAGCGGGCAGGCTGTGTGCCAGTGAAGCTGTATTTACTGTCGCTGAGGTGTGAATGTCATATATTTTTCAAGTGCCACAAAAGATTGTTCTTTTTTTCCCCAACGATTACAAAGTGTAAAAACCGTTCCTTGCTCCACCCGTAGGGGCTGCATTTGGCCTGTAGCTTGCGGAACTCCACCTTAAACAAGGAAATTAGCTTCTTTCTCTGGGGCCTTATCAGAGCCTTTAATACGTGATGAAGCTCCAGGAAAGTGCAGGCTGCAGCATTTCCCAAACTTACCTACTCATGGAACCCGCTTTCCTCCCAGTTCCCATCATGTTCTTGGAGTGTTGTGTGAAGCAGTTTGAGAAAAAGGTCCCCTAGGGCAGCAGTCCCCAACCTTTTTGGCACCAGGGACCAGTTTTGTGGAAGACAGTTCTTCCATGGACTGATGGGAGTGGGGAAGGTTTCAGGATTAAGCTGTCCCATCTCAGATGTCAGCCACTTAAGGAGTGCACACCCACCCAGGCCCCTCGCTGGCGCAGTGACAATAGGGGTCCCTAGGAGAATCTGATCTGATCTGAAGGGAGGCAGAGCCAGGCAGGAGTGGGCTCGCCTCTTCCTGGGCGGCCACTTCCTAACAGGCCAGGGACCCGGATGGTGGGTAGAGGGGGGGGTGTTGGGGACACTTTCCCTAGTGTTCTAAAGATGGAGCTTTAGGCACCAGGACAAGGCAAGGCTTTGGGGGAAGGGCATGGAGCAGGCGCTTCCTGGGAAGACCACCCACTGCTGGGCATCACAAGGGCTGTGGGGACAGGGGTGCCTCCCATCCCTCCCAGGACACAGCCTGGCTGGGACCATGGGACCAAGCTCCCCTAGGTTCCCCCCCACTCCCTGCCTCCTAGAATATTCTCCAGAGGCCAAAGTCCCAGTCCTGCAGTGCCTCCATGCCGGTGGGGTCCGCCCTCAAGGCACAGCAGTCCCTGAAGGCGCTTCAGAGACTCTGTGAACCCCCAGCCCAGTGGCAGTAGCAGCCCGGCCTTACCATGTCTGAGACGGCGTGACCTTCTTGCACCAGGACTGACACCATCTGCAGGAAGAAGCTGCCTCAGCCGAGCCGGGAGCAACCCCCACCGGGGCCACACGGTCTCAGGGGTCCAGGCCCATCACCGACCCCGCCGGCGCTCCCAGGCACCTTGTCCGCCGGGAACTCAACGGCGCCGCCGGCGCACGGGGTCCGGTTCTGGCTCCAGTTGGCTGCGACGTCGAAGTCCGTGTTGGGGACCCAGAGTTTGGAGACCGCCTGGGTCAGTGCTGGGGAGGAGGCGACTGAGTGCCCGGGATGCTCTCCGGGATGCTCCCTTCTCAGGGAAGGCCACCCACCCAGAGAAGTGCGGAAGGTCCGCGCGGATCACCCGGGACGCATAGGAACCCCATCCCCGGGGGCCCGGACCCAGACCCTGGTCCCTCCCGGCCAGACTGTGGGCGCCCTGCCCGGGCGCTCTCCAACGGACTTCTACTGATACCTGCAGAGCCCGCTCAAACGCGCCCTGCAGGACGCCTGCCTAGATAGCCTCCCGGCACTGCCCCCAGTTTGCCTGGCGCTGGAGCAGAGGACAGCGTTGTTAAGGACAGTGACAACTGGGGCATGGAGGAGGATGGGGCAGCACAGACCTCTTCTCGGCCTTGGAATCAGGAAGGCTTCCCGGAGGAGTCCTACCTGGGCCGGGAAGAGCTGCGACAGAGCGCAACCCGGTATGAGAAGTAAGAAGGGGCTGGGGGCGGCAGGACCAGGTCAGGCCGGCCCTGAATGTGGTGGGTGGGGTTGTCCTGAGGGAGCCGCGAGGGGTTTAGGGAAGGGGGCGCCAGGGACACGCGCCGGCCTGGTGTGAAGGCGGAGGAGGGCTCAGTGCTCCCTTGGGGACCGGGAAGCTGAGGCGGTCTGCCGAGCCCCGCAGGCGCACACTCGCTGCTCTCGGCAGGTTCTGGGGACCGCGCCCATTTCGCAGACGGAAAAACCGCGAGGGCAGGAGCCGCCGGAGGCCGGGGCTGGCCGAGGTTCCCGGAGCCCCTCCTCTCCTCTCCCGCACCGCCCGATGCACTGGCCGCGCACTTCCGGGCTGCGCACTCGCCAGACGAGGGAGGCAGGGCCGAGTTTCACGCCCCCAACCCTCCAAAGCCCTCCCTGCCCACTCCTCGGAAGATCTTCACCCTCCAGGCCTAGAGCGACCTCGGCCCTGGGTCCTGACAGACCGCTACCGTCCGGGCCCGCACCGGTGTGGTCCCGGCTCACCGCAGAGCTGCAGCCACAGCAGGACCCGGCCCAGGACGCCCATCTCGCCTCGGCTCCTTGCACCCCACCAGGAGACTTTGCCCCACTGGACCCACGTGACCAGGCAGGTCGGGTGGGGGCACCAGGGTCGGTTACACATTTACCTCCAGACCCGCCCAGGGCCGACTCTTCAGGCCCCTGGGAGGCACCTTCTCAGCCTCCCCTTACCCGCCCCTGCAGGGCCTGAACACCTTAGGTTCTCAGGAAGAAGGGCAAAGAAGAAGGGCTTGGCGAGACTGACCTACCCTGTAAAATGGGTGTCTTGCCGGGAGGGGGAATAAACGACCTTTGAATTCACCCCTTTCTCTGTCCTGTGTGCTGCTAGGGCTGAGCTAGTCTGCTCACCATTGGAACTGGGTGTCCACTTCTCCACGCAGTGCCCCTGTCCCATGGGCTGTGGGTGGTGGTTGGATGATAGAAGGAAGATCCTGGATGGAACATGGTATGTGGATGGTATAGGAGGGTGGATTGTGGATGATGGTGGAGAGTAGTGGATGGTGAGTAGGGGACAGCTGATGGACAGCAACATTGATGGTGCATGGTGTACGGCATATGGACGCATGGCAGATGAATGGTAAATGGTTGACGGGGTGGATGGTGAGTGATAGAGGGTGGATGGGTGATGAATGGATGGATGAGGATGGTGAGTGAAAAATGAATGAATGGCCGGGCGTGGTGGCTCATGCCTGTAATCCCAGCACTTTGGGAGGGTGAGGCAGGCGGATCGCGAGGTCAGGAGATCAAGACCATCCTGGCTAACGCGGTGAAACCCCGTCTATACTAAAAATATACAAAAAAATTAACCGGGCATGGTAGAAGGCGCCTGTAGTCCCAGCTACTTGGGGGGCTGAGGCAGAACGGCGTGAACCCAGGAGGTGGAGCTTGCAGTGAGCCACGATCGTGCGCTGCACTCCAGCCTGAGCGACAGAGCGAGACTCCGTCTCAAAAAAAAAAAAAAAAAAAGGAAAAGGAATGGATGGTAATCAGGGAGTGGTGGATGGATAATGGCATAAATGGATACATGGCCGACAGGTAGATCATAAAGAGTGGGTGTTGGCGGGGCACGGTGGCTCACGCCTGTAACCGCAGCACTTTGGGAGGCCAAGGCGGGCAGATCACCTGAGGTCGGGAGTTCGAGACCAGCCTGACCAACATGGAGAAACCCCATCTCTACTAAAAATACAAAATTAGATAGGCATGGTGGCACATGCCTGTAATCCCAGCTACTTGGGAGGCTAAGGCAGGAGAATCGTTTGAACCTGGAAGGCGGAGGTTGTGGTGATCGGAGATCACGCCACTGTGCTCCAGCCTGGGCAACAAGAGTGAAACCCCATCTCAAAAAAAAAAAAGTGGGTGTTAAATGGTGGATGTTTGGTGAGTGATGAATGCTGAATGGATGGATGGTGGATGGTGAATAGATAGATGGTAAATGGATAGATGGTGGATGATGGTTGCATAAATGGTGAATTGTGGATGGAGATGGACGGTGGATAGTGAATAGATGGTGGATAGTGAATAGACAGTGGATAGTGGATAATGGGTGGATAGTAGATGGTGGATAGGATGATAAATGGATGGGTAATGGATGGTAGATAAGTAGATAATGGATAAATGGTGGATGATGGATGGTAGGTGGATGATGGTTGGTGGGTGGTGGATAATGGACAAGTGAATGGTGATGAGTAGATGGTGAATATTAAGTGGATGGATGGGCGGCAGATGGTAGATAGTGGATGATAGATGGTGGATGGTGGATGGTAAGATGAATAGTGGTTGGTGGATGGTGGGTGGTGGATGGTGGGTGGATGGAAGGATGGGTGGTGAATGAGTGAATGGTGGATGGTGAATAGGTGGATGGTGGATGGTGGATGGTGAATGGCCGATGGTGGATGTGAATGGTGATGGGTGGTGGATGAATGGATGGATGAATGGCGAATGGTGGATGGCAGATTGTGGATAAGTGGATGGTGGATGGATGGATGGTGGATGGGTGAATGGGTGGATGGATGAATGGTGGATGGTAGACAGTGGATGAGGGATGATAGATGAATGGTGGGTGGTGGATGAGTGGATGGCGAATGGGTGAATGGACATATAGATGGGTGGATGGATGGATGGTGGATGGTGGGTGAGTGAATGATGGGTGGATGGTGGATGAAGGGATGGTGGATGGTAGATGGGTGGATGTGTGAATGGGTGGATGGATGAATGGACGCTGGATGAGTGAATTGTGGATGATGGATGAGTGGATGGTGGATATGTGAATGGGTAGAGGGATGGATGGGTAGATGGATGGTGGAGAATGGATGGTGGATGAGTGAATGGTGGATGAATGGATGGTAGGTTGTGGATGGGTGGATGGTGAATGTGTGGATGGATAGATGGTGGATGGATGGATAGTGGGAGTGGATGGTGGATGGATGAATGGTGGATAGATGGATGGTGGATGTATGCATGAATGGACGGTGGATAAATGAATGGTGAATGAATGAGTGGTAGATGGATGGAAGGTGATGGTGGATGGTGAATTGGGATAGATGGGTGGTGCGTTATGAATGGTGGATGATGGATGGTGGATGGATGGAAGGTGATGGTGGATGGTGAATGGGGATAGATGGATGTTGGATGATGGATGGTGGATGGATGGAAGGTGATGGTGGATGGTGAATGGGGATGGATGGTGGATGATGGATGGTAGATGGATGGAAGGTGATGGTGGATGGTGAATGGGGATAGATGGATGGTGGATGATGGATGGGAGATGGATGGAAGGTGATGGTGGATGGTGAATGGGGATAGATGGATGTTGGATGATGGATGGTGGATGGATGGAAGGTGATGGTGGATGGTGAATGGGGATAGATGGATGTTGGATGATGGATGGTGGATGGATGGAAGGTGATGGTGGATGGTGAATGGGGATAGATGGATGGTGGATGATGGATGGTGGATGGATGGAAGGTGATGGTGGATGGTGAATGGGGATAGATGGGTGGTGGATGATGGATGGTAGATGGATGGAAGGTGATGGTGGATGGTGAATGGGGATGATGGGTGGTGTGTTATGAATGGTGGATGGTGGATGGTAGGTAGATGGAAGGTGATGGTGGATGGTGAATGGGGATAGATGGGTGGTGCGTTATGAATGGTGGATGATGGGTGGTGGGTTGATATAGTATTTTGTAGAAGGACAGTTGATCAACAGACAGATGACGGATGGTAGATGAAAGCAGATAGTTGGCTGGGCGCGGTGGCTCACGCCTGTAACCCCAGCATTTTGGGAGGCTGAGGATGGAGTATCACTTGAGGTCAGGAGTTCAAGACCAGCATGGACAACATGGTGAAACCTTGTCTCTACTAAAAATACAAAAATGAGCCAAATGTGATGGTGCACATTTGTAATCCCAACTACTTGGGAGGCTGGGGCCGAATTGCTTCAACCTGGGAGGCAGAGGTTGCAGTGAGCCGAGATTGTGCCACTCCACTCCAGCCTGGGCGACAGAGTGAGACTCTATTAAAAAAAAAAAAAAAAAAAAAAAAAAAAAGAGTAGATAGTTGATTGTGGATGGTGAATGGGTAAGTGTATGGATGGCAGCTCACAGATGGTGAATGTTATTGGTGGATGGATGGATAGAAGAGTGATTATGGAAGGATGGTTGATGGATGGTAGATGGTAGTTGAATAAAGGAGAACGAGGGAAAGGGCGGACGGTGGCAAAATGAATCATGGTTGCATAGTGGATGGTTGATGGGTGAAAGAGAAATCGTAGCTGTTGAACAGATGTGTATGTATGGATAGTTGTTGCAATGCACGGTGGGTGAGAAAAAGTTGTGGATTTTGGATGTAGATGGATGGTGGACAAGACCAAATGGTGGAGGGATGGATTGATGGTGGATGAATAATGGTGAATGAATTTTAGATGATGTGTGAATGGATAGTAGTAAGTAGAGAGACAGTAGGTAGATGGATAAGAGTACAGGAGTTACTGGATATAAATCAATGGGTGGGTGGACAGAGCATGGTGGATAAATTGTGAATGAATGTGCGCTAGGTGATGGATGGATGATTGATGGGGGTTGGGGGAATGGGTCTGCAGTGCATGCTTGGATCTGCATCATGCACGTTGGAATGGCTGGGTGGTGAGTGAATGGAGGATGGATTTGTGGGTGTTGGGAAGCAGAGAGGTAGAAAGATGAACAGCAAATGGATTGTGCATGATGTTTGGATGATTTGATGATGGGGAGATGAGTTTCTGGGAGGGTGGTGAATTGGTCATTAGGGGATTACTGGTGGAGAGATGGATGGTGTGCCTTGTGGATTGGGGAGACACTGGTTGTAGCTGATGGAAGGGGGAGAATGGTGGATGGTTACACTGGGTTCCAATGGCAGGATGGTGGATGAGTGACTAGGGAAGGGTGCAGGAAGGATGGTGGAGGTGGGTATGTAGGCAGAGGACTGAAGGTGAAAGGGAAACTACTCAGTCTTGGAGACTTCCAGGGCCTTCCACCCTCCAGGCCATCCTGCTGTTTCCTGCACCCCCACCCCTCATCTGCAGACTCTGCCATGAGCACCCCTTTGCTTGGCCTGGTATTTGCTTCTTTCATGAGTGATATGCTGCATCCGGGGAGGAAGGAGCCGCCACTGGGGGGAGCTCTGCCTCTTTTTGTGTCCCGGGTGGGCGCCTTGCCTCGACATCTCTGATGCCACCAGCATTGCCCCTTACCTTGGAGGGATCGCCTTGAGCAGAGGTCCCTGCGCTCAGTGGCTCTGTGGTGCTGGCCCAGCCTAGGACGGGGAGGGTGGGTCCTCACGGTCCTGGAGTTTGGCTGCCCCTTGCTGGACTCACATGTCCTCAACCAGGAACAAACAGGATACTTGGGGGTCACAACTGTTTTGCCCCTTGTCTTGCTTCTCAGTGGGAAGGAGGCAGTTTGACTGACAGGGCTGCGTTGGGCTTCACCCCTGAGTGTCTGGCTCTGCCCCCCATCCCCACCGCCACCATAAATGCAGAGGGCCAGGTGAGGCTCAGCAAACTTCACCCCTGGTGCTCAGGGCCACAGCCAGGACTGAAAGGGCCCAGAGGCTGGGGCTCCCTCTCCTGATGGTGGGGCCTCAGGGGAGTCCAGAGTGCTGGACGGCCAGGACTTGGGGCAGCAATGGAGCCTCTTTGACTACTGCTGCTCCACCTGGGCAGGCCATTCCTAGATTGTGCTGTGTGGAGAGGGTAGTGAGGCCACTTGGCTTCCTGGTCAGGGGAGGCTTCCTGAAAAAGGTGGCATTAAAATGAGACAGGAAGGATGAGATCACAGCTGCAGCCACAGTGAGGAGGTTGAATTGAAGGTGGCAGACCATAGGGGGCTGGGGCTGGCTGGGTGGGGTATTGGGATCCATCTCTCTTGCCCTGAGTGGCCTCTGGAGGTGGGTCCAGCAGTCAGAGGGTGGCCCAGCGAGCTCACATGAGGCAGCAGATAGGCACCAGGGCGCTGGGCAGACAAGCGGTACCAGAACCACTCACATGCAAAGATGTGAGCTGAGGAATGGCTGCGACCGCACTGCAGGTGCCATGTGTGCACAGAAAGCCCTTGAGCATATGCACAGGTGCCCCCGGCCCTCAGGCACACATGAGGGCACAAACTTGCAAATGGCTCAGAACCTCAGCAGGGACGTGGAGAAATGCAAAGCCCCGGAGTTTCCTCCAGTAAGAAGAACCTCTCACGGCCCAACTGCTTCAGCGCAGGCTTCAGCATCTAGAGGCTGTCTCAGTCTCTTGGTCCCTGTGTCTGTCTCCGCTATGGCTGGCGGCCCTCCTGTGTTGGTTTCCGTGTGCACGGCCTTCTCCACGTGGCAGGGAAGGTGTCTTGGGAGAGTGAGACTCACCACCTCCTTGACCAGGCCATGGCAGGAGGGTCTCAGTGAGGTCTCTGATTGGTTCCTGTCTCCAACTCTGCACCAGTTCCTGTAGCCTGAGGTTGCTGTGCTCTGACTGGCCACGCTGGCTCACAGCCTCCCCTGAGGTGTGGAGGCAGCAAGAGTGACAGCCCTGCCTCCTGCACATGGCAGGGCCAGGGAAAAGGTGGGGTGGGCCTGGGACATCAGCAAGACAGGGAAAGAGCCCGCCAAGGCCTTGAGACGGGAACATGAGGGATGCTTCGAGGGAGCCAAGAACACCCGGTGCAGTGGCTCATGCCTGTGGTCCCGGCGCCGCAGAGGCTGAGGAAGAATTGCTTGAGCCCAGGAGGTTGAAGCTGCAGTGAACTGCGATTACCCCAGCCTGGGCCTCAGAGCAAGACCTCAGGTTTTTGGGGTTTTTTGTTTTTGTTTTTAAAGGAAGGTGGCTGGGCACAGTGGCTCACACCTGTAATCCCAGCACTTTGGGAGGCCAAGGCAGGCAGATCACCTGAGGTCAGGAGTTCGAGATCAGCGTGGCCAACATGGTGAAACCCCATCTCTACTAAAAATATAAAAATTAGCTGGGCGTGGTGATGGGTGCCTGTAATCCCAGCTACTTGGGAGGCTGAGGCAGGAGATTTGTTGGAACCCAGGAGGCAGAGGTTGCAGGGAGCTGAGCTTGCGCCACAGCACTCCAGCCTGGGCGAGAGAGCAAGATCTGTCTCACAAAAAAAGGAAGGCAAGAGGCAGGAGAGGAGGGAAGAGAGTGCAGGTGAGGCCAGGAGGCTTGCTGAGAGCAGCTGTTGCTGGGTGGGTTGGATACAACTCAGAGGGAAGCCCAGGAGGGTATGGACCAGGGGTCTCCACCTAGCTTGGATGGGGCTGGGCCTGCTGTCTGCTGGGGTGGGGGACAGGCAGAGCCCCCCTGGTGGCATCTAGCGGTGGTCGGACCAGTCCTGGGCGCTGTCTAGGACTCAAATGCCATATGACACTGCAATTCACTTCGCCTCCATTCGTCACCTGCAGAGCAAGGGTGGCAGCGCCCATCTCACAGGGCGCAGGGACCCAGTGCCCCTTCAGGCTGCAGCCCTGGCCTGGGGGTTGGGGGGTAGGGAAGCAGGAGCACCAGGAGACGAGAGCTCAGCCCCGGAGGAACCGTTGGTCCCTTCTCCATCCATGGACAATGGGAGGAAGGAGGAGGACATCAGGGTGTTGGGGAGCTGAGGGTCTCGGGAGCACCAGCTAGGAAGCTGCCCCTGAGTGACTTGCTTCAACCCCACCCCAGATGGGGAGGGCTCTGCAAGACTTGGACCAGGGGCCAGCCACTGTCCCGCCTCCACCTCCACTCCTCCTTCCGCACGGAGGGTTAATCTGCCCCTGCCCCTGCGCTGTATGGAGGGAAATGTTGTCAGGTGTTCACCGGCCTCCGGGTCAAGAGGAGCCGCTGCTGGCAGTCAGGGTCACTGACTTGGTACTCAAAAACCCTTACTGTCCCTCCTTGGGCAGAGTCCCCGCAAGGCTGGCTGGACCAGGACGTGAGTGGATGTGACCCGGGCTATGTATGTGGAGCCCGGGCACAGCTGATGGAGAGCAGTCACCCGGCACGAGGTGACCAGCGAGAGCTGCGCCAAGCAGGCCGCCCGAGATGGAGCTGGGCCCACGGGTGCTGAGGAACGGCTGGGACCACACTGCAGGTGCCATGTGTGCACAGAAGGCCCTTGACCATATGCACAGGTGCCCCCGGCCCTCAAGCACACATGGGGACACATGCTTGCAAACGGCTCAACCCTCAGCAGGGAGTCGGAGAGCTGTGGAGCCCCAAGTGCCACAGGGGCCAGGGAAGTGGCGGGAGCCAAGTGCCTGTGGGTGCCGGGAGTCCTCCGAGCCGAATGGCTGCAGGCCAGGGTGCAAGGCCCAGCCCGGGAGGGCACAGCCGCCTTCCCCAAGGTCCAAGGTCCCTTGCAGGGGTTTTTCCTGTGGGCGATGTCCTGTCCATGTCGAGTGCTTTCCATGTGGCCTCTCGGGTGGACGCCAGCATCATCTCCCTTTGACATGAAGCAGAGGTGCTGGGTATGCACTCATGTGAGCTGTGCCCCTGGCTCCTAGACCCCTCCCAGCAGGTGCCAGCCCTCTTCCTGCCCTGTGCCCAGATCTGGGCCCCTTTGGCTCCCTGGGGTCTGGGCAGGGGGTTCTGAGCTCTGCCCTGCGAGGCTGACCCTGGGGCCTGGGGGTCCCTGGGGACTGAGCCCATTCAAAGCTGTGGTCTGAGTGGAGGAAGTGGGTTGGGATGGCCCCACAGGTGTCTTTCCCCTCCACCTTTAACTTCTAATCGAGTAACTCCGGCACAGGACCGAGTCCCCCAAGCGGCACTGAGGCATTTATTTGAAGGACACAGACCCCAGGCCTGGCCTCCAGCCTCCAAGTCACCTGTGGCTGCAGGGTCAAGGCAGAGGCTTTAAGGATGACCTTGAAAATTAAAAAACTAAGACAAAAAGCATAGGCGGCGCGGACACCTCCCCTGCACAGCACTTTGGTTCTTCTGGTCTTTTAACAAGAAATGGTTGATTTTAGGGTTAGATTATGCAACTACTCATTTTCAGAAAACAGAAAACCCCCTGGACTTCAATTCAGAATCTGATTTCTAGGCTTCCACCCATGTGGTTCCACTGGTGTCCTGCAGGGCTTGTGAGCGGGTCCGAGTGCCGCTGTCTCCCACAGGACTGCAGGGCAGTGTGAGCCGGGTGTGCCGCCTGATCCAGCCCAGCAGCCGAGCCCCAGCCTCCGCCCCAGGCCTTGCTTTCCTTACCAGAACTCGAGATTACCGGCCTCTCACCAAGTACGGTTGCGCTTTCAGTCCAGACTCTTCCCTGGTTTGGATGCTGGGTTGACTCTTGGGCGTGGGGGCTGCTGCAGTGCAGAGTCAGGGCCACGGAGGGCTCTGAGCGTGTGCCTCCCTGCTCTGCACCGCTCCCCTTCCGGCATCACTCATCTGGGCCAGAACAGAGCAGCCCCCTGAGCTGAGGGGAGGCAGGCGAGGGCCACGGCCTCCTCCTTCCCTAGGCCTAGACTGTGACACCCCTGGTTCCCAATTCCCTGCAAGATCTGGGCTGCCCCACAGCAGGACGGAGCCAGGTGATGGCCCGGTGTGCACCTGAGGGCTGGACTCAGTCCCTCCAACCCCCTTGAGGTCTGGACGTCAGGCTGGGGGCAGGGAGTCCCTGCCCAATGCCCTGGGGGGAGCAGCTCAGAAGCTCCCCTTCCTCCCCCCCGCCGTTTCTTGCTGCATGATCTGAGGCCAGCTCTGCAGATGTCCCCACCAGCACCCTCAGCCCAGGCCAGTCCAGCAGGTCTTGGGGTTTGCCGCCCATCTCCTCTCCTGTAGGACTCCCAGGAGGGTGCAAGAATCCAGGCCGGGGGTGGCTCACGCCTGTAATCCCAGCACTTTGGGAGACCGAGGCGGGGGGATCACTTGAGCTCAGGAGTTCCGGACCACCCCGGGCAACATGGCGAAACCGTCTCTATTAAAAATACAAAAATTAGCCTGGCATGGTGGCATGCGCCTGTGGTCCCAGCAACTCAGGAGACTGAGGTGGGAGGATCACTTGAGCCTGAGAGGTTGAGGCTGCAGTGAGCTGAGATCACACCACTGCACTCCAACCTGGGTGACAGAGAGAGACCCCAGCTCAAAAAAAAAAAAAAAAGGGAGGCCAAGGCACGCGGATCACCTGTGTTCGGGAGTTTGACCAACAGGTAGAAACCCCGTCTCTACTAAAAGTACAAAAAATTGGCCAGGCGTGGTGGCGCATGCCTGTAATCCCAGCTACTTGGGAGGCTGAGGCAGGAGAGTTGCTTGAACCCAGGAGGCAGAGGTTGTGGTGAGCCAAGATTGCGCCACTGCACTCCAGCCTGGGTGACAAGTGAAACTCCGTCTCCAAAAAAAAAAAAGGAATCCAGTTTCTGCAATCCCTCAAGCCTCCAGCTGACATTCCCCATTCATCGGCACATCGCGCTGGCTGTCCTCGCCATCCCACCCCCGGCCCAGCTCACACTTGCGGTCAGCGGTGACAACTGCACACTGCCTGGTCTCCATAGGTGTCCCGGTGTCCTCAAGGCTGCGGCAGGACCCTGGGCTTGAGCGCCCAGGGAGATGGATGGAGCGCAGGCCCCCACCACAGGGGTGTGAGGATTTGGGATCCCCCAGACGGAAGGACCAGCAAGGCTGTGTCCTGGGGCAGCTCCCGGGAGCCAAGGTACCACAGGCTCCCCATCGTGTGTGGGGTGGAGGCTGCCAGTCCCAGGATTCCAGCGCCCCACTACTGCCACCAGCCAGGGCACGGCAGGGGTGGTGTGGGCCCGCAGAGAGGGCGGGGCTGGTGCTGCGCTGGCAAGGGACCCTCAGGAGAGGCCCTGAGACCCTGAGGGAGGACCCTGGGGTGCTGCTCCTAGGTCCACTCCTCCCTGCTCAGTGGGCCACACGTGGGGACCGATGGCATCTGTTCTGGATGTGGCCCCATGCAGTGCCTTGAAGGATGGGGAGGGACTGAGCAGGGCGCTGTGGTGGCTGCAGGGGACCCTGGGAGTGGCAGGACAGTGGGGGAGGGCTGAGCGGTTCTCCCCATCTGATAATTTTGGGGGAGATGCAGGGCTTCCTGCTACCAGGCCTGACCCAAACAACTTCCTGGAGAAATGGAAGGCAGGCCATGGTGGCGGTGACAGCCCAGGAGCCCTTAACTGCCACGAGCAGCTGCCAGAAGGACACTGCCCAGACCCTGCAGCCGCCTGCACATCAGCACTGGTGTCACTCCTCATTAACCACCTTGTTTCGGCGTGGAAGGAGGTGCTGTCCTTCCAACGGACAGAGGAGGAAACTGAGGCTCGAAGATTCCAAAGTCCCACGAAGTCGTGGAGCTGAGACTGACCCCAGGCCTGTGGGTCCAGCACGCCCTTTCCACCATGCCAGATGGCGGGCACGTGTCCGGGCAGGAGGTCAGAGCTCCGCCTTATCTGCTCTGGACCAAGACACAGATTTGCGAGCCTGGCCCCTGGGATTCCCTTCAGGTTAAAGGCCGCAGGCAAAACTGTAAGCAAAGTGGAAAAGGCGACGGCAGGCCCCTCGCTGAGAATTGCAAAGTATTTCAAGACGGTGACAGAGGGCAGCAAACCAAGCACGGGCCTCTGGCCACACAGGTCTTGGCCAGGCGGCCATACTGGGCCCAGCCACTGAGAGGACAGCCCGGGGAGTCCGGCAGGAGGGAAGCCACTCACCTGGGGCCCAGCCTGCAAGAGACGGTGTGATCAGAGACTGAGACTCCATAATCAGATTTATTTTCCTCTAATAAGACAGTTTAGCATCTCCGAGTTTTGCATTCTACAGTCTTACAAACTTTAGTTATTAGCATCAGAAACACAAAAACATTGCAAGACCTCAAAACACAAATAAATACCAAATAAAACCACACATAATATACAATAAACAAAACTAGAAAACAGTAATGCTATCAGGAAGTCAGGCATGTTGCTAACTCACAGTAACAACATGATTATTGCTGGGCAATAACTCACGGTCTTTTTGTTTTTTCTTAGAAGAGCGGAAAACAGGACCCAAATCACTGGTCACAAAATCACTTGGACTGTCAAGATGTGTCTTCACAGCAAGCGGCTACTACAGACGCAACTTTTAAAACAGGCAGATTAAAAAGACAGGGTCAAATGAGAGATTGGCCTTCTTTGGTCTTTGTTTTTGGGTAACAGAACCGAACAGAGGCACCGGCAGAGAAGAGGCTGCGAATCTGCAGATGCTGTGCAGCGTCGACACTGCCCTCCACACTTCACAGACCTTCTCCTACAGGCATTTCTTACAGAAATCACCGGACATCATGCCAGCTTGTGTGTTTTCCAATTAAGTCATTGAATTTGCTGTTGGAGGGTATCTTACTTGTCTGAGGGGACTAAGTTGTCAAATCCAGTCATCACCTAATTACAGGAGCGGTACAGCGATCCTGGACTTCTAGCCTCTTTTCACGGTGAGAGTTCACAAGACAGACTAGACACAGTGCAGCAGGAGAAATGAAACGCAGGCTCTGCTTGGCCACCGGGGCCTCCTCACCCGCACACCTGCCAGCCCCGAGACGGCCGAGGCTTCACACGTCTGCCCTGCCACCGCATGTGGGGCACACCAGGATCAGGTGGAAAATGCCCTTGCAGTGAGCTGCTGGCCCCGCCTCACGCCGCCTGCTGGCCCGGCTCCCTGATGCCACCGTGCCTGTGACCATCAGCATCAGCCTGGACGAGGCAGCAATAATGACCAGGTAGCCTGCCGACACTGACCTCGCCTGGCTAGGACCCCGGTGCGCACATTCTACTTTGGAGAAAACAGAGCTACTGAGATTTGCAAACGGAAAACAGAACTATGGTCATGGGCTGAGAAGTAGATTTGGGTGACAGACCCTCATTCACCTCACAGATACAAAAGCAAGGGGGCTTCCCCCACTCTCCCTAGCTCTCCTTCTGCAGTCTAATAAGTAAAGATCTGGACTAAAATTTTTAAAAAACAGTATTTTACAGCTCTGCCAGAGCCCTTCTGACACACAAATTACCCCCAGTAGAGGGAGGAGTCTGGGAGGGCCGGGGATTGAGCAAGGGGCCCGCAAGGGGAGTCTGCACCCGCCCAATCCTGCAACGGCCCAAGGAGACAGTGGCACTGCCACCCTACTGGGGCTGTGCACAGGGTGACGGTCCTCAGGCCAATCCTCCCCGTGCAGGGGAGAAAGGAGGTGTCAGCCCAGCTGTTGGGATCAGTGTACTCCCCGGCCCTCCCTTGGGCTGACAAGGAATGACCCCGCTGCGGACAGAATGGTCGTTTAAGGACCCATCCAGACTCCCCTTCCTTTGTCCAACATCACCTCTGGCTGTAGGATGTGGGTCCACCATGCTGACTACCACCAGACGCCATCAAGCAAAAGGGGTGCTGGAATGTGACGTTGGCATGGTCGACATCCATGGGACACGTGGCCCCTGGCCCAGGGTGACTGAGGACCCTGGAGCAGGCTGACGTGGTCTGGGAGGCAGCTGGCTGTCCCAGGGGCTGTGCCTAGAACTGCATCCTCACCGAGCTGGGCCACACGGGGTCATGGGGAAGCCTCCTGCCACAGCCAGTGCAGTGGGAGCCCTGGCAGGTGGTGGGCCTGTGGGGCCCGGGCTGAGGAAGTGGCCCAAGGAGCAGGAGCCCCAGTATGCCACACCATGGCTCCCCAGCGCCACAGGCCAAGAAGGGCACGGGGATGGGGCAGGGAAGGAGAAAGGAGGGAGAGGCAGGAGAAGCTGCCTGAGCAAAGGGCTCCCCTGTTCAACTGGCTGTTGTGGCATCGAAGGGACACAGGTGCTGTCCCTCGGCAGAGACTGCTCTGGGGAGGAAGGGGTGGTGGAATGGGGCTGCAATGTGGGTCATAAGGGCCCCCTCTGTCCACCCGCACAGGGAACACACATCTGCAAGTCCAGGCCTTCGCCCAGGGGTCCGGCGAGGCTTGCGCTCAGGAGACAGAACCACATTCATGCTTGATGGCTCCTAGAATTGACACAAATCCCAACCTGGCCGCCTGTGTGTCACCAGAGCACGGCGAGCTGAAAGGCCCAGCGTATGTCGGGGCTCACTCAGGCTCCCTCCAGCCCAGCTGGGGCTGGCATGTCTAGTCCCAAAGCCAGGCCCCGTGGGTCCCCCACTTCCACACCCTCACTGAGCCACCCAACCCTGCTAGAAAGGCCCTACTCCCAGCCTGGCCCCCATATCATCACGGACACACCCCAACGTCTAGCTCTGCAGGCTCCGCGGGACAAGCCCTAGAACCAGAGGGTCAGGCTTCCAGGCCCGGCTGCGGCTTGCACGTGGCTCAGTGTGGTCACAAGAGCCAGTGCCCTTCACGTGAGCCGGGCCCAGGCCAGCCAACCAGCGTGCCTGGCAGCAGGGAGCAGCCCGAGCCACGGTGTCCTGAAGAAACTGCTCGAGGCGAGGGGAGAGGGGACGTTGTTTTGTTACGAAGGTGACGGGGAAGCAGACCGGCTTAATTCATGCACAAACGACTCAGTTGGTTTCTGTAAAGTACTGAGCAGCTCTGTCCTGCTGGGAGTCTGGTCATGTGTGGTAAACAAGCAGCACCCCCAAGCACACAGTGTGCGCCCCCATTTCCCGCTTGCTGCCAGGGCCCTGTGATGCGGGGAGGGCCGATCACTGCCCAAGGGGCCACTGGGCCTCAGCTGCAGAGAGACCATGGCCCCAGGCTGGCCCAGGTGGCCAGCGCCAAGTGAGGGTGCCCAGGCCGAGGGTGGAGCAGCGCAAGGCTTGCCCGCCGCCGGGAGAGGGGACGCCGTCCCAGGCTGCTGCCCACTGTGTTGAGTACATGAGAGGAAGACACACTCAGAACAGAGACCCCGATACAACCAAACACAAAGACAAAGCGCGTGACACAGGCCATCCCATCCTCAAGGACCCCCATCACTCAGGTTCAAGGACAAAGTGTGTGACATAGGCCATCCCATCCTCAAGGACTCCTGTCACTCAGGTTACGTCTGTGGGACCCTCAGGTGGGCCCCATGGCGTCCCGCCAGGAGCGTCTGCCTGGGAAGGGCTACTGGAGACGTCCCAGTGACACGCACTGCTGCTTCTGGGGGCCACACCAGGACTTCAACCCAGAGGGGAGGAAACGGTTCTTACTAGACCAAGATGTTGCATATCCTTCATCTAATATTATACATTTTGTGAAGGGGAAGTTGCAGGGATGTCCCTGTTGTTAACCCCTGGCCTCAGGAAAACTACCTGAGGGCAGGTAGGGGACAGGCCTCAGGTGGGGGACACCTTCGAGGGAACAGTAGTTTTCCGCAGCTTCTGCAGGAAGTCCTTCCTTTATGAGCAGGGACACACGACTCCCTCACAGGGCAGAACCAAGGATACTCATTCCCCCAAAGTAATCCCAGGAGAGCGGGGAAAGGAAAGGCAGATAAGAACAACGGAACGCTTCGACCGCGAAAGGGCGCGGCGGGCCCCTCACGGGAGCTCAGGGCACAGGGGTGCGACGGAGGGCACTTCCAGCAGGCACTGGGGCGAAGGCACACCCAGGACAGATGGCAGCACCAGAGACAGGTGGGCCACCGGGCACCCACCAAGCTGTCCCCGCGCGGCCACGGGGAGAGCCGAGGCAGGCAGTCTGACGTGCACGGCCCAGCTGGCCAATTGTGGGCGCGGCTTGTGGGCGAGTGGCACAGGTGTGACAGTTCGCACACATTGGTTTTGCCTAAGAAGCACCCGTCGCGTGTAGCACCCATCAGTGGTAAGAGCACCATGAAGCGTGGTGCATAGCAAAAGGGGTGCAGGGGGCAGGCTCCAGGCTTCTAATCACAGTTGGACACTGAGAGACAGTAAACAGTGAGTTGAGAAAATGCCATCTGGGCAGGCACAGGCTGGGACGACGGGCCCCGTGGCCACCCTTCCCGCCAGGGTGGTGGTCAGGAGCGCCCGTTGGTCAGCCTGGGCAGGCCCCCGAGCAGCGGTCTCTGGAATGCTCAGAGGGTTCTGCTTCGGGCTGTGGGGGTGCCCACGGCCCCGGTGGGGACACGGAGAGGCTCGGCTTCTGTTCCACACCTGCCTCCCTCAGGGTGGGACCAGGCCGTACTTGGACCAGGCGGCTCACTCGTGGGGCCTAGAGATTTGGAATCTGTGGTAATTAAGCAGCGGAGGCTCCAGAAGCCGACGGTGGAGCCTGGCTTCCCCTCAGCAGGTGCAGAGGTGTCTGAGGGCCCTTGTAGAGACAAAGATCTAGTGGTGGAGAGAAAAGTCTGGTTAAACTAGCACTTTCTAGAATGATGCTCAATGCAAACCCAGGGTGGAGAAGCAGCATGTCCCATCTAAGGCACGTGGGCCGTATGCCACCAGCTCTACGCACAACGTTGCTTTCGGAGACCGTTGACGGCATGCAGCAAGATGACGGGATGGAGAAACACACCTGCGGGCCTCCCTCAGCAGTCACCCGCCCACCCCTGACATGGAGACCGAAGGCCGGTGCTGTCAGCAACAGAGAGCTCGTCCGAACACATGGGGCAGAATCCAAACACCTACAGGATTTTGTTTAGAACTCCAAAGTTCAACGGATGCCCTATTTTAGGGTGAAAACAATTATAAATCTGAAAATGATGCACAGCATCCATGAGCGAGGCTCCGTTCAGAATTGTGAAGTCGTGTCATTAACTACGACAGATATTTGAAGGTTTACATTTCTAACGAGAAATAACAACAGGTTGAATATTCTCTTTCCTATCACAAGTGATAACCAGTGTTTGATATTTTATATTTTCTTCCAAGAAATATCAGTCTATCAACGTTTTAAAATAAAATGTTTGCAGTAACAATTATTTGTAGAACTTTAAATTAAAAAATGATTCTGAATTTAGAGACTTTCAAAAAAAAGACCTAGGTATATACTTCAGGGTCTTCTGACAAACAAATTATTAAAACAGAGACCAGATGAGGCCTTAAAAATAGACAATATACTGTATTTGAAACAAAATTGCACTCTTGAATTTTAGAAAGAAGATATCAGAATTGCATTACTATTTCATAAATTCTCCTTTTACTTAACATGCTGACATGTCCAGCTATCCCCACGTGTGTGTGTGTGTGTGTTTTTTTGGTGTTCAAGTTTAAGGAAGAAAAATCATGTTTCTTTTGTTTAGCATATATGTTTTCCACCTTAATTAACTAGATCTTTAAAAATGAAAATGAAAACCTTCTCTGACAGCAATATTTATCTTGTTGAAGGATAAATAATTCTTCAGAGTGAAGTGTGGCTAGTCTATTATAAAACGTGTCAGGTGTGCTCACGCGTGGCTCCTCCCGCCGGCACGCGTCCGCCTTCTGCCGCTTCCTCCGTCTCACAAGGTCCTTTTCTGAGCGCGAGGACCTCAGTGAAGACAGACCGGTTCAAATCCCCCAGAGGAGTTGCCTTCTGCTAAATCCACCTCCCCAGCTACTTATCAGGGATCGGGCAGATCCGAAGTATCCACTATGACTTTAATAAAAATTGTATCATCTTTAATATATGTCCCATTTTCTAGAACAGTTTGGGCCACAAAGACTGGGCAGCCAGAGGCGATATTCATCTCTCCAGTGGGCTTCTTGAAGCTGCTGCTGTTGGGGTCGGGCTTGAATGCATCTCCCAAATGACGTCGAGAGGACCCCTGATCCATCAGCATGAGTGTCACTTTCTGCTTAAACGGCCAAGGAAGCAGGGCATCATATTCTCCACGCATGATGACAAAAAACAGCGACAAGTGCGTCCCCTTCCCCATCCCGTCCCCGTTCAGGTAGACCCTGGCACACATCTTATAGCCAAAGTAACCAGTGTAGAAAGGCTGGCTGTAAAGGGACAGGGTCTTCCCCATGACGGCCTCCTGCTTCCGCCGCTTGTAGTCGCGAATCTTCCAGATGAGCACTCCATTGTAGCTGGCGGTCTCCAGGACCTGGAAGCGCAGGTCCATGTCGGCTAGGCGGATGTCGTGCACACTCAGCATCTGGTCATGCCGGCTCAGCTGGGACTCCAGCAGGCCTGCCACAGGTGAGGAGGGTTTGGTGAATGAGACAGGTGAACGTCAGAGAGGTTAGGAAAGCAAAGCTGCACCAGCACTCGTTATTTTATTTCATTTTTTTGAGACGGAGTCTCGCTCTGTTGCCCAGACTGGAGTGCAGTGGCACCATCTCAGCTGACTGCAACCTCTGCCTCCCAGGTTCAAGCGATTCTCCTGTCTCAGCCTCCTGAGCAGCTGGGATTAGAGGTGCCTGCCACCACGCCTGGCTAATTTTTGTATTTTTAGTAGGGACAGGGTTTCGCCATGTTGGCCAGGCTGGTCTCGAACTTCTGACCTCAGGTGATCCACCTGCCTCGATCTCCCAAAGTGCTGGGATTACAGGCGTGAGCCACCGTGCCTGGCTCTTTTTTTTTTTTTTTTTTTGAGATGGAGTCTCGCTCTGTCGCCCAGGCTGGAGTGCAGTGGCACAATCTCGGCTCACTGCAAGCTCCGCCTCCCGGGTTCACACCATTCTCCTGCCTCAGCCTCCCGAGTAGCTGGGACTACAGGCGCCCGCCACCATGCCCGGCTAACTTTTTGTATTTTTACTAGAGATGGGGTTTCACCGTGTTAGCCAGGATGATCTCAATCTCCTGACCTCGTGATCTGCCCACCTCAGCCTCCCAAAGTGCTGGGATTACAGGCGTGAGCCACTGCACCCGGCCTCATTTTTTAATTTTTAAAGAGGCAAGGTCTTGCTCTGTTGCTCAGGCTGGCATCAAACTCCTGAGCTTAAGTAATCCTCCTGCCTCAGCCTCCCAAAGCACTGGGACTATAGGCCACACCACCATGCCCAGTCATACCAGCATCTGAAGCAACAATATAAAAATCACTGTGGTTTCTGGGGGTAACACCAGCAAAACTGTGTAGAAGATGTCCTGAGGCCACCGCCTCCCAGGGAAGAGCCCAGGTCCCTGCCCCAGTTCTACCACAGCTCTCATGCCCACAGCCCTGTCTGTCTGGACACATTACTAGGCACAGACTGCTGACAGGGGATGTCCTGGGCGGTTGACCTGCCTGTGTGTCAAAGGACACCTCACTGCAGGGTCCAAGACAGAGTGCTCCACTGTGGCTTCCTGGGAAGCCCGCTGGTGGGAGCTCCTGGGAGCAGGAGACAGCTGTGCTCTCCCCACTCCTCCCTCCGGCCTCAGCACCCACAGGTGGCCTCTGCTCTCTTGGAGGCGAAGCTGCTCCCCTCTCCTCCAACCTCATTCTCTGCCTGCTTCATCCGGCCCCACACACACACCGGTAATCTGTGTTCCTTTCTGCCATTAATCCTCCTCATGTAAATATTCCCAATACTCTTTCAGTCCCCAAAGCCATAGGCCCACATCTGCTTGTGGATCAGAAACATGCTGGCAGAGCGCGGTGGGACTGCTGCCCCCTGGCCCTTAGGAGTGGGGTCTGGGGCGCCCCGACCAGCAGGTCCTGGCCTCTGCCATCTGCGCTTGGGCCTGTCCTGTGGGTCACCCTGCGGCCAGTCTCTCCCAGGAGGGCTTTGCAGCTTCCCGTGGCTGCAGCTGCCCCTACTTTCTACACCATGTAGGGCCTCACACGGAGGGGACAAGCCTGCGCGGGAAACGTTTGTCTTTGCTGGGGGACTTTCAGTAGGAAAGTCATCACACCTCTGCGTGTTACCCATAATTAGAAAAAACTGTCCTAAGGCACATGTACCTAACATAGCCCTCATCCCACGGACCCCGCCCCAGCACTCGCCCGGGGCCCAGATGCACACTGCTGGCCCGGCCCCGGCCCCTGCCTCACCTGTGTTCCGAGCCACTTGCCCCGCGCTCTTGTCCACGCTCTCCAGCTCGGTCACGCGGTTCTGGAGGGACTCCACGCTGCTCTTCATGCTGTCTGCTTCCTCCCAGTTCTGCCGGAAGGGCCGGATCTCCTTGTCAAGCTCCTTCAGTTTCTCTGCTTGGCTGTCTATCACTCGCTTCCAAACCAAAGGTGTTAAAAAGCAAAACACAGTTAGGACTCGGAAAATGCTGCACCACCTTCCATCAAATACAGACAGGCTAGGAGCAGAACAGTCAGAGGCCCCTGTATGAGGCCTGCCACCCGCGGCTCTGACTCCAGGAGTGGGGCTCTGCATCAGGCCTCCTGGGAGCTCCCTGGGATCAAGTGCTTGTGCCGGCAGGGAGCACTCGAGGTGACATGAAGCCACATGGAAGAAAACAACAGGAGGCTCCACTAAGTCAGCTTGCTTTGTCAACAGAGAGCCATCAGGAAAGCAAAGTGACAGGTGGCAAGTGTTCAGAAGACCAGGGGAGAGGTCTCCACTGTCTCTGGGGCAGGCAGCAGCTCATGCTTCTGCTGCCCACAGCAGGCTTCCCTGTTTCACAGTGGCACTGGTGCCGCCTGCCCGCCTGTTTCTCACACACCCACACCCTGGCATCAGCCAACCCCACCAGCTCTCCTGTTCAGATACCAGGATCCGACCTCACCCTCACACTCCCATGTGTCCCTCCCAGCTCTTCTCCCAGGCCACAGCACCTGTGCGGGGCCACAAGGCTCCCATGGACATCTCCTCTGCAGCCCTCGTATACCTCGGGGGCCATAATACAGAGGGTCCCTGCTTCCCAGAGAGGCCTCACCCCTGTAAGTGCAGGTCCCACGGGACAGGTGGCCCTGCATGGCTGCCACAGGGTCTCAGGTTTAGGATGCCAGAATCATGCCCATGTGGCCTCATCTTCCCTTGGAACGTCTAAAGGCCTCCTACCCTGCTGCTGGGTCTGGGGCAGAAGCACAGTCCTGTCTCTGTGGCTGCAGGGGGTTCCCCAGAACGACCCCAGGGTCCCAGGAGAAGACTCCCACTCCTCAGACCCCTCCCACCTGGATGGTGGCAGGAAAGGGCCCCAAGGCATGTCCTCAGGCCCTAGGTGAAACCCAGTGGGCCGATGCTGCAGACGCAGGGGTCTTCCCCCTCCAGCTCCACACTCAGGCTGCCAGGCCCCAGCGAGGGAGGCAGGAACGCAGAAACCCTGCCACGAACACACGAGGCTGCCAGTAACCAGGCCTGACTTTATGCTACTTCATTTAACTAATTCAGAAAGCCCTTTCCCAAAACACACAGGCTGCTCATATTTGTCACTACCTGGAGGGGTGGGAGCTGTACTCCGCCCTGGTGGCCCAGTCTGTGTTAAGGGGCTGGAGTGTCCACCTGTGAGATGAAGCCAGGGACTTAAAGGGTTTTCACTTCAAAAAATGATGTGCATTTTCAAGCAGCTTGTGATGGCTGGAGAGTTCAGTGCTCAATGCAGCTGTGGAATGACTGAGCCACCTCACAAGCTGAGGGCCACACCGGGTGCTCGAGGGGCGGGCCCCAGGGCCCCCTGAATTCACTTCTCCTTTTGGAAGTCTATTTTTAAACATCTAGGTTTCAGCACCTTTGCTGGCTGTTATTAACCACAAAGACACAAACATGACAGGTCTGGGTGGCTTTTTGGGCGTAAAAGCAGTGTTATTCTTCCTGTTCTTTCCAAGAAACATGATATTAGTTAACCTCTAAAAAGTAAGGATAATTTCTCTAAAGAACACCTCTTTCCACTGTCACTGTCCCTTTAAACTGACACTGTCACTGTCCCTTTATTTTACACAATCATACATGTTCAGAAGGATATTTAATTAGCTCACCAAGTCTATTTGCTGGGGGACAATACCACTGACGACACTGAACATCCAAATACACGGCTCCTCTAGTGAGCACCGGAAGCCTCTCGCATCTCCACCTTCTAACACGCACACTGAGCTGGCAGGGGTGCTCGCGAGTGGCAGGGGAAAGTTAATGAAAACCTGATCAACAGAGGTCTGAGAGACGCCCTTTGTAACTTAGCAAACCCCGAAATGAAGCATGAGTCCCAGGCAGGGTGGCCCAAGACAAGCTGCGCCTCACGCTGAGCCTCAGGCCCCCGAGGTTAAGAGGGGGATGGCACCGAGCCACCCCTCCCCGCGATTGTGCTACGCAAGGGCACGCCTGACCTCAAGCACAGAACGGGGAGTCTCCAGCAAGGACTCCCCCACACAGCAGGGGCCCCCGAGTCAGGAACACACAACATGCGTGCACCGCATGCACAGACCAGCACGACTAAATAAAAGGCGTCTCCATGAGCAGCAAGGGAACTCGGGCTATTTTTAAAACAGGCACTTCATCTGTATCAATGGCACCATTTCAAAGCAGAACGCAGAGTCACATCAAGTGTTCTCTAAAACGCAGCAAACGTGATTTCATCCTTGAAGAACGGTCTACACTCAGTCACTGCAGTTTCTATAAAAAATAAATCTCAAGTGCAGGTATGGAATTGTACAGAAAAAAGACTCCGACACAGAGCTGAAGAGACAGACTGCACTCCACATCAACAATCCAAATCAGAAGGTTTGCCTTCAGGGAGCATCAGCCCGTGAGCCTTATACACTTGCATGCCAGGGCTGCAACCGTGTCACCTGCTGTGATGCCTCACTCTCAGGCCACTGCGACCCTGGCACACAAGCCCGGCGCTGTGAGAAGCCCGGTGGTGCCGGCAGCCTGAGTGAAGGCCGCGTGGATGGACGTCCCTGCCTTCTGTCCCAGTGCGTGCTCCTCTACGTGTGCCCTGTGGACCCCCTGACTGTAAGAACCACCAGTTCATCTAGTCCACTGACACCAGAAGCCTGGGTCATGCTCGCACCTATGCTATCTTCTTTTTTTTCTTTGAGACAGTCTTGCTCTGTCACCCAGTCTCGAGTGCAATGGCGCAATCTTTGCTCACTGCAACCTCTGCCGCCTGGGTTCAAGTGATTCTTCTGCCTCAGCCTCCCGAGTAGCTGGGATTACAGATGCCTGCCACTGCGCCCAGCTAATTTTTCTATTTTTAGTAGAGACGGGGTTTCGCCATCTTGGCCAGGCTGGTCTTGAACTCCTGACCTCGTGATCCACCCGCCTCGGCCTTCCAAAGTGCTGGGAATATGGGTGTGAGCCACCGTGTCCGGCCTACCGGCCTAGGCTGTCTTTTTTTTTTTTTTTTTTTTTTTCCGAGACGGAGTCTTGCTCTTTCTCCCACGCCTGACTGCAGCGGCGCTATCTCGGCTCACTGCAAGTTCCGCCTCCCGGGTTCACACCATTCTCCTGCCTCAGCCTCCCGAGTAGCTGGGACTACAGGCGCCCACCACCGCACCTGGCTAATTTTTTGTATTTTTAGTAGAGACGGGGTTTCACCGTGTTAGCCAGGATGGTCTCGATCTCCTGACCTCATGATCCGCCCGCCTCGGCCTCCCAAAGTGCTGGGATTACAGATGTGAGCCACTGCATCCGGCCTGGCTGTCTTCTTAATAAAGAAAAACAGGATATTTAAGAAGTAAAATATTAAGAACTCATCGTTCCCCGGACAGGCAAAAAAGCAAAGACACTCTTGAATTCCACTCCTTGACCCCCTGCCTGCACCCCCACTGCCACAGCCAGGCCATCGGGCCCTCTGTGCTTCGACTCCCGCCATCACCAGGGCTTTAGGGTCTACTGGAGAATCAGACAAGGAAGAAAGAAGAAGACCCCAAGTGACGTGTGCCCTCATCACCTAGCTGGTCCACAAACATGGCTGGAGGAGTGCCTGGAGCTGGCCAGGAAGGGAAGCAGGAGAAAAAGACATCTGTGCAGCAGCATGGAGCTTGTCAAGGAACAATGAGCGGGTCCACTTTAGCGCAGGGAGTGGGGCGAAGCTGGGAAGGTGACCGGTGGCCAGGCACAGAGGTTTTCTGGGCCACAGTAAGATTTTACGATAAACCCTTCCTGGGGCAACAGGAAGGGCTCTGAGGATGAAACAGTGGGGAACACGGCTGAGCTGGGCTGCTGCTCAAGAGGGTAGGCGGGGCCTGCAGCAGCAGAGGGATGGCCTGGCCCCGTGCAGCTCCCACACAGCCAGCACCTCTGGGCATCAGAAGGCTTTCAATCAGCATTTCCTGAGGATGGACAGTGCAGAATCCTCCTGGCCAAAGACCACCAACCCCACAGTGGTCCCAAAGGTAACACTGAATTTCCCCTTTCAAAAAACCACACGGTTGGAAGGACCTTCTGTGTAGACCACGCCTGCTCAACAGGTCACATGGAGAAGAGTTTTCACATGTTTCAGGCAGAGCCGTGTCCCTGCACTCAGGGGAATCAGGCGCGGGCAGCCTGCTCTGAGTCCCTTCCCTAAACACAACCTGCTCTCCGCCACGCCCAGCCTCCTGTGGGGAAGAGGCAGGTGCGCCATCACCTTCTACTCGTCACAGGTCAAGGGACACTGACCGCTGCCGTCACCACTCCATCCTCACTTCTCTGCCCTTGGCAACTTGGCTTCCCCCTTTCTTTCTGACTTATGCTTCATTGGTTCATCCAATCACAAAAGTTTTCAAGTAGAAATCACATACCATAGAGTGATTAAACTCGACTAAAAAGGAAAGTAAATGACAACACCTGACTGGAAGGGGAGAAACTGAAGATGAATGCAGAGGAAATGTGAGGTTTGGGATGGGGCGTTGGTACATCACTGTGTATATTCTAACTTTTTGTTGTAAATGAATCCAGTACTTGTGCATTCTTCCTTCTGTTGTGGCTATTTTAAGAGGTGATTTCCCCGGCCTTTCCAGTGCCTCTCTGAGCCCCAGGTCAAAACACAGCAATAATCTCATGAACAGCCAGAGCTGCTTGCCAGGGAGCGCAGGTGCAGGCGGGCCACAGGATGGCCAGGGCCCCGCAGCAGTGGCCTGACCAGTCGCCTTGGCCAGTCTGATGACTGACACATCACTGGGCCCTCAGCAAAATGCTAGGGGCTTCCAGCGGGAGGCTTGGTGTTTTAAGAAACATTGTACTTTATTTGGCTTGATTTAATGCTAATGACTTGTGCCTTTTCTAATACAATCTAATGTTTCATTGTGTTTTCTCCTTCTCTCTCTGGATAACTACAAAATATAATAAAAATGAAATTAATTTAATAAATCCCTACGCAATTCAAGTCACTATGACTCATCTCCAATGTCAAAAATTGGAGAAAAGGCATTCTCAAAGATGCCATGACTCTGTGCTATTAGAAGTAGTTTCTCTTCCAGATAATCTAGGGACACACCGTCTAAGTTCAGGCCCTTCAGTGACATGAGTGATTCTTCCACGGTGTGTGACACACCCATGGGAAGTGCTATCACAAATGCACACGAGTAAGTGAATGTGCAGAGAGCATCTACAATGATCATCTATTAACAAGCACCCCACAGACACCTGTGACGACAGAAGACAGGAGAAGCGACATTTCATCAGTCCCCTTTACATCATCGCCTCTATTCAGGGGAGCAAAGGTTCACTGGTTTGTTCTTCTGGAGGTGCGTGTGGATTTCCACAGTGAAACCCAGCGGGTGAGCGCGTGTCACTGGAAAGCTCACACAGAGTAGCTGGGCTGCACAGCACCTCACTGCAGGAAGTGAGACTTTGCACACAGCAACTACTCATGAACAATATGAAATCTTAAATAATAAAAACAGCTAATTTAACAAATACAAGCTTCGCATCTTATTTCTCCAACGGTAGATCAAAGGCATGGAAGAGGGGTGGAGGCTTGCTCTCCAGAGAAAAGGCAGTTTGAAAACGCTGACCTGCGGCTTCCCAGGCCGGGCCTGTGCTAGTCCAGCTGCCTTTTCTAAGCCTTCACTTAGGCCAGAGAAATCAGTTGCCTTTCTGCTTGCAAAGGTCAAGGACTCAGCTCAAAGAGTTTGCTAAGAAACCCTTAAGGGGAACACAGGCAAGCTCCTCCACCCTTTGATCTGGCCGTAGTCCTAAGATTCTTACCTGTAAATGAAGGATTTTGGATTCATTATTTCGAAGCATTTCCTTTTGTCTCTCAATTTCAATTTCAAAGCTACATATCTGATTGTGCAAACTTTGTATGCTCTTGTTTTTTTCTACACTTTCATTCTGCAACAAGGAAACCTAAAAAAGAAATTCTTTAATTAATGTAACCAAAAGTGGTTTTCATATTAATTAACAACAATATCAATTAAATTTTCACAATATAGGCCTTCTGTTAGCTTATTGACAGAGTTTCAGAAGAAAAAAATCCCTTCACACAGAAAATGACAGTCCTGGTACTTTTCTTTCTTTCTTTTTTTTCCCCTCTAGAGACAGGGTCTTGCTCTGTCCCCAGGCTGGAGTGCAGTGGTGCAATCATAGCTCACTGCAGCCTTGACCTCCTGGGCTCAAGTGATCCTCCCACTTCAGCCTCTTGAGTAAGCTAGGCCTACAGGTACATGCCACCACCATGTCTGGTTAGGCTTTAAAAAAATAATTTTTTTAGAGATAGGGTCTTGCTATGTTGCCCAGGCTGGTCTCAAACTCCTGGCCTAAAGTGATCCTACTACCTCAGCCTCTCAAAGAGTTGGGATTAGAGGTGTGAGTCACCATACCCAGCCAGTCCTAATTTAATAGGGAATGCTATAAACAGTGTTTCTCAGAATCTCTTCCAGTAATTAGGGTGAGGCAAAGTGCAGCGGCTGATTGAATTTCAGAATAAATCAGATGCTTTTTCAAGTTTTTGCTAAAAACTAGCAAATCTTTTATCAGAGTATTTTTCAATTGTTGACCAGGTAACATAGTAAGAAACAGATGCTTATGTATCACCCCACTTATACCAACGTGTGTGTGTATCCCTGAAAACAGATGTCATAAAGCTGTACTTGCCCTAATAATTTACAATGCACCCTGATTTTTTTTATTCCATTTCATTTAAGAAAATACTAGTCCCTGGAGGATGTTATGCTAACTGAAATAAGCCAGGCACAGAAAGGCAAACACGATGCACTCTCATTTAGACGTGGGATCTAAAAAAGTCAAGCTCACAGAAGCAGGGAATGGTGGTTACCCGGGCTGGTGGAGGTGGGTAGTGGGGGTAGGCTTGTGGAGCTGCTGGGCAAAGGGCACAGAGCCTCAGTTAGACAGAGGGGCGGACGTTTTTGAGCCCACTGAACAGCATGGTGACTGTGATTCATACTAACGTGTGTTTCAAGACTGCTGGGGGAGCAGATTTTAAACAAAGTGATGTGATGGATATGTTAATTAGCTCGATTTAATTATTCCGCAATGTGTGTGTGTATATACCAAAACATTACACTGTACCCCATAAATATAAACAATGCTGGTCACAACCTACTAAATTATTTCACATCCACCCAGGGGCCACACCCTGCAGTTTGAACAGCTCTGCCAACATAATGAGAGCGTGACGAGAATACAAAAAATTACATGGGTGCTACACCCTTGGGGCCAGCCTGCTCACCCTCAACACGGAGAGGCAGAGCTGATGCCTGAGGATACCCTTCCACGGAAGCGCAGAAGAGCCCCTGCAACCCACATCAGCCAAAGGGAGGGCTTGCTGAGTGAGCATTTCCAACCCCACATTTGACCTTTCCAAAATCTTTCTGAAAGATAATTAGCTCCCAAAGACAAATTAACACCTGGTCTCAAAGATGAAAAGTTCAAGGGTAACTCCAACGAGGGTTTCTTTCTCACAAGATTTTTACAAAGGGCATCTTGATCCCCCATCTATTAACGAGTGTCTCTGTCTATCCATTGGGGTGGTGGTCTCCACCCCAGAAGACCCTAAGCTCTGTGCCAGATCCGATGTGTGCCTCTCCAACGATGTACGCTCTAAAACCACCAATGCGTGGGGACCAATGGTCACAAAGGTGATGGCCCGAGGGCATCTCGGCACAAAACCAGATGTGATAAAGAGCTGACTCCCGATGCTGTCCATCTAAAGGGTAGCCAGCCTAAAGATGGGTGTCCTTTTCATATTCGGCACAGTTGGCCAAGTCAAGAGACATCTTTTGAAGCAATCACCGTCTTATTTTAAAACAAGTATGTATTTACTAAGGAATACAAAACTTGCAATGTCTCATGGGCAAAATATAACTTCACTTTCCTAGGATTTTACTCCGCAAAGGCTTTCCTTCCTTCCTTGCCTCATACGTCCATGAACTCCTACAAGTGATCAACCTGCACGAATGTGGAGCGGGCCATATGCAGCATCGCGTGGTAGTTGTGTCCCTCTGAAAGTAACAATTCATTCATTTCCATCTGTCAAAGACGGGACAGAATTCTCAGACTCTTTATTCTCATATCCCTGCAAAAAGATGACATGTATGCCAACTCTTTTGAAAAAATCTCAGTAATGTCTCCAAAACATTGTCAATAGGCCAGCTGTGATGGCTCATACGTGTAGTCTCAGCACTTTGGAAGGCTGAGGCAGACGGACCACTTGAGCCCAAGGAATTGAAGACCAGCCTGGATAACAACATGGCGAAACTCCATCTCTACAAAAAAACACAAAAATTAGCCAGGTGTGGTGCAAACGCCTACAGTCCCAGCTACTGGGGAGGCTGGATGGGATCACTTGAGCCCAGGAGGTCGAGGCTGCAGTGAGCCATAATTGCGCCACTGCTCTCCAACAAATCAAGCAGTTGAGTATGAGCAGAAGCAGCTTACAGCAATGAACACACATCATGCCACACTAAACTCAACTTCTTTCACTTTAGGACTTCCCTTATTTAAACTACTTATTTATTTATTTAATCGAAGAATCCAACTCCCAGGTCCTGCAGATCACTGCTTCCACTCTTCTAGCAGGGAGATGCCATAGGCACAGGAAAGTCCACCTGGCAGGTGTGTTCCAAGGAGCCGGCAAAACACCGGCCCAGGAGGTCCGAGGTTCTCTGCAATGAGAACATCCTTTACTCCAGCCCACTTTGGTGGGCTTTACATTTCCCCTCCATTTAAGCTCTCTTAAAATATAAAATGGGTGTTTTTAAGTCCAGATTTTGCAGTTTTTCTTTAGTTTGACTATGAATGTGAGGATCAGTCTTTTTTTTTGGAGACGAGTCTCACTCTGTCACCCAGGCTGGAATGCAGTGGCATGATCTTGGCTCACTGCAACCTCTGCCTCCCGGGTTCACGCCATTCTCTTGCCTCAGCCTCCCGAGTAGCTGGGATCACAGGCGCACACCACCACTCCTAGCTAATTTTTTGTATTTTAGTAGAGACGGGGTTTCACCGTGTTGCCCAGGCTGGTCTCGAACTCCCGAGCTCAGGCAATCTGCCCGCCTCGGCCTCCCAAAGTGCTAGGATTACAGGCATGAGCCACCGCGCCCAGCTGAGGATCAGTCTTTGTGAACCCGCTCAAACATTCTATTTTCTAAGACAGATGAACAAAATAACCTAAGAAATTCCAACTAAATAATTCTATAATAAGAAATAAATTCCCATTTTAAGTAAACATAAATATCTCTGCTGTTTGTCCAGCCTTTGCTTTTGGACCTAGCAAAGGGCACCATACACCTTCTCGTGAGCACAATGAGAACGTGCAGAGCCGAGCTGGCTGGCCTGACAACAGGGCGAGGACTCTGCTCTGATGGACAGAGTCCGGGAGAGATCAGTCCTTTGGCAACGTCCAAGAGGGAAGTGCACAGTTATGCATCCTGCACTCTCGGGGCTTCCATCGTGACTTGGCTGGAGATAGTTTAAACACATGAGGCATTGACAGAGTGAGAAACTGCTGCACTGTGTGTGGGCAGGCTGCTCTGGTATGTCCTGGGGTTTCCAATGATGCAAACCATTCACTTTCAGTGGGGAAAAGAGCACAGAACAGGAAGGAAGGAGCCAAATCCCCACAGGGATTAGGCCCCGAAAGGCTGCCAGATGACACCACGGTCCACAACCATCCTGCTGGATAACCATGTGCTGCAGACCTGTTCAACTACTGTGTATCTAACACAGCAGTAACAAAGCCCATTCCTTTTTTTTTTTTTTTTTGAGACAGTCTCATTCTGTCGCCCAGGCTGGAGTGCAGTGGCGCGATCTTGGCTCACTGCAAACTCCACCTCTCGGGTTCAAGCAACTCTCCTGCCTCAGCCTCCCAAGTAGCTGGGACTATAGGCGCCTGCCACTATGCTGGCGTAATTTTTGTATTTTTTTTTTTTGGTAGAGACGGGGTTTCACCATGTTGGCCAGCTTGGTCTTGAACTCCCGACCTCAGCCTCAGCCTCGGCCTCCCAAAGTGCTGGGATTACAGGCATGAGCCACCATGCCCGGCCACAAAGCCTATCCTTAAAATGAAAGGAAGAACCTTCTAAATGAGAAACACAGCATCTATGAAAGATAAAAAGCCTGTGATCTATGCCTATAATTTTAAAAAGACAGAAATAAAATGCCAGCTTCAAAAAGAGGGAAAAAAAAGATTCCTAGGTAAACCATTGTTGAACTCAGAGCAGATGCTCTATGCTCACGGGAAGATGGCTAGGATTCTGCGAATATGAGTCCGGCACTGCTGCTCATCAGCGCTGTTCTGCTCCGTGTGTGTGCACAGGATGCCGATCCTCCTGCTGCTTCTCAAGCTCAGCTCACGCATTTACATGAAACACTCTCTTATGGCAGATTAAAGGGAAATCTTTCTATTTAAAATTTTAGACTCCTTGCAGTATATTTACATTTTAAATTGCTGGGATTTAACACTGGAAACAAGACATTCAAATCTTTACGAAACTCAAATGTCAACTCCACTGGCTGTTCTAATTCACCATAGTATCCTCCTACTACAAGTTCTCAATAGACGTTTGTTGAATATTGAATTAAGTTTATATTTTTGTAATTAAGCCACAATGGTAGATCCTATAACAACTTCTTCTCTATCCATTCTTAGAGGTTTTCATCTTCTCATGAAAAGAAGGCCCCACTGAGCTGAACATCACAGAACAAACTCCACTGAGAACCAGCATTACTGGAGGAAGGTGCTTGCTCCTGCGCCTATAGGCCTGCAATGAAGGCCTCTTAAGAACAGCATGGAGGCTGGGCGTGGTGGCTCACGCCTGTCATCCCAGCACTTTGGGAGGCCGAGGTGGGCAGATCACCTGAGGTCGGGAGTTTGAGACCAGCCTGACCAACATGGAGAAACCCCATCTCTACTAAAAATACAAAAATTAGCTGGGTGTGGTGGTGCGCACCTGTAATACCAGCTACTCGGGAGGCTGAGGCAGGAGAATTGCTTGAACCAGGGAGGCAGAGGTGTTGCAGTGAGCCAAGATCGCACCACTGCATTCCAGCCTGGGCTACAAGAGCAAAACTCCGTCTTGGGGAAAAAAAAAAAAAAAAAAAAAGAACAGCATGGGAGAGTCTCTTTGGGAAGTGGCCCTGTCTATGTGGAGAGCGCACCAAGTTTCACAAGGTGTCAAATGACAAAATCAATTGTAATCATATCAAATATTTTTTCCTGTTTGTCTCTTGTAAAAAACACAGAAGTTTAACGCATTTAGAGGGGTAACCACCCAGGTCCGGGCTGGCAAACTTATTCTGTAAAGAGCCAAGTAGTCAGTATCTCAAGCGGTACAGTCCACATGTCTCTTAACTCTGCTGCTTTCGAGCAAAAGAAGCCACAGACAACACAGAGTGAGTAAGGATGGCTGTCTTCCAATAAAACTTTGTTTACAAAAAAAAAACAGCAGGGTGGGGACTGGGCATCTGATCATCTCTGTGCTGGATGGATGCTAAAATAATCACAATGTGATTGACTTTAAAAAAGCACTTCACACTTGCTTGGCAATTAAAAAACAAATAACAAAAATAAAACACCTTCATTTATAAGCTCAAGATCACACAGAGTTTTTTTTGACATTCTCTTGATAGTTTCTTTTATCCAAAACCCATTAATAACTACAAAAAGGTTTTGTCTTTAAATAATCTGAAGAGATGATACAAATCCCATAGCAGCAGGAAAGTGTGCAGCCCACCTTCTTTTCGAGCGAGTTGCTCCACTCCTTCAGCAGGTTGACGTGCTGCACGGCGGAGCTGGCCTCGTGGGCCTTGATCTGCTGGTTTGTCCCCTGCGAGAGCAAACATGTGAGGCATTCAGCGAACCTCGCTGCATTTCAAAGGGCAGAACGGCTAACATACGACCCTAAAAGCAGCACTAAACACAAAGAGGGGAGACCTATTTGCGTCAAGTGAACAGGGAATCTCTGCGCCTAAGGAGGGCTGTGCTCAGGGCCACCTGGCTACTGCGTGCAGGTGAGGAGGCCGCCAGGAGCAGCAGAGCCAGCACCCTGCAGTGCCACAGTGAGCATCTCAGGGTTATCTCCGCATCCCTTCAGCTCATCTCAAGTGGCTTCTTATCAAGGGTTGACACTTGTAATATCAAGAAATTAAATTTTAAACTCATTCTTGACCTATTATAAGCTATTTTTCCCATTAAAATATAGCATAAGTGGAAAATGTTTAGATACCTGTAGTTGTAGCGAGATACTGCCACAACAGTCTAGTAAACACGTAAGCAAAGCAGGATTCAAAAGAATTTACTAAAGTATTAATGTATTAGTTCAAATACACTGTATCCAAAGATGTATTGCTCTTCACCATTCCAGTATTCTTAGAAAAGTTACATACAAAACAAATACAATCTACAGAGTACATAAGATGTAGACCATTTTAGAGTCAGGAATAAGCACATGAAATTGTACTTCATATATTTAAGAAAATAATTTGTCTGAAATATAATTTGTTTTGCTATTAGAAAATTAAGAAGCCACAGAAAGCATTTTAATGATCTCCAAAACATATACTCTGTACATAGAATATTCATATATATATGTTGATATAAGTGTTGCAATATATAAACATATATATACACATACACAGAGAGAATGAATGATACTACGTACGACAGAACAGGGGAGGCTCAGTCTTGTTAGAGACTAAAGCAAAGGAAGGCACAGTCATTCTTACTCTTTGGCTGTTCTCTTCCTCAGAAAATACTAAGATGCCAATCTCTCTGTACTGACTTCATAATAATGTATTGGTGCTACATAAAATATAAAATACTTTAATTGTAACATATACTGCCTCTTGATAGTTTTAAGATACATATATTTAAATGAAAACTCAGTTCCAATTCACTAGCAATCTCAGATGTGTTAAAAAATAAACAACAACAAAACACCAGATGCAGATTTCTCACACTACATGTGCGGCAGCAACAGAGATGCCCTCCCCACACTGTTCTCGGGGAGGTGTGCTCTCTATGAGCTGTGCTCCATTTTGCGTCTGTCCCCCGTTGGGGTCAGAGTCAGCACAGACATGTACATCAAATGCATTTATGGATACACACGTGTGTGATCGTTATGGCTGTGTACTGACACACACGCTGTTGAAACTATGCTCAGTTTGATATTCGCTTATATTCAGGTAACTGCTAAAATTTCCGTAACAATCTATCTGAAAACCCCACCAAATGTCAAGTCTACCTGTTGCATTACTAGCTGGTTTTGGATGTAGTACTTCTCTTAATGTATTAACTTCCACCTCAGCACAGTGTCTCCCTGAAGTCTCAAAGCACCACCAACTGGAAAGCGAGCATCCCACCTGCTGCATGTGGCTTTCGTCACCCATGCAACAGGGTGTTTCAGTTTCATGACAAAGAATAAGGAGTCCAGAGCTTGCATGTTAAAATGTTAATATAATAACTTTCTCTCATGGCAGAATGTCAGTGACTGGGAAGGACAAATGTCGGATACTGACCTGAAAAACGCAGCCATAGCGCTTAAAACTACAGGTGCTGGGGGCATTGACACACTCTGACAAGTGTGCACTCAACTGCAACGGGAAAGAGACGTGAGTTGTGGCACAAACGTTTGCATGAAAATGTTCAAACATATTAGGGCACAGATAGCATCTGAGCTGTACTATTAAGAATGGTGTTTATCGCTACAGGTGTGTATATATCATCTGCTGCCTAGACTTCTATGCAGTAAATATACGGTCTAGTCACGTGTATACACATATACGCCAATATACAAGAATACATTTACTATAACATTTCTTAAACTTCCAGTTTCTTTAGAACAAATTGTTCAATGTGACATGCCATCTGTAGTGCCAGAATTTAAAAAAGAAAGAAAAAACATAAACTGAAATGCACATTTAAAGACCATAAACAAAAATTGCATGAAAACACAAAAAAATAGAAAGCATTCAGAATGCAACTGGGTCACACACCTAATATACGGTACACAAAAATAAATATATTTTCAAAGCAAGCTTACACAATGTACCATTACTCATAATACTTGAGATAAGTGCAGATGAGTTTTTCCTTCATCTGAAAAGACTTTTTCCCTCTGTAAGGGCCAGAAACTCAGGTAGCTTTTCAAAGACCTCTAAGATCAGTCTAACCATACACTCTTACTACTGTCAACTCTAATTGATGGCAGGAAAATTAGGTGGGGCTGGGAGCAGGTAACTCGTTTTGCAAGAAAAAAGTCCCTTGCTCAGCTCAAATGCTGGTGAGTTATCAAATAAAAATTACTTATGATGCCCTAACAAGAGAAAAGGGAATGGAAAGGATTACATTTTAAGGACTTAGAGTCATGTGTTAGGCTAATACAAATGAGGTATAGTTTGGTCTTTTTCTTTATCATGCCCCAAGACTGAGCAGAAGTTTTGTCTTTTATTGAAGAAATTCCCATCAGGAAACTCTAGGGATAGATCTTCTTCACAGAAAACAGACTCTTTTTGGGAGGATGGGTGTGTGGGTGCAGCAGCCGGGAATGTGTTCTTCTGTGTGCCAGCATGCATGTGTTCCCAAGGCTCATAGAGCACATCCTCCTGGAGGGCGCAGCTAAGTTCTACAACTTCTCAGTCTACCAGGACAAAGGCGGTCCTTCCCTCTAGGTGGATATTTACAACAGAGGGGAAAATGGATCCCTGCTGCGAAACTAAGGAGGAGGGACACTGCGGGAAGGGACTGAGGGGCCCATGCGGCCACTGCTAGGGTCAACCTTCAAGGAAGGTCTCAGAGCCAGGGCAGAGTCAAGGTGGTAGGAACCTGGCAGCCTGACGCCCTTGCTGCTCCTCAGAACCCAGACCGGCTGCCCCTGCAGGAAGCGCCCACAAGGCACGTGACAGGTGACTGGCAAGGAAACGCAGTGTGAAGACTGCGCAGAACCAGGTTCATTTAAAAACTTGGAATGTATTCTTCCAGTGTCATTACTGCAATAACAAACCTGAGTGTCAACGCTATTACATGTTAAGCCAGGGACACACTGACACACTGGGTTTGATGTATGTTATTTTCAGTGTACTAGAGTAAATTCGGTGTTGGGTCTTTTTCTAAATTGGTTTTATTATCAGTATTCTGAGTCTCGGGGAATCTACAGGATCTCTGGAATAGGGGCAAGAATAATCTATAGCTCAAAAGCACCTTTCATCAGAAACCCAACAGAAATGCAGGTTTAACAATGTTTTAAATAAGAAATTATTGGCCGGGCGCGGTGGCTCACACCTGTAATCCTAGCACCTTAGGAGGCCGAGGCGGGCAAATCACGAGGTCAGGAGACGGAGACCATGCTGGCTAACAAGGTGAAACCCCGTCTCTACTAAAAAATACAAGAAATTAGCCGGGCGTGGTGGCAGGCGCCTGTAGTCCCAGCTACTCGGGAGGCTGAGGCAGGAGAATGGTGTGAACCCAGGAGGCAGAGCATGCACTGAGCCGAGATCACGCCACTGCACTCCAGCCTGAGTGACAGAGCGAGACTCCGTCTCAAAAAAAAAAAAAGAAATTATTTCAACAGCACAGACTCTTTATACATTAACAGAGGATTGTCCAGTTGTGGCAATAATTTACATTTATTTTTCCCTAGCTCCTCCCAGGGGCAGATTCAGGGCCCAGAGGCCACTGTCATCAGGCAAGACTTTGCCCTCACCCATCAGCTTCAAGGTGCTGGGAGGGCACACCCTGGGGGAGAGTGGCTCTCTGGGCCCTCCTCTACCCTGAGTCCCTGGCCCTAGCCCCACATGGGCCCTCTTGCTCAGTCAGGGGCATGCGAGGCTGGTTCTCCCTGTTACCCAGTATCCAGTGGTAAAATTTCAGGCTGTTGAAAAATGCTGAGGTGAAAAGGTGAGCCGGCTCCTTAGATCAGCGTACCACACATCCAGGGAGCCCAGGGTAGCCCCAGATGACTCCCAGAATACTAACTAAAGGAGCTCCCCGTCAGGACAGATGCAGAAACATTAAGAATCCTTGAAATTTTCCCAACTGGACATATCCTGATCAAGTGAAGTCAATGCAAAATCTACCTGTCTCAAAGAAAGAGTGCCAAGCGCAATGTGAGACGTGCAACCTTTGGGAGAGGCCACACAGGGGCCCTTCTGGCAGCCCTAAAATGTGGGAGCTGTCCTCCACCCGGCATGTGTGAGCAAAATGGTTCTGAAGTGTCTCTAAGTTAATTCATGTTCTTGAGATAATCTTACAGCAATTACTATTCTATAGAGTTAAAATTGCTTTAAAAACCCCTCGTCACCTTTGCTTGTACTGTATGTAAAATATTCCCATTTTCTTAATGCTTCACAATCTTTGCTCTGAATTTACCACAGTGTAGTTTTGTTTTGTTTTGTTTTTGAGACGGAGTTTAACTCTTGTTGCCCAGGCTGGAGTGCAGTGGTGTGATCTCGGCTCTGTTCAACCTCCGCCTCCCCGGTTCAAATGATTCTCCTGCCTCGGCCTCCTGAATAGCTGGGATTACAGGTGCGCGCCACCACACCTGGCTAGTTTTTGTACTTTTAGTAGAGACGGGGTTTCAGCACATTGGCCAGTCTGGTTCTGAACTCCTGACCTCAGGTGATCCATCTGCCTAGGCCTCCAAAAGTGCTGGGATTACAGGTGTGAGCCACTGTGCCCGGCCATACACTGTAGCTTTTAACCCTAATGCTTGCTTCTGACTTCCAAAAAATGGCATAAGGCTTTTTGCTGTGGTTTTTGTTTGTCTGCCATACACATGACTCTCACGAACTGGGAAAACGTGAGGCTTCGGCTATGCAGGGAAGGGGAGCCAGGCACGCAGCCCTGAGGACTCCACAGACTCCCGGCCGGGCCCGGCCGCCCCTACCTCGCTCCTCAGGAGAGTCTGGACGCTGCACTTGTGAGGGCAGGACACCACCACGCAGGGACAGTCGGTGTCTTCGTGTTTCTACAGAGAGAGAAAGTACTATCAACTTTAAACACACAACCTGTCTTCCTTCAGTCCCGCTGAGATCCCCATGGGGCCCCCAGGAATGGCTCTGCTCACCATCGCTGTCCTCTAAGTTATGGCACTCACATTACGTATGGCTGAGTCATTATTGTCACGGAGTGTGAGTGTCTCAGGATGCCACAGGTATCTCCAAAGATCTGGTCAGATCTGACCAGTGAGGGCGGCTTGCCTCAGAACAGTCTGCTGGTGGGGGCCTCGCCACAAGGGTTTCCCCTTAGCACGCCTCCTCTGTGCCAGAGCTGCTCCTGGTTCACACAGCCCCTATCGTGCAATGCTCAGGCAGGCATGGCCACTCACACAGCACTCACAGCACAGGTGGACAGTGGAGCTGGGGACCCAGCTGGTGTCTGCCTCTGCTGGTTGAGAGACGGAGGGTTTCCCTTGGCCTCTTAGTTTGGAGTCTGGAAATGATGCTTCCCAAGTATGTCAGAGCAGCATAACCTACTGAGTATTTACATTACTAACCTAGAACCTTAATCTACATTATCTTTAGTCCATAGAAAATTGGGATAGGTTTTGGGTTAGGCCTTCCCTAATAGCACAAACTTCACCTTTGCTAAGGCTGGATGATGGCGACTATTAAGCCCTATCCCATGGGCACCTGCTGGGTGCCTGTCCATGAGCAGAGCAAGGGCAAGGACTCCCCACAAGGACATCAACTGCAGGGCCCCTGGGGAGAGACTGATGAGGAAGAGCCAGAGATGGAGCCACGCTGAACAGTCCCTGCTGAGCAGAAGACTGTGGCAGCGGTTTCCCAGTGGCCACAGGATGCCTCAATCCTCCCCCATCCATCTTTTCAGGTCCTCTTTTGGCCTCCAGTTATGTTGCTGTTCTGCTGAAGGAACTGGGGAGGGATTTGCTGAGAGCCAGAGTCTGACTGGCGGGTCTGAGGGCTGAGGAGGGCAGCGGCCCACCCGAGGGAAGCTCGTCCTCGGAACGTGGTTGCTCCTCTCCCCCAGGAGCTTGCTTTCCTCGGCATGTTTCTAAGGCCCAACTCTGCAGGCACCCACAGTGGTTTTGCGGCAGAATAGGGATGGGGCTCAGGGCAGGGAGGCTGAGAAAGAAGGGAGTGGAGGGCAGCACTGTGGCCAGGGAAGAGAAGGCCACTCAGTAACTTTCTGTGTTCGACTTTCAACAAGCCCACACCAGTCTCCACTCCCAGTATCAGGGGATGCACGTTTCCACATCCTCACCAATTCTATCGCACAATCTTTGGCAATCTGATAGGTAAAAAAATGGGGTGAGTGGGACCTGCAATTCTTTAGTAATGTGTGGTTAAGCACATATATATGTGCTTTTTCTTTTTTTTTTTTTGAGACGGAGTCTCACTCTGTCGCCCAAGTTGAAGTGCAGTGGTGCAATCTTGGCTCACAGCAACCTCCGCCTCCTGGGTTCAAGCAATTCTCCTGCCTCAGCCTCCGGAGGAGCTGGGACTACAGGCAACACATCACCGTGCCCAGCTAATTTTTTGTATTTTTAGTAGAGGAGGGGTTTCACCATGTTGGCCAGGCTGGTCTCGAACTCCTGACCTCAAATGATCCACCTGCCTCGGCCTCCCAAAGTGCTGGGATTACAGGTGTGAGCCACTGCACCCAGTCTTAAGCATATTTTTGATATTAATCATTTCTATTTCTCTATTAATCATTTCTATTTCTTTTCCTGTGAAAAGGCATTTTCACAGCTTTTGACTACTACAGTGAGTTCAATAATGTCCTCCAAAATTCATGTCTATCTGGAACCTCAGAATGTGACCTTATTTGGAAATAAGATTTCTGAAGATGGCGTCAGTTAAGACGAAGACACCCTGGCGTCGGGCAGACCCTAAATCTAAAGACTGCCACCCTTAGAAGAGGTGAGGACATGCACTAGGAAGACGGCCACGTGAACATGGAGGGCAGAGGTTGGAGTGGTGCAGCCATGAGCCAAGGAAGGCCAAGGACTGCTGGTGGCTCCAGAAACTGAGAGGGGCAGGGAAGCCTTCCCTACAGTTGTCAAGAGACAGCAGGGCCTTGGTTTTGCATTTCCAGACCCAGAACTATGACAGGATAAATTTGTTTTTTGCAAGCCACCAACTTTGGGTTACTTTGTTACAGAAGCCAAAGGAAAATAACACATTCATTTTTTAAAAAACCCTGAATCTGCTGCTGATTTTTTTTCATTTGTCTATTAATGAAATCAGTCCTATCTATGAAATTAAATGTAATTCTGATCACACAAACATATATGTGCACACATGTGTGAGTTGAAAAGCACAGGCCGGGTGCGGAAGCCCAGCACTTTGGGAGGCCGAGACAGGCGGATTACCTGGGGGCAGGAGTTTGAAACCAGCCTGGCCAACATGGTGAAACCCCGTCGCTACTGAAAATATAAAAATCAGCCAGGTGCGGTGGCGGGCACCCGTAATCCCAGCTACTCGTGAGGCTGAGGCAGGAAAATTGCTTGAACCTGGGAGGCGAAGGTTACAGTGAGCCAAGATCGTGCCATTGCACTCCAGCCTGGGCGGCAGAGTGAGACACTGCCTCGAAAAAAAAGAAAGAAAGAAAAAAAAAGCATAACTACATAGTGAACACCCATGAAGCCAACACCCAGGTCCAAGAGCATGACTGATAACATCCATCTTCTGCACCTACCTCTCCCATCTCACCCTCATTCTCCCACAAGGAGTACCCATTAAAACCACAACCCTGAGTTTTGTAATTCTGCCTCTAAAAAGGTTTCACTATACATATGTGTGCCAAATGAAACACTGTTTCATTCTGATTGTTTTTGAATTTTGTTAATACAGAATTCTACCATAGGAGTCTTCTGGACTTCGCTCAGTATTACACTTCTTAGACTCATCTGCCTATTGCAAATAACTGCAGGCCTCTAACTTTCACTACTGTATGACACATCTCCTTGTCGTATAACAACACTGTAATATAATTTCCACCTGCTGATGGGTGCTCCGGCTGTTTCCAGATTTCTGCGGCTCTGGTCACACCTGGCCACATTTCCTGGCGTGTGTGTTTCTCCTACACATCCAGGAGAAGAACTGCTGGTTAACTGAGTGCCTGAATGTCCAACCTAGTAGGATACTGACAGTTGATTTCCAAAGCGGTCATACCTACAGACTTGTACCACGTATGCTTTCCCATAGGGTGAGATCTTTATCATCCTGACCTTCACAAGTTAACAGAGCTGTTTAAAGAATGATGGTCCAGAATTTCTAGATTAAATCTAAAAGGTTTGTTTCCTGACACTTTAAATTATGCTAACCTATAAATTTAAAAAGTAATAATAAAACCTGAAAATAGCTGGCATACTGTCTACACCACAGTTTAAACGTAGAAAAGAAATCCTTATATGAACTGCAATGGTCCAGGGTTTCCATGCATCCTCAGCACATTTTATCAACACTTGATGTTGTGACACACCACAGAACACAGGGAGTGTAGGAGAATTAGAATGACCTGGGCTTTAGGTCTCCCTACATCAGGACTGTTCTTCCTAGAAATAAACTCAACGAAGGCCTCAGGGGATGAGAATAAGGGTGTTCAAATTGAAAAAAAAAAAAAACAAAATACATGGGAATTAAATCACATCACTGAAAAGAGAGGTGGCCTAGGGCAAGGGCAAGTCACAGAACCAGGCCTGGAGCAAAGGCAGCCAACCAGCAACTGCTCTCCCCTGGTCAGGCTGAGAGGCAGGGGCAGATGCACTGGCAGGACCCCAAACACGCGTGCTTGCTGAAATGTCTGCAGGCCCTGAGAGAAGCTGACACACACCTTAAAATGCACTCTACTGTCAACACTGCTCAAACGGTTTTCAACTTGTTTCATCTCAAGCATGAAGTGCAATTTATAAGGAATGTTTGCACAAATCAGGCCCCAAACTCATTATCATTCTGTGCTTTCCATCTATTCTCTTTCTCCCTTGTCTTTAGTTGACAAATTCAAGGCCCAGATCAAATGAAAGGCAACCTCCTCACTAAAGCCTTCCTTGACACTCCGGCTAAGCTATTGTAACTGGTCCTTCCTTGTTGGCATGTTATTAATATTACAGTCCCAGTACTTCCCATACTAACATGAATTAAACTGTACATCTGGCTGTCTCTCTCATCAGACTGCAAACTGAAGGAGAGAGTGCAATTTATTCTCCTGTGCATCCTAAGCAACCAGGGCAGGGTCTGACGCCATTTCGTGAATCTATATGCTTGTGCTTAAACCTGACCTGTTACAGCCTCATCTGGTGTTCAGAGTCAGTTACTTATATGGTGTTTAACAGACATACGCTACGATTCCTTCTTAAACAAAAATCAGTTGTTGGATTCTATTCTGCAAATAAAGGTAACTGATTTTGGCAAGAAGCAAAATATAACTTTGATAGCTATATATTTATTTATTTTAAGTTCCAGGGTACATGTGCAAGATGCGTGGGTTTGTTACACAGGTAAATGTGTGCCATGGTGGTTTGCTGCACAGATCAACCCACCACCTAGGTATTATTAAGCCCCGCATCCATTAGCTATTCTTCCTGATGCTCTCCCTCTCCTAACCCCACAGGCCCCTGCGTGTGTTGATCCCCTAAATGTGTCTATGTGTTCTCATTGTTCAGCTCTCTCTTATAAGTGAGAACATGTGGTGTTTTTCTGTTCCTGTGTTAGTTTGCTAAGGACAATGACTTCCAGCTCCATCCACGTCCCTGCAAAGTAGATGATCTCCTTCCTTTTTTTCTTTTTTTTTTTTTTTGTTTTTGTTGTTGAGACGGAGTCTTGCTCTGTCGCCCAGGCTGAAGTGCAGTGGCACAATCTTGGCTCACTGCAACCTCCACTTCCCGGGTCCAAGTGATTCTCCTGTCTCAGTCTCCCGAGTAGCTGGGATTACAGGCATGTGTTACCATGCCCAGCTAATTTTTGTATTTTAAGTAGAGATGGGGTTTTACCATGTTGGCCAGGCTGGTCTTGAACTCCTGACCTCAGGTGATCCACCCGCTTTGGCCTCCCAAAAGTGCTGGGATTAGAGGTGTGAGTCACCGTGACCGGCAGATCTTTTTTTTTGAGACGGAGTTTCGCTCTTGTTGACCAGGCTGGAGTGCATGATCTTGGGTCACTGCAACCTACGCCTCCTGAGTTCAAGCGATTCTCCTGCCTCAGCCTCCCAGGTAGCTGGGATTACAGGCACCTGCGATTACAGGCACCTGCCACCACACCCGGCTCATTTTGTTTTTTTAATAGAGATGGGGTTTCTCCATTTTCGTCAGGCTGGTCTCGAACTTCCAACCTCAGGTGATCTGCCCACCTCGGCCTCCCAAAGTGCTGCGATTATAGGCGTAAGCCACGGCGCCCAGCCAATCTCCTTCCTTTTTATGGATACACAGTATTCCATGGTATAGATGTACCACATTTTCTTTATCCAGTCTATCACTGATGGGCATTTAGGTTGATTCCATGTCTTTGCTATTGTCAATACTGCTTCAATGAACATACATGTGCATGTATCCTTATAATAGAATGATTTATATTCCTTTGGGTATATACCCAGTAATAGGACTGCTTGGTCAAATGTTATTTCTGCCTCTAGATCTTTGAGGAATCGTCACACTGTCTTCCACAATGGTTGAACTAATTTACACTCCCACCAACAGTGTAAAAGCATTCCTTTTTCTCTGCAACCTTGCCAGCATCTGTTGTTTTTTGACTTTTTAATAATCGCCATTCTGACTGGCATGAGATGGCAACATATTAACATATGTAAAGCCTGAAGTCTTGTTAATTAGGCATGTGTCTCATTCACTGAAATTTAACAACTGGAGAAATTATTATTTTCGTTCTAGAGATGGGGTCTCACTTTGTTGCCCAGGCTGGTTTTGAACTCCTGGCCTCAAGCAATCCTCCTGCTTTGGCCTTCCAGAGTTCTGGGATTATAGGCATGAGCCATTATGCACAGCCTGGAGGAATTACTTGACTCCAAAAAAACACTACTGCTATTTTCCAAAGGGGAGGGCACAGTTCTTAAAAGTTCTTTTTTTTGAGACAGGGTCTCACTCTGTCACCCAGGCTGAGTGCAGTGGTGCAATTATGGCTCACTACCAGTCTCAAACTCCCTGGCTCAAGTAATCTTCCTACCTTGGCCTCCCTAGTAGCTAGAACTACAGGTATGCTTCAGCACACCCGGCTAAATTTTTATTTTTCGTAGAGGCAGAGTCTTGCTATGTTGCCCATGCTGGTCTCCAATTCCAAAGCTCAAGTGATCCTCCTGTTTCAGCCTCCCAAAGTGCTGGGCACACAGGTGTGAGCTACCACACCCAGCCTCAAGAGTTCTTAATAACTGGAAACATCTGAAGTACCACACAAGAAAAAGATTTCACAATGGAAGAAAGACATGGACACAGGAAAATTACAGAAAGCAAGGCAAATTCAGAGATTATAAAGTATTTAGTTGGTGCAAAAGTAATTGCCGTTTTTGCCATTACTTTTAATGGCAAAAAACGCAATTACTTTTGCACCAACCTAAGAGGACTACAACTCATTTCATAGAGAAAAAAGCAAAAGAAACTCTCCCTAAATTTTGGTCATTAGAGCTCCACGGCTGGGTGCGATGGCTCACGCCTATAATCCCACCACTTTGGGAGGCTGAGGTGGGCAGATGGCTTAAGCCCAGGAGTTTTGAGACCAGACTGGGCAACATGGCAAGACCCTGTCTCTACAAAAAATACAAAAATTAGCCAGGCATGGTAGCATGCACCTATGGTTCCTGAGGTGGGAGGATCACTTGAACCTGGGAGAAAGAGGCTGCAGTGAGCTGAGATTGTGTCACCGCATTCCAGGCCTGGATGACAGAGTGAGACTCTCTCTCAAACAAAACAAACCATTCCACAATATCTACCAGGAACTGGATGATGGCCCACGCCCTGGCTGAGCTGCCCTGGTGCCTCCCTTCAGTCACTTCATGGCCAAGCCCACCCCAGCCTCTAGGCAGCCTCTGAGGGTGTGCCCAGGCCCCCACGAGCTCTGTCCTCCTCTCCACTCGCTCCAGCCCCATGATCCTGCGAGCCACCAAACTCACCCCCATCTGCAGCCTGCATGGCTCCACTCCCCATTCTCCCCCAAGCCCATCACCCTCCACTCACTGGGCACCCCCTCGGCAGGACACCTAGGTTCTCCACAAGCACTGGGAGTCACCTTTACCTCATACCCCACCTGCTGGCCAATCCTACCGCTCCACCCTCAGGCACACCCCAGTACAACCTTCCCCCACCCCAGCAACACCAGGCCTTGCCCCGGGGCCCCTCTCACCCTCCCAGTTCTGGGCTGCCCAGTGCCTTTCCCCTCACCCTCTGGCTGCCCCACTGCCCTCACATCTGACCTGTGTTCCACACAGCTCCTGAACCCCACAGCCCTGCCAGTTCCAGCTTAGGGTCCACATGCTCCCCCACTGTCCCTTGGCTGCCTCAGACAAGCCAGTGCTGATCACCTCTCTTCCCTTGATGCCACCTGATTTTTATTCATGGAACTGATCACTACCCGATGTTACACATTTGTTAGTATTTTTTCCCACTAGAGGAGCCTCACCACTGAGTCCCCAGCTCCTGGAATACTGCCCGGCGCACAGTAGGTACCCAATAGGTGTTTGTTCAACAAATGCATTGTTTTCTAAGTGTGTCCTCCACCCCCAACATCTCTGCTTTCCTCTTTAATTCACCCACTCACCCATACACACACACCCACATTCACACACCCCCACACACTCACCCACATTCACACTCACCCCCACACACACTTACCCCCACACACTCACCCACATTCACACACTCACCCCCACAGAAACACACAATGCAAAACTGTGCCAAAGTAACCGAAGTATGAGAAGCTGTCTCTCTCCAAGATAAACAGCTGCATTTCAATGCTGTAGGACAAATTAGCCTGTTGTAAGTGATGGTTATGTCACAGAGCTGTAATAAGACCAGGCAATCTATCAACATTTTGAGGCAATTCCCTAGGACAAGATAAAAATTTTACCTTTTTTGAATAACTATTCATTTTTTGACATACTAAATGATAGTCAATCAAGGCAATGGAAAATGTTAACTACATAAATCAAAATAGGCAAAACAAAGCTTAATTCTGAAATAAAGTCAGATAAAAAGTGCTATTTATTCCTATCTTTTCTCTTTAGTCCTATTAGAATAGTCTTTAAGAAGCTGTACAGTGGAAGAAGTATATATTAATTGAGCAGAAGGCCTGTGGAATGGATTATTTATGAACTCAGCGGAAGGCCTGTGGAACGGATTATCTATGAGTTGAGGGAGGGCCTGCGGAAGGGATTACCTATGAGCTGAGCGGAAGGCCTGTGGAATGGATTATCTATGAGCTGAGCGGAAGGCCTGTGGAATGGATTATCTATGAGTTGAGGGAGGGCCTGTGGAAGGGATTACCTATGAGCTGAGCAGAAGGCCTGTGGAACAGATTATCTATGAGCTGAGCGGAAGGCCTGTGGAACGGATTATCTATGAGCTGAGCGGAAGGCCTGTGGAACAGATTATGAGCTGAGCGGAAGGCCTGTGGAATGGATTATCTATGAGCTGAGCAGAAGTCCTGTGGAATGGATTATCTATGAGCTGAGCGGAAGGCCTGTGGAACGGATTATCTATGAGTTGAGCGGAAGGCCTGTGGAATGGATTATCTATGAGCTAAGCAGAAGTCCTGTGGAATGGATTATCTATGAGCTGAGCGGAAGGCCTGTGGAACGGATTATCTATGAATTGAGCGGAAGGCCTGTGGAATGGATTATCTACAAACTGAGCAGAAGGCCTGTGGAACAGATTATCTATGAGCTGAGCGGAAGGCCTGTGGAATGGATTATCTATGAGCTGAGCGGAAGGCCTGTGGAATGGATTATCTATGAGTTGGGGGAGGGCCTGTGGAACGGATTATCTATGAGCTGAGCGGAAGGCCTGTGGAACGGATTATCTACGAGATGAGCGGAAGGCCTGTGGAACGGATTATCTATGAGTTGAGGGAAGGCCTGTGGAACAGATTATCTATGAATCGAGCACAAGGTCTGTGGAACGGATTATCTATGAATTGAGCCTAAGGCCTGTGGAACGGATTATCTATGAATTGAGTGGAAGGCCTGTGGAATGGATTATCTATGAGTTGAGGGAAGGCCTGTGGAACGGATTATCTATGAATTGAGCGGAAGGACTGTGGAACAGATTATCTATGAGTTGAGGGAAGGCCTGTGGAACGGATTATCTACGAACTGAGCAGAAGTCCTGTGGAACGGATTATCTATGAACTGAGCGGAAGGCCTGTGGAATGGATTATCTACGAATTGAGCGGAAGGCTTGTGGAACGGATTATCTGTGAGCTGAGCGGAAGGCCTGTGGAACGGATTATCTATGAGTTGAGGGAAGGCCTGTGGAACGGATTATCTATGAATTGAGCGGAAGGCCTGTGGAACGGAATATCTATGAACTGAGTGGAAGGCCTGTGGAACGGATTATCTATGAGTTGAGGGAAGGCCTGTGGAACGGATTATCTACGAATTGAGCGGAAGGCCTGTGGAATGTATCATATAGGAATTGAGTGGAAGGCCTGTGGAATGGGAGGACCCGCACCTGCAGCGCGATCATCGGAACCTGACTCTTGCAGTGGCTGCATGTGGCTTCCCGGTATTTACACGCCTTCTCCACGTGGTCTCGCAGGTCTTTCCTCAAGACCTTTTCTTTGCAGTCAGGACGCACACATGGAAGTTCTTCAAAATGGCAATCATTTTTTAAATGCACCTGTAAGACAGACCATTCAATGTTCTTAATTGGGAAAAAAACCCTAAATCTGAAATACCAGATTCTAATCTCTATGCAATGAAACCCTAAAGAAATGTTTCTCATCTGCTGTTAGACCAGTTTTCCACAGCAAAGAGTAACAAGTATGCCAAGAGACACTGAATTTCATATTCTATTTCATGATTACTCAAACCATATTGTTGTTGAAGAATTAAGTCAACTCTGCTTCCAGGATAAATGAATATCTGCTAAGAACTTTGTTTTATTCCAGTTCAAATAATTTTCTAAGCTAAAATATGGTACTAACTAAAAAAATAAGAAGTTATGTAGAATTTCATGGTGAAAAAAGGTTTTAATGGGCCTTCCAAAATTAAAATCCAATTCAGATTTTCTCTATTCTAAGTAGGGGGGGGAGTGTTTAAAAACCAGTTGACAATTCTGCCAATGATGTCATAAAAATAACAACTTATACTCAAGTGGTTCTGACTGCTTTCCTATTTGGCTGTGTTTTGAAAAACTAATGTCAACATGGTCTTAAAGTGCCACATCCTACTGACCACTTCATCAGCTGGATGTAAGGGACTCGAATTCCTTCATGTAAAAGGTTCCAGTGTCCCTTTGCTACTCACCAGCAGATGTCCCAGCATTAACTGCTCTGCACAACCTCTGCTTTCATTCCGACAATAGATCTGAAGAGCCAGAATTTCTCTCTTGCAGCAATTATCCTTAAACACCTGAAAATGAAAGATCATTATTTTGGAGGATTAATATTTCTTAATCTCCACATGCTGCTACTTTGGACAAGGCAAAACCACTTAAAAAAAAAAAACAAGAGAGGAACTCTTAAGTGAACTTCAGAAAGCATTAAGGACCATCTTGATTTCTAGAAGTAGAATGAAGAAGCTGCCCCCACTAAGAGACACAATTTAAATAACATTAACTGTTATCTTTTATTAGTTAAGCCAAAAGAAAATGAATTAGACTTGATAATTAACGATCACTCTGGAGCATCTAAACATCTTCTATTAACTTTGACATAATTTCAGGATGAGGGCAGAGGAGGACCAGGTTCACATTCAGACTCTGGGGCCTTCCGGGAGCCAGCACGGAGCAGGTGGCCATTATGGTGCAGCTGTCACCAGAGGACAAGAGCAGAACTGGACACAACTGAATACATTGTATAGATCGCTTGCTGGAGAAATGGAGAGACCACATAAGAGACCATATTTGGGGAATGATTTGTAAAACTGTTGGTTCCTTCTAAAGGTCATGCTGTTAAAACTCATTTTTCACCAAAAAAAGCAGCATTAGCCTGTGGTTGAAAAACACTCTCTTTAAACATATATTGCAGTCTGAAGTTAGTCTAATAATGAAAAGATTTCCCTTTGAAAATGAAAACGAGGCTGGGCGTGGTAGCTGAAGCCTAAAATCCCAGCACTTTGGGAAACCGAGGCAGGAGGATTGCTTGAGTCCAGGAGTTTGAGACCAGCCTAGGCAACACAATGAGACCCTATCTCTACAAAAATTTTTTTAAAAAATTAGCTGGGCAAGGCAGCATATGCGCCTGCAGTCTCAGCTACTCAGGAGGCTGAGGCAAGAGGACTGCTTTAGCCTGGCAGGTAGAGGATGCAGTGAGCCATGATCGCACTGCTGCACTCCAGACTGGGCGACAGTGGGAGACCCCCATTTCTTTAAAAAAAAAAAAAAGAAGAAGAAAAAACCTTTCAACTTTTAATTTTATTTTTCCCTTAGAAAACACAAGTATTCTCATTCTCACTCTTTTTTTAAGAGACAGGGTTGACTGGGAACAGTGACTCACCTCTGTAATCCCAGCACTTTGGGAGGCCGAGGTGGGTGGATCACCTGAGGTCAGGAGTTTGAGACCAGCCTGGCCAACACGGTGAAACCCCATCTCTACTAGAAATACAAAAAAATTAACCGGGTGTGGTGGCACATGCCTGTAGTCCCAGCTACTCGGGAGGCTGAGGCAGGGGAATCGCTTGAACCCGGGAGGAGGAGGTTGCAGTGAGCTGAGATCACGCCATTGTACTCCAGCCTGGGCAAGAGAGTGAGACTCTGTCTCAAAAAGAGACAGGGTGGGTTTCACTCTGTCACCCAGGCTGGAGCGCACTGGTGCAATCATGGCTTCACTACACCCTTAAACTCCTGGGCTCAAGCGATCCTCTCACCTCAGCCTCCTGAGTGGCTTGAACTACAGGCGCATGCCTCCAAGCCCAGGTAACTTTTTAATTTTCATTTTTGTAGAGATGGGGTCTCCATATGCTGCCCACTCTGGTCTCGAACTCCTGAGCCCAAGTGATCCACCTGCCTCAGCCTCCCAAAGTCCTGGGATCCCAGGCATAAGGCACCATGCCCAGCTCCCTCTCACTCTTTCTAACAACACGATCTACAACATCTTAGTCCAAAGGTTATTTCTAAGAAACTCCTGCCTGTTGCTCTATGAAAGTGGAATAACAGGAGCTTAATGTGCCTTTTTGGACTGCTGAGAGAAATAAAATCAACAGCTGTTAAGAGTTAAAAATAAACTAATTTGGAGCCAAAGCTTATCTTTCATAAACATGACTAAAAAAAAAAGAAGGTCATGACTTGAGATACTAAAGTCAACAGAACTTTGGAATGGAAAGGATCTGAGACTATTTACTCAAAATGTCTCTGTTTACAGATGAAGACCAGAGGCCCGCCCACCCCTGGATGACCTGCTGACGGGTGAGGATCCGGGTCACCCGGGGCCCAGACAGCTCCATTCTCTCCATGAGGGTCCACAACTTGAGTGCATCTCGTTCATGATTCTTTGATAAAACTAGCCATTTTTCTTCAGCTACTTATGTCATTAAAAAATAGGGATAATGATTCTGCATAACAAAACAGAGATACTAAAAAAACATCTCAGCCATCGTCGCGAGCTTCTCTCTCACTCACACGTTAGGCACATGTTAACAAGGCGGCCGAGTACCATGCTAGGCCAAGGCACAGAGTGGAGGGGAGGGGCTGTTTTCACTCAAGGAACTAACCAAGCCTGCAGCAGCAGCAGGTAAATGCAGAGAAAGAAAAGGTACAGGGCCAGGTGGCCAATTCCATCTCTCCCCCTTCCAGAGCGGCTATACTGGATGCCTGTGTGCCTGGCAGCCCAGGGACACTGACTACCAGCAATCCTCAAATCACTGCACTCACCTGGGCTGCTCTGACCAACAAACCCAATCTGCAAGGTGCTTTAGACAGGAAAACCCCAGAGTAAGAATTTTATTGTACAACTTAGTGACCTGCATTTAAAAAATGGTTAGGTATATTACTCAAAGTAGGGAAACACACATTTTTATTGATATTTTAAGCACTTTAAGAATGAATTGCTGGGTGCGGTGGCTCATGCCTGTAATCCCAGCACTTTGGGAGGCCGAGGCAGGTGGATCACCTGAGGTCAGGAGTTCGAGACTGGCCTAACCAACACGGTGAAACCCCGTCTCTACTAAAAATACAAAAATTAGCTGGGCGTGGTGGCTCGTGCCTGTAATCCCAGCTACTCGGGAGGCTGCGGCATGAGAATTGCTTGAACCTGGGAGGTGGAGGCTGCAGCGAGCCAAGATCGTGCCATTGTGCTCCAGCCTGTGCAACAAGAGTGAACTCTGTCGCAAAAAAAAAAGAAAAAGAAGAAAGAAAGGAGAGAGAAAGAAAAGAAAAGAATTGTTTCAAACTCCAAGTATACCTGGCAGGGTACAGCAGCACATGGATGACTGTCAGTCTCCATGAGAAGGACCAGGCCCCAGGAGAGAAGCTGGTGGCAGGCTGGGCAGCCCCATCCTCTGAATGTGCAGAGACGCCCACGGGCTCTAGCTGAGGACAGCCACAGGGGGCGAGAAGGGGCTAATCTCACTCATGTCTAATGACTTAAAGATATCACAGGGGGCCTGGGGGGCAGGGAGCACAAACTCAAATGAACCCCTCAGCCTAGCGAGTCTGAAGGTAAAACCTAGTGTAAGAGTTGAGTAGAAGCTGTCTGGGATAAAGACCTGCAATGACGGAAGTGACCCAACCACAGACAGCCCTGCCACAGACAGGCATCTCAGCACTTTGCTCACATCAACCCCTTACTCCTCACACCAGCTCCCTGCGGTCTTAGCAGGTGATATGATTATTACAGGTGAGGGGGTGAAGTAGCTCACAGAGTTCACACAGTAGGGAAGTGGCCAAGTGGATCTGAATCCACTGTCTGCCCAGGTGATCACATGGCACAGTGTCCTGCCTGGGAGCCTGCCGCATCAGCTGCCAAAACTGAGAGAATGTGTTGTGCCAGAGTGCCGAATGCAAACTATGTGAAAAGTATTACCCAGCTGAAAACATGTGACAAAATGATTAAAAAAAACCCCAGAATACCTTATCTTTAACGATGCTCTCTTGACACGCTGTACATTTTGGACTTGAAGAGCTGCAGGGAAACACAAGTGACTGCATTAGAGTGGAAGTCCCTTTCTTGAGAGGACTCAGGAGATTCTGGGAGCATTCACTTTATGGTCAGGTCTGCACAGTGGCTCACAGCAACCAGCAGAGCTTCAGGACGCCCTGGTGATTCACTTTACATAGGAAGCCATGGGAGAAAAGGGCTACATTTTTTAAAATGCTGATTTTTCAAAAGGAAGTTACCAAGTAGAACAGTTTAGTTCAGTCCCACTTGGAAAGCCCCTTCCACTTAATGTAAAAGTGAAATTTTATTTCAGAAACCAAAGCTAGCTGTCTGCAGAGCAGCTCTTCAGTGTGAGTACCTGTTTACTTGGAGAGCCTTGCTCCTGCGTTGTAAAAGCAGCCAGCCCTTCTCCACAGGCCATTTGGCTTCACTGTCTATTGGAAGGCCAATGGCACCTGCACAGGGGGACCAGCCTCCCTCCCCTGTGGCCCACCATATATGGGGGCTCCAGCCCCTCCTCCACCGGGAAGCTTCTCCTGGGCCCAGAGGTGTAGTCCAGGCTCTTGTGTTAGGAGACACGGTGTTCTGTGTCTCCTGTGCTGTCACTAAGCTCAAGTGTCATTTTGCCCCCAAGTGGGCAAAGGTTAGCTGACTATTTGGGATGAGTGGGTAAGACCACAGAGGGAAGCATGGAGAAGGGGGAGGGTGAAGGCAGGTGACAGGGCAGGGGGCTGGCTGCTGTGCCCAGGCTGGGGCTCGGGTGCAGCCCAGGCTTGAGTGCTGTGGGAGGAGGAGCTGGCAACCTTCCCAGGCCGACATGCCCTGACGGCAGTGGCCAAGACCAGGGCATCCCGCAGCGACCCCAGCACCCAGCACAATGCCAGAAAACATGAGGCCTGCAGGGTGAATCAAGGTGCTCTTCTGGCCGATGCTATTCTGCAGTAAAGCTCCAGCCTGCCTTCATGATCCACCAGCGGTACCAGCACTGGCACTCAGCAGCAAAGGGCTGCCATGGGCTCGGTGCATGTTCCACACACGCCTGCTGAGTAAGCATGCGGCCTAGGTTTCTGCTCGGGTAGGGACCTGTCCAGTCCTTTAAGCTGACCCCATCCTCCCTCCTCTCTGCGGCATCCTTGCACACCAGCACACGTGCCCTTAAATGACTGGCTTGTCATTTCCTGGTGTATCTCCTCCATGGAACTGTGAGGTTCCTCAATAAAATACAGCAACACATATGAGGGGCACCAAGGCTCTACAGACGGAGTGGGAAGACACGGGCGGGGCAGGTCAGAGACACGCAGAGGCCTCAGTAAACCCACACGTGGGATCCCACTGCACCTCCCTAAAGGATTCACAAGCTGGGCCCGGAGGCTTTTATGGACTTCTTTAGGGCTTTAAACCTCTAGAGGTTTATTTTTAGAGAAACGAATGAAGGAGAGGGTGAGGCCGAGGGCTGAGAAGGGGCCGGGCGACGGGCCGGGCGAGGGCGCCTACCTCAGCAGGGCCGCCATGCAGCTCTCGCAGAAGCGGTGCCCACACTCGGTCTGCTTCGGGCTGCACAGCACCAGGTGGCACTTCTCACACTTGTACTTGTCCTCCACGGTCTTCACAAACTTTTCCTTGTAACCTCCTTGTTCAGGGACAAAAACTGGCGTCCCAGCACTGCGGTCAGTGTGCAGCTTTAGCGGCGGGTTAGTCTGCAGCGCGCCAGGAGAGTCCATCTTTTTACTCGACTCCATTTTAGGAAAGAGGAGTTCTGTCGGGAAAAAACAGTAGAGTGCCATCATATCCTCTCATGCAAGGAAACAAACACAGCTTTGGGAAAGCAAAAGTGCCTGAGACCTGCTGTCTTTCAGTTTTAGGCAACACAAGAATCCTTCCCAACTTTAATATGTGTTGGGAACAAAACATGATCAAATATGCTTCCATCCTTTCTATTTTACCCAAACACATAGTAACTATTGATATTATTATTCAAAAAACTTCCTAAAAAGTATACTTAATAAATTGGGATGAGGTGGAAAGATTGCTGAGCCCAGGAGTTGAAGGTTGCACCAAGCTATGATGGCACCACTGCACTCTAGGCTGAGCAACAGAGCGAGGCCCTGTCTCCAAAAATTTTTTTTTTTTTTTTTTAGACGGAGTCTCGCTCTGTTGCCCAGGCTGGAGTGCAGTGGCGCCATCTTGGCTCACTGCAAGCTCCGCCTCCCAGGTTCATGCCATTCTCCTGCCTCAGCCTCCCGAGTAGCTGAGACTACAGGCGGCCACCACCACACCTGGCTAATTTTTTGTATTTTTAGTAGAGACGGGGTTTTACCACATTAGCCGGGATGATCTCAATCTCCTGACCTCGTGATCTGCCTGCCTCAGCCTCCCAAAGTGCTGGGATTACAGGTGTGAGCCACCACACCAGCCAAAAATGTTTTAAAGTTAATAATACAGTATTTTTGAGGTTTAAAAAAATACATATACTATTTTGCTGTGTTGTAACTTTGAATTCAATGCATCATTCTGAGATTTTAACTGAAACAACAGCTGTTCTCAGCCAGTTTTCCTTCCTCATTGACTTCCGCTAGATGAGTCTCAATGCTACAACTCAGACTGGCCTGGTCAACCTGCTTCTGGAGCCCAGGGGTTGTTCCTTCCTGGGTAAACCCTGTGACAGTGTGCCCACAGTACTCAAAGTGCTCAGTTTTGACATTCACCCTCATCTTATTAATCTAGCACCACCCTGACCCAGCATGCTGTGCACAGAGCTGTGGAGTGGGCCCGTTGTGGACCCACAGAGCACGTCACACCATGTCACACTGGTGAGGAGCGTGTGAGGGAGGTGCGGCTCCCTGTGTGCATGAGGGGGCTCGGGTTCAGGTAGGTGCCAATGTGCCCAAGGGCTGGGCTGGCAGAGGGGACACCACATAGGGCAAGTCTGTCTGCGCGGACTCTCTTCCACACTTGCTAACAAGGTACTCTTTAAGACTGGCTGCCTCCCACCTGCAAGTTCCCATCAACAGGTAAAGTAAACAGCTCCTCAAAATAAGCCACAAAGGTCCCAGCTTGCACAGCTCTGCCAGATGAGACCTCAAGATCAAGTAAATGAAAATAACCAGGAATGTAAAGGAGTTGAATCGAGTTCCTGAAGAAATGTGAGCTTTAGTAAAAATTACACCATGCACTCATAAACACACTAATGATTTGATCAATCATCCTAAATATTTGCTAACACTTACCTAAAGCACAAATTAAATGTTTCCAGATGGTGGTATAAAGTCTGGCTTCTCTGGTCTTTGTTTTCTGGATACCATGCAATGGCCATGCACTTCCATAATGAAAAAAACCTTGGGAATGTCGGCCAGTGTTTAGGTCAGCGTGTGCACCATGAACTTTCTTGGAAAAGTTTTTGCCCAGTGCCTTACGACCTTTACGAGGCTTCTGCAGGGCAGCTCCAGCACAGATGCCCTTCCTGTCTCTAAGGCTCAGCCTGCACCACTCCCCCACTGTCAACAGCCCCTGGCCAGCCCTGTACTCCCATGTACCTTGGTAAGGAAGGGAGTGGCTGTGAAGGGAGGTGAGGGACCCAGTGAGAACCAGACTCAGGAGCCTCAGGGAACACCGCTGCCTAGACCAGCCGCCTCACATCAGTAGCTGCTGCACTATAGGATTTTTCTTGTGTAGAGTTTCCCACCTCCATGCCTCCTCCATCCTTTCTCACGATACGGTAAGCCTCAGGTGAACAGAGGAAGTTTCTTTCACAACTCACCAGCTCCCTCAAAAATACACTGCGTTCCTGTACCCAATTCATCTATTTTTGCTACTTAGAAAAATAAGAGCCAAATTCCTTCCACCCCTGAGCTCCTGGGCATCCTGGGGAGGTAGTTGCTGGGTGGGCGGGCGGAGCCCTTGCTTCCGAGCCCCGTTCTTGCTGCCTGCATGAAGCTGACAGGCACATGAGCTGACAGACTCCTAGCCTGACTTTACAGCTAGAAGCAAACAGGAATGAACGCCGGCAGCAGACAATTTGAGAGATGGATGAACTGGCGTTCTAGCCACACTTGGGTTAGCTTCATAGAACATAACTGTGGCAAAATGTGGGAAATTACTTATTTGTGAAAACAAAGTTTTCAAAACATTAATGTTAAAGTATATGTATTATAGATGTCATTTGCTTACAAACTTGCCGGTCCATTATGATGCTCACTAATCTTTCCAAGCTAAGTAGCAAGGGCACCTGGTACTAGCCTTGCCCGCCAGGTAAAAGGGTTGACCAGCCTCGACCTGCAGCCCCCAGCCCTGCCTGCCACTCTGCTCTCCACACTGGCCTATTGTGCCTCAGAAGCTCTACGTTCCCCTAGGCCCACCCAGCCAGGCCATGGCTGAGCCTACCCAGACACATGCAGTCCAGCCCCCGACCTTCTCCAGGAGGCCACCCTCCCAGTCTCTCTCAACTCCCCCATACCGCTCTGTGCTTTTCCCCTGGCCCTCCTGCCACTAAGACTGCATGTAACTAAGTTTCTCCAGGATGCGTCCCCTAGATCAGAGAACCAGGAATTGGCAAACTACAGCCTGCAAATCAAATCCAGCCAGCAGCCTATTTTTGTAAGGTCTTTGAACTAAGAATGCTTTTTAGATTTTTTAAGTGTTATAAAAACAAAGACTAAGTGTGTATGTAGTCCACAAAGCCTAGGATATTTACTCTCTTGCCCGTAACAGAAAGAGTTTACCAGTCCTTGCTCTGGACTCTACATCTAAAGAGCAGAGAGGAGTCGCTGGTGTGTAGGTTGTACGAAAGGCCAGTTTTGTAAATGAGTGCCAAACTGCTCTCCAAAGCAGAGGTAACAACAAATACTTCCACTAGCAGCACAAGAATTTCTATGAAACCACACTCTCACCAACACTTACAGTTATCAGTCATCTTAATTTCTACCAACCAAGGACTATGGTCTTTATGCCCCTTATCCTGATTAGAAAGGTTTGGCATCTTTTCATATGCTGAGAGGCCACTTGTTTTCTCTTCCGTGAAATGCCAAATTGTGCCTTCTTGTCATTGTTTTGTGTGTGTGTGTGTGTGTGTGTGTGTGTGTGTGTGTGTGTGTTTTCAAGAGATGGAGTCTCGTTCTGTTGCCCAGGCTGGAGTATAGTGGTGCCATCATGGCTCACTGCAGCCTCGACCCCCTGGGCTCAAGCAATCCTCCCACCTCAGCCTCCAGAGTAGCTAGGATTATAGGCACATGCCACCATGCCCAGCTAATTTTTTTATTTTTTCAGGAGCTGGGGGTCTCGCTATGTTCCCCAGTCTGCTCTCAAACTCCTGGCCTCAAATGATCCTTCCACATCAGCCTCCCAAAGTGCTGGGATTACAGGCATGAACCACTGCGCCTGGTGGTGTCATTTTTTTAATTGGGTTCCTGTCTCGTAATATTGATTTGGGGAGATTCCCCATCTATTTAATATGTTAACAGCTAATCCTTTGTTAGTTTTATGTATTACAGATGTCTTTTCCCTATTTATAGCTTGACTTTTTTTTAAATTATTATACTTTAAGTTCTAGGATACATGTGCAGTACATGCAGACTTGTTATATGGGTATACACGTGCCGTTGTGGTTTGCTGCACCCATCAACCCGTCATCTACATTAGGTATTTCTCCTAATGCTATCCCCACCCTCCGACAGGCCCCAGTGTGTGATGTTCCCCTCCCTGTGTCCATGTGTTCTCACTGTTCAACTCCCACTTACGAGTGAGAACATGTGGTGTTTGGTTTTCTATTCCTCTGTTAGTTTGCTGAGAATGATGGTTTCCAGCTTCATCCATGTCCCTGCAAAGGTCATGAACTCATTCTTTTTTATGGCTGCATAGTATTCCACGGTGTATATGTGCCACATTTTCTTTATCCAGTCTATCACTGATGGGCATTTGGGTTGGTTCCAAGTCTTTGCTATTGTAAATAGTGCTGCAATAAACATATGTGTGCATGTGTTTTAAAAATACGGAACTGCTTCATGAATTTGCATGTCATCCTTGTGCAGGGGCCATGCTAATCTTCTCTGTATCATTCCAATTTTAGTATATGTGCTGCCAAAGCCAGCACTATGGCTTGACTTTATTTATAGTGTCTTTTAATGAAGAGAAATCTTAATTTTATTAGGCCAGTCACAGTGGCTCACGCCTGTAATCCCAGCACTTTGGGAGGCTGAGGCGGCTAAATCACTTGAGGTCAGGAGTTCAAGACCAGCCCTGGCCAACATGGTGAAACCCCGTCTCTACTAAAATACAAAAATTAGTTGGGCATGGTGGCACATGCCTGTAGTCCCAGCTACTTGGGAGGCTGAGGCAGGAGAATTGCTTGAACCTGGGAGGCAGAGGTTTCAGTGACCCGAGATCGTGCCACTGCACTCCAGCCTCGGTGACAGAATGAGACTCCATCTCAAAAAAAAAAAAAAAAAAAATTCAGATTAACTTATGAGTGATGCTGATGAAAAAGGGACAATCCAATATATAAAAACAGAAAGCAGCTCTAATTCTATCACAGAAGCAATGTCAAAAGGAGGTGTTCTCAAGTAAGACTAGTAAATGAGCCACTATGTCAAATTGACAGACATTGCTCAAGGAAAATATGCTTTCTAAACAAAAGCTGAAGAAAGAAATGACACGAACCCTGAGCAGAGCCCAGCCGGCAGCCCCGTGACCTTCTATATCAATGAGGTGGCCACAGGACTGAACTGGCTCCTGGGAAAGCAGGAGACAGACACCTCAACAGGCACCAGAACCAGGGGATGGACAAGTCTCAGGTTTACTGATGACTCTTGACTCTCCCAGTGATCAACAGCCACCAAGAGCAGTCACTTCTGATCTGAAGTGTAAGAATCCCCTGATCACCTCCTGAAGCAAATAGGACAATAGACATGATGTCTTAAGTCCTCAAATAGGATATAAACACTTACCTGTCCTGTCCTGAGCAAAGGAGAGTTTTAGATTTAGGAAAACCAACACTGGAGACACATTTCTCACAATCAACTCAGAGGCAGACAGTAACAACCATCCCTACTGCTGGGCACTAACCTGGCATATCTCCCTCAGCCCAACGCAGTCATGCAGGAGAAGCCACGGAGGCGAATCTGCCCCAGGTTCCCCACCACTGACGTAACAGAGAGAGGGCAAGAATCTCAAGGCTGCCAAGGAAACATTTCTGTCTGTAGGATCAAGTTCTTAACAGCAGGGAGGGCAGTTTTTACTAACATGCCCTCAACCCAACAAATACTGACAATGATAATTTATTGCATCTCTTATGCTATTTATCCTTGTAAGCCATCTTAAATCTCTTGTGTAACCAAGTAAGGTGTACGTAAATTTGGCAACCTCGAAACTGATCATAATTTAATATGTCCTAAAATATTCAATTTAAATTATGACTAGTAAATCATGTCCACAAAAATGGCTGAGTAAGGAACTCAAAGTCCATCCTTCAATATACACATTTTAAAAACTGGCAAAAACTAGGCCGGGCGCGGTGGCTCACACCTGTAATCCCAGCACTTTGGGAGGCCGAGGTGGGCAGATCACGAGGTCAGGAGATCGAGACCATCCCGGCTAACACGGTGAAACCCCATCTCTACTAAAAATACAAAAAATTAGCCGGGCGTGGTGGCGGGTGCCTGTAGTCCCAGCTACTAGAGAGGCTGAGGCAGGAGAATGGCGTGAACCTGGGAGGCGGAGCTTGCAGTGAGCCGTGATGGCGCCACTGCACTCCAGCCCGGGTGAGAGCGCAAGAATCCGTCTCCAAAAAAAAAAAAAAAAAAGAAAAAGGCAAAAACCGTTAGAATCTACTATTTTAAAACTTTGGAAAACTAATTAAAAACTTGCAGCAATCAGAAGAATGCTTAATCAAGAAAAACCAGGTGAATCTCAGCAAGAACCGCGAGTTCCATGGCATTTTAACTTTCTCTGGTCCCATCCTGGCTGCCGCAGTGGCCTAGAAGACAAGAGGCTGCCACTCCGGTGCATGCACTGGTCCCAGAGGGAGCAGAATGGGCCTCATCGGCAAAGAACTGCAGTTGTTTGTTTCGACCTGTCTACTGAGTCCCTGGAAGACTGGCTCAAAGGGCTTGACTTTACCTCCCAGTGCTGAGGCATCTACTAGGGAAAGATGGGAAAAGGTTATTGGAAACATTTACAGACAAACATATTTGCTGCTGCCTGAAGCACTGAATAACAGTTGAGGCAAACAATAGATTTAACCAAAAGCTTGGGAAGAAAAGCTGAGGAGTAAGATGTTTTGGAAAATAAAGGTTTGAAAAGCTCTGACACATTCTTGGAAATCCAGAAGGCTCCACAAATGCCCAGGGCTGTGTACATGTTCAGGAAAGACCTGAAAAGGCCCTAGGCTTTCACCTCTGGCTGACCTTCAGGATCTGTGCAAGCAGGCAGCGAATGCTCAGGGATCACCGTCAAATGCCTGGCTGAGTGTTGAAGGTGTGCTCCAACATACACACAGACCTCATCTCAAAAGACTGGGAGACATTTTTTGTTCTAGGCGCTTAAATCTCTGTCTAATCACAAGCTGACCACTATATTAATGGAACAGAGAACTCAGAGGCCACACATGATAAAGAATATATACTATATAAAATTAGCTCAGAAAAGTAACTATACAAACAATGACTGTAACAAGCAGTCAATAAACCCTGGGGGAGAAGGAAGAATCTCATTTCCAGAGTTGCCACGGTAAAAATTCAAAAGTTCCAGTTTTCAACAAAATATCACAAGGCATGCAAAGAAACAAGAAAGTATGGTTCACATGCAGAAAAAAGGCAACTAACAGAAATTGTTTAAGAGGAAGCCCAGGCATTAGACGTATGGATGAAGACTTTAAATATGCTATTTTAAATATGTTCAAAGAACTAAAGAAAACCATGTTCAAAAATCTACAAGATCCATCAGAACAATGTCTCACTGAATAGAAAATATTGATAAAGAAAAAAATAGTTTAAAAAAAGAACCAAACAAAAATTCTGGAGTTGAAAAGCACAAAAACTGAAATGAAAAATTCACTGCAGGGGCTCAACAGCAGAAATAAACAGCAGTAAGAATCAGAGAACTTAAAGATAGGATAATTGAGATTATAAAGTGTAAGGAACAGAAGAAAAAATAATGAAGAAAATAAACAGCCTCAGAGACTTGTGGGACACCATCAATTGTACCAACATACATATTATAGGGTCTTAGAAAGACAGAGAGAAAAAAAGACAAAAAAAAGTTTGAAGAAATAATGGTAGAAAAGTCCTGTATTTAATGAGAAACATTAATCTGCATAACCAGGAAGCTCGACAAACTCCAAGTAGGATAAATTCAAAGAGCCACACCCAGACACACTGTAGCCAAACTGTAGAAAGCAGCAAGAGAGAAGTGACTCTTCAAGTACAAGGATTTCTCAGTAAGATTAACAACTGATTTCTCATCTAAAGCCATGGAGGCCGAAAGGTGACAAATTAAAGGGCTGAAAGAAAAAAATCTGTCAACCAATAATTTTTTTTTTTTTTTTTTTTGGAGAAGGGATCTTACTCTGTCACCCAGGCTGGAGTGCAGTGTGGTGCAATCATAGCTCACGGCAGTCTCCAACTCCTGGGATCAAGCAATCCTCCTGCCTCAGTCTCTCTGGGAGCTGGGACTACAGGCCAGTGCCATCATGTCTGGCTATTTTTCAACCAAGAATTCTATATCCAGTAAAACTATCTTTCAAAAATGAATGAGATCCCCAAAAAATATATTAGAAAGCTCTTAGAAGAAAACACAGGAGGTAAATCTTTAATGACCCTGAATTTGGCAATGGATTCTTAGATACAACAACAAAAGTATAAGCAACAAAATAAAAAACTAGATAAACTGAACTTCATTCATCAAAATGAAAAACTTTTGAGCACCAAATGAGATTATCAATAAAGTGAAAAGACAATTAACAGAATGGGAGGAAATACTTGCAAATCACATATCTAATAAGGGTTTAGCATCCAGGATATATATAAAGCACTCTTATAACTCAACCACAAAAAGACAACCCAATTTTAAAATGAGCAAAGGATCTGTATAAACGTTTCTCCAAGGAAGATACTGAAATATTCAACAAGCGCATAAAAAGATGTCCAATATCAATATCATTAAGAAAATACAAATCGGCTGCTCTGCCTATTGAGTAGCCACTTTTTTATTTACTTCTATAATAAACTTGCTTTCACTTTATAGACTCACCCTGAATTCTTTCTTGCATGAGATTCAATAACCCTCTCTTGGGGTCTGGATTGGGACCCCTTTCCGGTAACATCTTCCTGGCAAGCCCCAAAGGGATGATACTGAGGAGACTCCCAACCCAAAGGAAATAGACTGCAGCACTGATTGGCCGACCTTGGGTAAGTGGGATGCAGTTACCTGGGTAAAGGATGGGATTGGGTTAGAGGCCCAACTTAGGAGAGTTAGAGTCTCTCCTAAGAGAGGGATAAAGGTGCCTGTTAATAAAAGGCAAGCACGCTTGACTGAACTTGGGTTTGATGCCCAACTTAGGAAGGTTAGAGTCCTTCCTAAAATTTAGGGGGTTGGAGGCCCCTCTCAGTAGAGTCCCTCTCGACTAAGAACCAGTTTGGCACTATGGGATGTTAACTGCTATTCTCTTTGGATTAATCTGCCTTGCACTCTTTGCTGATGGCTGTGGGTGACAGAACTAGACATGTCCAAGATTATGGGACATGGGGAGCTTTTTCCTCCCCAAAAGGGGAAACTAGAGCTGATGGGAATGCTGGGAAAGATCCCTACGCTCCCAAAAAGCAGCCACCTGAACTTCTGATTCAGTGTCAGCTGCAATGGGCGGGTCTTTCTCTGGCCTCCCTGAGCTTCTTGCATTCCCCAGCCTGCTGCAGGCAATGCTTTTCTCCCTTTCTTTCCTTTCCCTTTCCTATCTTTTCTGTTATTCAGGGCCACCATCTTGCCCAAAGACCACATGTTGAGAAATGTCCCTGAGAGCTTGACCTTGTAATCATATGGCAGTACTTTCTCTTTGTCTCTGCCTTCCAGGCAACAGGGATTTTGGGGTAGTAGTTAGCTCTACAAATTATCTTGAGCAGTTAAAAGCCTTTGCAAGCTCAAAATTTACTGCTCTGGGCTCCTTCTGGGAAAAGCAGTGGAAACTGCCCAATGCTGTAGCTTAGCAGTTAAGGCTTTGTCTTTTCACAATGGTGGCCTGAGTTCAGGTTCAATTTTTAGCCTAGAAAATGAGCACTTTCTGGTTGGCATTTGGGTGACCTGTGCCATTTGTTGATTCTCCTCCCTTTCATAAACTGTCTTAAATTTTCCTTTCTCTCAGCACCTGGGAGGTTACATTTGGAAAAGTTAAAAAGCCAGGAATATTGGCAGTTTGGCGTGGCTAAAGTTGGGTAATAAGATATTTAAAACGACTTTTTAAAGAGTGCTATGGTTAAAAGTCAGCTTAATTAAAAGTCGATATTCAAGCTCTAACAGCCTGGGACTTCTTAGGAAAAACAGAGGAGGCACCACATACCCTGTTTTGGGAAAAACCTCTATTTTCCTCATGGAACCCCGAGAATTATTAAAAGTGGATAGATCCCTCTCAAAATCTATGGCTCTGTTCTGTTTTGCACTGCATTATCTGTTTTTTACTTTGGGGGTATCAGAAATTACTTCACATTATGAGAGAACTTTGGTGTGTAATATAACTAGGTAGGAAATACATTTAATACTTTTGGGGATGGCTAAATGGCACTGTGGGGGATACTTGGATCTTTGTGTGTCTGGATTAAGAGCATGCTCTTGGCCACCTGGAAGGTATGGAGATGTCCTCACCCTTCCCCACTGAGAGATAAGACTCCCATGGGGGATGGGCTGATCTCAGAAAGGGCTGATTGGCTCTGGGTTGCCTGGCAATGAAATATGTGGTAAAATCATTGCACTGTTGTGTTCTGTAGCGTTTCTCTTTGGGGGATCCAGGATCAATATAAAAATGGGACCCTCAAGTTTTGGGGCTCTGTCTTGCCTTCCAATTGTGCCTGCTTATTAGGCCATAGAAACTGCATGCTTTCCTTGCCCTGTTCCTCCAGGGCTCCACCATAAAGCCACTAATCCAATTAAGAAACTGGCAAAGGAAAAACCTTACAACTACTACATTTTCTTCTGTCTGTGTATTTATATGTGTTGTGTGTGTGATATAAAAGGCTTTGATTAATTGGCTTAAAAATAAGTGTTTAAATCAAATATTTTGTCAGAAAAATAAAAAGCGTAATGCCTTTTAATTCGTGTGACTTAAGCTGTGGGAAGTAAAGAAAATTTTAAAGATTATTGGTAAAATAAAGACATTCGGTCTAAATCAGGCAGGTCAAATTTTAGGTTTGCTAAACGCTTTAACTTTATAAACTGCCTCTTTGACTTTTGAAAATTGTTAAACTTACCTACAGCCATTAGATTCTAGGTAAGGCCTAGGGACATGTGGAGTTAGCCATGCCTCCTAGCTATGCTAGTAAGTGTCAGACCTTATCTGCACTTCTGCCTGGTGTCCTAGGCTCCATACCTAGTACATAATTAAAATTGCTTACCAAGTTTTTCACTAAAAATAAACACTGCTAAGAGTTAACAGTGTAACATCTACTTGAGACTACTGGAAAAACAGTTTTACATGCAAGGTGTGTAGGGAAAGTGAAATGTGTTTTTGGTAAAAGAGAAGGAGACATGTGAATGTGGATTTTTTTTTTTTTTGGCCTAAATTAAAGGGTTAAGGGATTGTTTTAAGTTAGGATAAAGCTGAAGGTTTGCAAAAGTTGTGGAAATTTTGTGAAAAATTAATCTTTTAAAAGAAATTCTGTGTGTGAACATACTGGCTGAAGTTAAAGGGGTATGATACAGTTCCGTAAATTGAACACTGGAATAAAAGCGTAACAAGGTTTTCTTAGAGCACTGATCTGCTCTTTAACAAAAATTTGTAAAGGGTTATAAAAGGTTTATAAGAATCTTACCTTCTGGTCTGACATTAAAATTGGGTAGATTTGTCTATAATGTTTTATTAAGAATTGGGTTTAACATTAATAGTACACTAATGCAATGGTGAAATTTGGCTTATTTGGTATAAAAATCATACAGGAAGCACTGTCAAATATGAAATGGTGTTTGGCTTTCTTTGACCTGTATTTATATAAATATGTTATTGGTATGTGTTCCAAAGTAATGGGAAACTCCTAGAATTGTGATATGACTTAGCATATGTTACTAATAATTACAATTATTATGTAAAATCGTATGCCACAAAAGTAATCAAAATTCCTAGTCAATTGTGCCTTTAATAGTGGCTGCCTTAAGACTTTCTGTCAACCACAGACAACTGCTGTGTTGATCCTCTTCAAAAGGTGGTTTATAGTCAGCTATTATAGGACTTCAACAGGTGCTCTTGGATGCAGGTTTCTAATAACTTTGGAGATTGTGACATTAGAATAGAGGTTCTTAGGCCGGGTGCAGTGGCTAACGCCTGTAATCCCAGCACTTTGGGAGGCCGAGGTGGGTGGATCACCTGAGGTTGGGAGTTCGAGACCAGCATGACCAATGTGGTGAAACCCCGTCTCTACTAAGAAATACAAAAATTAGCTGGGCGTGGTGGTGCGTACCTGTAAGCCCAGCTACTCAGGAGGCTGAGGCAGGAGAATCGCTTAAACCTAGGAGGCAGAGGTTGCAGTGAGCCAAGATCACGCCATTGCATGCCAGCCTGGGCGACAGAGTGAGACTGTCTCAAGAAAAAAAAAAAAAAGAAGAACAGAGGTTCTTTCAGGACTCTCATGGAGAGCTGAAATGATTATGAATATCAAGTAGAACAGGAGTTAACTGCATGGACTGAACAAAAGACTCAAGTAATCTTTTCTGACTTTTTGCTTAAAACGTTGCTGATCATTTTTGTTTTTCAGAGCCAAGAAAACTTTTGAGCTACTTACAGCTTTTGACAATTGAGTAAAGTATACTCCTGTGAACAAAATTTGGAGCATATTTGTTTTTCTCTACCTGCTTTCTCTGGAATTTGGAAACTATTTGTGAGTATTAACTTATGGCAATATAGTTATTTGCACAAGTGCAATAAGAATCTGTTTTCTTTTGCAACAGGACACAATTAGAGAAACTAGTTGTTTTACCAGGACTTTGATGGGAATGGTGTGCTTTCCTTTAAGGACTCAAACTTGACTTATGGAGCCAATAAAAGTTCCTTGGGAAAACTGGCCTCATACCTTGTCTACACAGTTCCTGTGCAGGGTTCCTGACCTGTGGTTAGTAAAGAATGTCACTTTCCGACAGGCCCAGGAACCCCACGCCATCTTGGGACCTCAAGAGGAGAGGAATTTCCCAACTCACAGGTTATTTGAGGGTACAAACCCATGGCTGGGCTTGGCTTTAACAAAAAGTCTTATCTAAGCTTCCTTTTATGGAATGAAGTTTCATCAAAGCCAATTTTAAAAACCTATGTGAAAAATAACTGTTCTTGCTGCACTTTATACAAATAATCAGGCCAAGTATAATAAAGCAAATCAGTTGTACCATGATTTGTCTTCAGTAAAAATGGGAGACCGGAGAGAGAAAATAAATTATGTTTCAGGAACTTGGTACACCTGTTACTAGATTCTAGTCTCATCAGTTGTTTTTAAGTTTTTTTTCTGCAACTTAGGCTAACCCTGCTTACTCCTGTGAACCAATCAGTGATCTCTGGCTGCTGCTCACAAGAAACAAGAGAGATGGGTAATGTAAAAATCTGGATCAATATTCTAATTCTGGGCACATACTGGAGTCGGCTAGCAACCCGATGTATCAGTTTGGTTTCAACAACTGCCCAGTTCATGGAAAGCCTTCTTGTTTAGTTTACTCAGGATAATTTTAGTTATTCTACTTTACTGTTGTGGAATATATTGCTGTTGTACTCTTTGTGTAGGAATGCAGGATAAGTTTACTGAATGTTTTCTTAAACTGAACACTTATTAATCTTCCAGATACCACCTTTTGTTGGAACTCAGAGCTATGAATGGCCCTCACCATATTGATGCTTTCTGACTGAGCTCTTCTCTACCCTGAATACAAGAGACCCTCATAGTTAGGCAGGAATATCATCGCCCCATTCAGCCTGAAGAAGTTACAGAAGATGGATCTTTGTCCCTCTACGACTGTTAGGATTAAGGGTTCTGCTGTAAAAGGGAGGGGGGAAACATGTCAGGGGTGTCTGAACCAGAGAAACTCCATCTTGAATAGGGGGTGAGTAAAATAAGGCTGAGACCCACTGGGCTACATTCCCAGGAGGTTAGGCATTCTAAGTCACAGGATGAGACAGGAGGTCGGCACAAGATACAGGTAATAAAGACCTTAATGATGAAACAGGCTGCAGTAAAGAAGCTGACCAAAACCAAGATGGCGATGAAAGTGACCTCTGGTTGTCCTTACTATTCATTATACTCTAATTATAATGCATCAGCATGCTAAAAGACACTTCCACCAGCACCATGACAGTTTCCAGATACCATGGCAACGTCAGGAAGTTGCCCTGTATGGTCTACAAAGGGGAGAAACCCTCAGTTCCAGATACTGCCCACCCCTTTCCCATAAAACTCATGAATAATCCACCCCTTGTTTAGCATACAATCAAGAAGTAACAATAAGTATAAGCAGCTGAGTGGCAATGGGCTCTGCCTATGGAATAGCCATTCTTTATTCCTTTGCTTTCTTAATAAACTTGCTTTCACTTAAAAAAGAAAATACAAATCAAAACCACAGTGAGTTCCCACTTCACACCCACTGGGATGGCTGTAATTTTTTTTTTTTTTTTTTTTTTTTGTGAGACAGGGTTTTACTCTGTTGCCCAGGCTGGATGGAGTGCAGTGGTGTGAACGTGACTTGCTGCAGCCTTGAACTCCTGGGCTCAGGCAATCCTCCCAACTCAGCCTCCCGAATACCTGGGAATACAGGCATACACAACCATGCCCAGCTAGTTATTTTATTGTCTGTAGAGACGGGGTGTCATTATATTGCCCAGGTTGTTCTCAAACTCCTGGGCTCAAGTGATCCTCCCACCCTGGCCTCCCAAAATGTTGGAATTACAGGCATGAGCCAACGTACCTGGCCTTTTTTTTTTTTTTTAGATAAAGTCTCATTCTGTAGCCCAAGCTGGAGTGCGGTGGCATGATCTTGGCTCACTGCAACCTCCATCCCTCAGGCTCAAGTGATTCTCGTGCCTCAGGCTCCCTAGTAGCTGGGACTACAGGCTGGTGCCACCACGCCTGGCTAATTTTTTGTATTTTAGTAGAGATGGGGTTTCACCATGTTGCCCAGGGTGGTCTCAAACTCCTGAGCTCAGGTGATCTGCCTGCCTCGGCCTCCCAAAGTGCTGGGATTACAGGTGTGAGCCACTGCGCCTGGCCTATAATTTTTTTAAAAAAGGAAAATAACAAGTGTTAGGATGTGGAAAAACTGAAACCCTCATATACTGCTGTGGAAACGCAAAATGGTTCAGCCACTAAGGAAAAGAGGCTGGCAGTTCCTCAAAAAGTTAAAACATTTTACCATATGACCCAGCAATTCCACTCTTAGGTACATGCTCAAAATAACTGAAAAAAGGTACTCAAAGAAACACATGTATACACATGTTCACAGCAGTACTCTTCACAACAACCAAAAAGGTAGAAACCACCAAAATGTCCATCAATACATGAATAAACAAAATGTAATCTATCCAGACAGTGAATACCATTCAGCCTTAAAAAGGAATCAAGTTCTGATTCATGCTACAACATGGATGAACCCTGAAAACATGCTAAGTGAGTAAGTCAGAAGCAAAGGGCACACACTACGATTTCATCTACATGAAACATACAGAATAGGGAAATCCACAAGACAGAAAGCAGACTGGTAGTTACCAGTGGTTGAAAGGAGGCATAATGGGGACTCACTGCTTATGGGTATGGGGTTTCCTTTTGGGAACGAAAAAAATGTGTTGGAACCAGATAGAGATCATGGTGCAGAACACTGTGAATGTACAAAATGCCACTGAATCATTCACTTTTAAATGGCTAATGTTATGTGTATCTCACCACAATTTATTTTAAAACATTGTTAAAAAAAAAAAAAAAAAAACAGCCAGGTGCGGCAGCTGACACCTATAATCCCAGCACTTTGAAAGGCTGAGGTGGGCAGATCACTTGAAGCCAGTAGTTCAAGACATGCCTGGGCAACACAGTAAAAAACCCCATCTCTACAAAAAAATACAAAAAATAGCTGGGTGTGGTGGTGCACACCTGTAGTCCCAGCTATCTGGGGGGCTGAGGTGGGAATCACTTGAGCCCAGGAGGTGAGGCTGCAGTGAGCCATGTTTGCACTACTGCACTGCAGCCTGGGCAACACAAAAGTAAGACTCTGTCTCAAAACCAAAACCAAAACCTACTATAACCACTTAGTCACTTGGATGGCTAAAATTTTAAAAACAGAAAATCACAAGTGTTAGCAAGGATATGGAGAAATGGGAATCTTCACATATTGTTGACAGGAATGTAAAATGGTGCAGCCCTTGTGGAAACAATCTGGCAGTTCCTCCAAAAGTTAAACACAGAATTACCGTATGACCCAACAATTCCATCTCTATGTATATACCAAGAGAACCAGTCTGTTCACGCAAAAACTTGTTCACAAACGTTCACAGCAGCACTATTCACAATAGCGAAAAAAAAAGTAGAAACAGCTCAAATGGTCAACTGGTAAATGGATAAACAAAATGTGGTCTATTCATACAATGAACTCTTACTTAGGCATAAAAAAAAATGAGGTACTATATATGCTACAACATGGATGGACCCTGAAAACATTATGTAAGTTATAGAAGTCAGAAACAAAAGGCCACATATTGTATGATTCCTATTACATGAAATGTCCAGAATAGGCAAATTCATAGATACAGAAAGTAGATTAGTGGTTGCCAGAGGCTGGGGCAAGCGAAGAATGGAGAGTGCCTGCTTAGTGGTATGGGGTTTCTTTTTGGGGTGATGAAATATTCTGAAATTAGATAGTAGTGATGGTTGCATAACATTCTTTTTTTTTTTTTTTTAGACGGAGTCTTGCCTCTGTCGCCCAGGCTAGAGTACAGTGCCGCAATCTCGGCTCACTGCAACCTCCGCCTCCCGGGCCCAAGCAATTCTGCTGCCTCAGCCTCCCAATTGCCTGAGGTTACAGGAGTGTGCCACCATGCCCAGCTAATTTTTTTGTATTTTTAGTAGAGATGGGGGTTTCACCATGTTGGCGAGGCTGGTCTCGAACTCTTGACCTCAGGTGATCTGCCCGCCTCGGCCTCCTAAAGTGCTGGGATTACAGGCATGAGCCACCACGCCCGGCCGTAACATTCTGAATATACACAAAGCCACTGAGTTGTACACTTTAAGTGGTTTAAGTGGTGAATTTTGTTTTGTAAATTTTATCTCAATTAGAAAGTGTTTACAATTTTTTTCGTGGGGTAAAAAACGGTGGTGGGGGGAACATCCAGATTCCTGAATCCCGCACAGCCTGGTAGCCACTCCTTACCACCACCACGAACATAAAAAAATGGCTAGCAGGCAGGACGTGGTAGCTCACACCTGTAATCCCAGCACTTTGGGAGGTCAAGGCAAGAGGACTGCTTGAAGTACCAGGAGTTTGAGATCAGCCTTGGCAACACAGCAAAACTCAGTCAGCCTCTAAAAAAAAATAAAGGCCAGGTGCAATGGCTCACACCTGTAATCCCAGCACTTTAGGAGGCAAGGCAGGAGGATCGTCTGAGGTCAGGAGTTCAAGACCAGCCTGGCCAACATGGCAAAACCCTGTCTCTACTAAAAATACAAAAATTAGCCGGACGTGGTGGTGTGAGCCTGCAGTCCCAGCTACTCAGGAGGCTGAGGCAGGAGAATATGAGAATCGTTTGAACCCAGGAGGTGGAGGTTGCAGTAAGCCGAGATTGTGCCGCTGCACTCCAGCCTGGGCGACAGAGTGAGACTCTGTCTCAAAAAAATAATAATAAAAATAAAATATAAAAATAAAATAAAAATTAGCCTGGCATGGTGACACATGCCTGTGAGTCCTAGCTACTCAAGAGGCTGAGGCGGGAGAACTGCTTAAGCCCAGGAGCTCAAGGTTACAGTGAACTACGATCACGCCACTGCACTCCAGCCTGGGTGACAGGGCAAGATTCTGTCTCTAAAAAAAACAAACTGTTTTTAATTTTTTTTAAACAGCTAGCACACTGAACCTTATGTGACACAATTCTGTTTGTCCATATGTAGATCCAAAGAATTTCATGTCATCCTAAGTATCTCAATAGGAAAATTAAAAGGAGAAGTAAAGATATTAGAAGTCAATGAAAAACTAAGTTTCAGGGGATAATGTTTTAAATTACATGCAGAGAATTAAGGAGAAATAAGTGGCCAAGAGGACAACTGCAGCCTCACACACGGACCACACTGACTGATGGTGAGGACAGCAAGCAGGCCGCACTGGAGTCGGTCATGTCTCGTTCCCAGGCTGGAACAACAACACCTACAAGTACAGCTCCAAAAGCAAAGACCAAGTTCAAAGGCCCCAAACTAAATATCACTGTAAAAGAAAGCTCCTAAAACTAAAAGGCTAATTTTTTCTAAATTATCTGTGGTGGTTGTCGGGCATGGCAGCGTGTGCCTGTAGTGCCTGCTCAGAAGGCTGAGGCAGGAGGATCACTTGAGCCCAGGAGGTTGAGTCTAGCCTGAGCAAGAGAGAGACCTTGTCTGTAAAAAAAATAAAATAAAAATAAAATGTCTGTAAGGGTAATTTATTTTCTTTTGAGGTAATTTCTTTTCTTTTTTTTCTTTTGAGGTTATTTCTTTTATTTTCTTTCTTTTCTTGCCGTCACCCAGGCTGGAGTGCAGTGGTGCAAACATGGCTCACGGCAGCCTTGAACTCCCAGGCTGAAGCGATCCTCCTGCCTCAGCCTCCCAACCAGCTGGGACTACAGGCATGCACCACCACACCCCGCTAACTTTTCTATTTTTTGTAGAGACAGGGTCTCGCCATGTTGCCCAGGTAGGTCTCGCCAATGTGGCCCAGACTGGTCTCGAACTCCTGGGCTCAAGCAATCCTCCTGCCTCAGCCTCTTACACGAACCACCCACGAGGCCTGTGATGATAATTTCTTTTTTTTTGAGGCAGAGTCTTGCTCTGTCGCCCAGGCTGGAGTGCAGTGGCGCCATCTCGGCTCACTGCAAGCTCCGCCTCCAGGGTTCACACCATTCTCCTGCCTCAGCCTCCTGAGTAGCTGGGACTACAGGTGCCCGCCACCAGGCCTGGCTAATTTTCTGTATTTTTAGTAGAGACGGGCTTTCACCATCTTGGCCAGGATGGTCTCAATCTCCTGACCTCGTGATCCGCCCACCTCGGCCTCCCAAAGTGCTGGGATTACAGGCCTGAGCCACTGCGCCCGGCCCTGTGATGGTAAATTCTAATCTGTGACCATATCTGGTCCGTTCACACTGAGCTGTGGACAGGCAGGAATCCCGTGTCTTCCACACACAGACCTATCACCAGAAGTGGCAAGAAATAAGTGAGATTGCATATTTGGAAGGATTGTAAAAACCTTTGATTAGATTTCTTGATTTAAACATAAATACCTTTACTTCACTTGCTTATATATGGGTATAAAAATAGTTAAGTTCTATTTTTATCCTAAAATTTAGATATGACAATTATAAGTTAATGGCAATTCTACAATATTTATAATAATTATTGTGCTGATAAAGAAAAATTATGCAAATTCAGTTAAATGCATTAAAGATGGTATTTGAGGCAACTTTTAGTAACTTGCCAATTAATGTTTGGCATCCTGATTTGGGGGAGCAGCTTGCAGGTTCCAATGCCCAGATGCTGGACACATGCGCCTCTGGTTAGCACGGCAATCATACACATGCTGGGAATCTGAGGCCACTGCCTATTTAATAGCCCACTGCCTATCCTCACTGAGCATCAGGTTTGAGAAGATGTTTGCTTCCACACAGAGAGAAATGTACTGCTGAATGGCAACAACAGATCCACTAAGCAAAGACAGTGCTAAGAAAATTACAATGAAGGGAATTGTGTGACTAAAAAATGGCACCTATGCCAGTGCACTTTGAGCTAAGGAAGGGCCAAGACCAGAAACTACCAGGAGCGCAGCATCTGGCACTCTGAGCGCTGTAACTTTTTTTTTTTTTTTTTTTTTTTTAGACGGAGTCTCACTCTATCGCCCAGGCTGGAGTGCAGTGGCGCAATCTTGGTTCAATCCTACGCCTCCCAGGTTCAAACGATTCTCCTGCCTCAGCCTCCTGAGTAGCTGGGATTACAGGTGTGTGCCACCATGCCCAACTATTTGTATTTTTAGTAGAGACAGGGTTTCACCATGTTGGCCAGGCTGGTATTGAACTCCTGACCTCAAGTGATTCACCCATCTCGGCCTCCCAAAGTGCTGGGATTACAGGTGTGAGCCAGCACGCTCGGCCTGCAATTCTTATTCTGCAGTCTTCTTTAAGCAGAATTTTTACTCTATTACTTTACTTACTGTTTGCTACAGTCTTAGACATGAATTTACTGTATTTTGAGGTCTTGTTTTTAGCTAAATGAAAGGCATCTCTAATTATTTAAGAAAATTCTTTCATAAAAGTTTAGTTTGTAGTCAGCTACTCAGGAAGGCCCTCACTCACAGCTGAGGCATATCCATACCTAGTACAGCAAAGAGGTGGACTGGATTCCTTTCACTTTCTTCTATGCCTCCATTACCCTAATGATTTGTTTTATGTTCCCCAGTTCCATGATTTTAGTTGAGTTACACTGTAATTAGAATTTAAAAACTGGAAACAAAAGTACATCTGCTGACAAAAGGGTGCTCCAAGAGCTGGAAAGCCCGGGGAAAACCAAAAAAGGGAAGCATCAGATAAACAAAGCAAAAGGCTCCTGCCGCAAGAAAGCACAAAACACGACACACATGGAGAAAAGCAGCTCAACATCAAGCCCAGCAGGGCAATTAAAGGTATCGTCCAAGTGATGCCAATAAAGGGAGAAGGGCAAAGATCACGAACAGACAGGTGTGCCCTGCTGATAAGAAAGCTTTCTGAAAATCCACATTCATGCAAACATTTCAGCATACTGACTCTGTTCCTGGTACCTGATGCCAAATGTTCCACTGCGGGAGAGGGCCCACAGTCAGCATCCTGGGCAAGTAACAGGAGGCTGGATTCTTACCAGACAGGCAGGCAGAACACAGTCACACATGAAAAGCCCCCTTAGGACAGGGAGGGAGAGACACACAGACCAAGTGACTCAGGCAGACTCCTAGGAAAGAACCTGATTAAATCACAGTATAACACATGGTCTTAAAGCCTTTGAGAAAACAATAGTTATTTGGGGCCCAGCATTGTCAGTATCCCTTGGTTCATAAGAGTTAGGATTTTTAAAAAGTATTCATTCAATCCTTATTATATGCAAAGACACTGTGCCTCTTTTGGCCCACGACCAGAGTCCTGCCATCTGGACAGGAAGCAGCGAGAGGAGCCAAGGGCTCAGTCCACTCGATATGCAACCAAGTGCAGGCAGCACTTCTCCAGATGGAGGCTTCCCCTAGGTCACGCCTGCCACATGGGGCTGGAGCCCCGGGGCTGTATAAGGGGCAGAAGTTGCAAATGTGATAAGGTTCATCTTCCTGGAGTGTCAACTGTATTTGAAGACGTGAAAAGCATAAAACATGGCCATATTGAGAAGCAGATTATAATGTTTCGATCAATTGTTAGAATAAAACATGAGATTTCAAAAAACACTAGATCTGCCAGGCGCCATGGCTTAAGCTTGCAGCATACTTTGGGAGGCGGAGGTGGGAGGACTGCTTGAGGCCAGGAGTTCAAAACCAGCCTGGGCAACATAGCAAGACCCCATGATTTTTAAATAAAAAAGACAAAAGGAAAAAACAACAACAACAACACTGGATCTCACATCAGTGCAGATGTGTGCCTCCTGGTGAGGGCATCACGCACCTCTGAAGTACCTGTGCTGAAAGGCTGAGCCAGAAAGCGATCGAGCCTCTATATCCACCCACAGGCAGAAGAACATGTCCAGTGGAAACAGCAAAGGCCAGAATGAGGGAACTTCTGACTACTGAACAATCAGCCTGGATTTTCCAACAAATAAAATGCAAGGAAAAAAGGGATGGGGAAAAGTATTCTATTGATTAAGAGACTTAACAGACCTATCAGTTAACTGCAATTATTTGGACGCTGCTTCAAACAAACTAAAAATACCAGAGACTATTGGAGAAAATTGAATGGTACTATTATGAGATCATGATTATAAATGAAATTTAAACAGCAGTTTTCTTGACACTTTTCAATTTATCAAAAATAGCTATGTATTAAATCTCACTTTGGATGCAAACATTTCAAACTTCTTATACTTATTTTTAACATTCTAACATATGAAAGATTATTATTATGTTTTAAAGGGACAGGGTCTTGGTCTATGGCCAGCCTGGGCAGCAGTGGCATGATCCTAGCTCACTGCAGCCTGGAACTCCTGGGCTCAAGTGATCCGCCTGCCTCAGCCTCCCATGTAGCTGGGACTACAGGCACACACCACCACCCCCAGTTAATTATTTTATTTTTTTAGACAGAGTTTCACTGTGTTGCCCAGGCTGGTATCGAACTCTTGGGCTCAAGAGATCCTCCCACCTCAGCCACTCAATCACAAGTTAGAGACTGAAACACAGAGTAATTTCTTTTCTTTCAAACTCCTAGAGAAAGATGTTAAGGAGCAAATAGTTCTTGTATCAAAAAATGCAATACTCCATGAGGCAGGTCACACCCCCAGGCTGCCTGTGCCTTCCTTGCAGTGGGGAACCTTCTAGGGAAGGGTAGGGCCGAGAGATTTTGGAAAGTAGGCCTTGGACAAAGAGATGCAGGCCACTACTCTTGGTTTTCCAACTTATTCACTCATTCCTGGGCCATGAGGTATGACGTCTATTATTTTCAGTTTAATACTGGTTTGAAAAAAAATGAAAAATAAAAATAAGGTCAGACACAAACCAAACCAAAGTGCCATGTATATAGAAAGTCAAATACATCTGCTGAAGAATGAAATTGCTAAAGCCAAAAATGAATATGTTCAGGATGTTTTAAAATTTAATTACTTGATTTTTATGCAAGATGAAAAAGTAACAGCTGAAGAAAGAAATCTACACAAATTAAGTTTTTTAGTGGCATACCTGTGTGTCATATGTTTTAAGGAGATATATGGAAGCTTGATCAGGAAGGAAGGACTTCAATAAAAAAAGGAGCAAAGCAACGCCAACCTTATCCTTCTTTAATTACTGTAGTGGAGTCCCTTACCCAGAAAATAATAATAGTTGGTCAATTCTCACCTGGAAAATTTTTAGAGCTTTTAAAAATGAAATTTCAAGGCCAGGCGCAGTGGCTCATGTTGTAATCCCAGCACTTTGGGAGGTCGAGGAGGGTGGATTGCCTGAGGTCAGGAGTTCGAGACCAGCCGGGCCAATATGGTAAAACGCCATCTCTACCAAAAATACAAGAATTAGCTGGGCGTGGTGGCACACACCTGTAATCCCAGCTACTTGGGAGGCTAAGGCAGGAGAATAGTTTGAACCCAGGAGGCGGAGGCTGCAGTGAGCTGAGATCATGCACACCACTGCACTCCAGTCTGGGCGACAGAGCGAGACTCCATCTCAAATAAATAAAAATGAAATTTCAAAAGGTAAATTTCTATAATATGAATAAATTTAAGATAAAACATGATTAACTACTGTATATGCATGTGCTTTGGGGATTTTCCACATTTTTTTAATGGAACATGCACTATAAAATCTGATTATTTTAAAACTGCTTTTACTATGAGGTATTACTTACTTATAGAAAAGCATAGAAAACATATGTATACCGTTTCATGAAGTTATTACATAAATACCAGTCCAACTACCACCAAGGGATGGAGCATTGCCAGAACTCCAGAAAGGCTGGGTGCCTCTATCTGACCCCAAAACCCTTCCACCACATACGTAAGTAAGTACTAGCTTTAACAAAATGATTTTGTTTGATTTGTTGACGCAGCATCTTGCTCTGTCACCCAGGCTGGAGTGCAGTGGTGCAACCACAACTCACGGCAGCCTCGACCTCCCAAACTCAGGCAATTCTCCCATCTTAGCCTCCCAAGTAGCTGGGACCACAGGAGGATGCCACCGTGTCCGGAAAATTTTTTTTTTTTTTTTTTTTTTTTTTTTAAGAAGCTGGATCTCCCTGTGTTGCCTAGACTGGTCTGGAACTCCTGGGCTCAAGTGATCCTCCCATCTCAGCCTCCCAAAGTGCTGGGATTACAGGCATGAGCTACTGTGCTTTAACTTTTATGGTTTATCATTTCCAAACTTTTCTTTAGAGATTTATCACCTAGGTGTGCAGCCCTACCAAACATAACTTATATAAAAACCAGAAGCAGATGAAAATAACAAAATCATACTACATATATTCTTGTCTTGCTTTTTTCTTTGCCTTTTTTGTTGTTGCTGTGTCTGTAGTTTATTTTCATTGCTGTGTAATATTCTACTCAGTAAATATACCATAATTTAGTTATCCATTCTCATCCCCGAGGGTGGTCTCTGCTTTGGAGCAAATATAAACACGACTTAAGATTTTTCTGGTACAGCTATCTCAATCACTTTAGGCATGTGTTTCTCTGGTGTACATACCTAGAAGTATGATTGCTAGCTTATACTCTAAAGCCAAACTATTTCCCAAAGCAGCTGTAATGTGCACTCCCATCAGAAGGGTATGAGAGAGTTTCTGTTGCTTAACTTTTTCAACAACAATTGCCAAACTTTTTAATTCCTGCTAACTGAACAGCGGTATAATAGTATTTTTTTTTTTTTTTTTTTTTTTTTTTTTGAGACACGGTCGACCTCTGTCACCCAGGCTAGAGTGCAGTGGCATGATCATGACTTACTACAGCCTTGAAACTCCTGGGCTCAAGAGATCCTCCCACCTCAGCCTCCCCAGTAGCTGGGATTACAAGCATGTGCCACCACACCCAGCAAATTCAAAACTTTTTTTGGCTGGGCGCAGTGGCTCACACCTGTAATCCCAGCACTTTGGGAGGCCGAGGCGGGCAGATCACGAGGTCAGGAGATCAAGACCATCCTGGCTAACACGGTGAAACCCTGTCTCTACTAAAAATACAAAAAAATTAGCCACGCATGGTGGCAGGTGCCTGTAGTCCCAGCTACTCGGGAGGCTGAGGCAGGAGAATGGCATGAACCTGCGAGGCAGAGCTTGCAGTGAGCCGAGATGGCGCCACTGCACTCCAGCCTGGGTGACAGAGGGAGACTCCGTCTTGAAAAAAAAAAAAAATTTTTTTTTTATTTTTAGGCTGGGCACGGTGCTCATGCCTGTAATCTCAGCACTTTGGAAGACTGAGGTGGGCAGATCACCTGAGGTCAGGAGTTCGAGACCAGCCTGACCAACATGGTGAAACCCCATCTCTACTAAAAATAAAAAAATTAGCCAGAGCTAGTGGCGTGCGCCTGTAATCCCAACTAACCGGGAGGCTGAGGCAGGAGAACCACTTGAACCCGGGAGGCAGAGCTTGCAGTGAGCCAAGATTGCACCACTGTACTCCAGCCTGGGCAACAAAGTGAGACTCCATCTCAAAAAAAAAAACAAAAAATTTTTAGGGCCGGGCATGGTGGCTCACGCCTGTAATTCCAGCACTTTGGGAGGCCGAGGTGGGTGGATCACGAGGTCAGGAGATTAAGTCCATCCTAGTTAACACAGTGAAACCCTGTCTCTACTAAAAATACAAAAAATTAGCCGGCGTGCTGGCAGCCACCTGTAGTCCCAGCTACTCAGGAGGCTGAGGCAGGAGAATGGTGTGAACCCAGGAGGCAGGGCTTGCAGTGAGCCAAAATTGCACCACTGCACTCCAGTCTGGGCAACAGTGCGAGACTCCGTCTCAAAAAAAACAAAACAAAAACAACATTTTTTTTTTTTTTTAGAGGTGGGAGTCTCACTATGTTGCCCAGGCTGGTCTCAAACTCCTGGCCTCAAGCAACCCTCCCGCCTCAGCCTCCCAAAGTGCTGGGATTACAGGCATGAGCCACCACACCTGGCCAACTAAGAATTCTTTATTATAGAATTTCATCATAATTTTGAATAAAGAATTCATGAAATTTTACATCTGGCAATTACTGCAATGGAGATTTAATTTTGTAGCCAAATATTTGTTCACCTTCCCCATGGTTCCTGCACCCTGATCCTTGTCAGGTATAAATTCCCAGCTCAGTCCACAGCTTCCAGGGGCGCTGACTCCAACACCTGGGCCCAGGTAAAGCCTGTGATTTGCACCTGGTCATTCAGAGCATCTTATTTTCCTGCCCAGAGTTGGCTCATCTCTGAACACACAACCCAGGTCAGGATTAATGGGTCTCCTCTTCCCACTATGGGACTTATAGAGATTCTCCCTCTTTCCCAAAGAACCTGAACACATGAAGGAGGATGCTGGGGAAGAAACTGGCCCAAGTGAACCATCTATAGCTAGCCCTGCCTTAGGTTTTTCAATCAGATGATCAATAAACCTTCTTTTTACTTACTTAAAACAACTAAGGTTGAATTTCTCAAAATTTACATCAGAAAGAGCCCTCATTGATACAATCACATACTCAGAAACAGGTTTTAATCTTGTACTCAAGAACTGTATAGGTCAATTAAGGTAACACATGACAACATATGTATGTGTTTACACACATTCCCAGCATTCCCTCAATCATACATTTGTTTAAATCTAAACATTTTTAATAGTCATAGGACTGGTTAAGGTTTTCTATTTCTTCAGTTACTTTTAGTTAAGTTACATTTTGAAAGAAATTTGTCTATTTTATCTAAATTTTCAAATGTATATAGCGTGATGCTAATTCTAATATCCTTTTATGATATCTTAACAGTCTACTGAATCCATAGTGTTTTCACCTTTTTCATTTCATTTCATTATTTATATCTGTTTTTTCTTCCTTATCAGTTTCACTGGAGCTTTGTCAATTTTACCACTTTTTTTTTTCCTTTTAGAAACACAGGGTCTCACTCTGTCACCCAGGCTGGAGTACAGTGGTGTGATCATAGCTCACTGTAGCCTCAAACTCCCAAGCTCAAGCAATCTGCCCTCTCCTCCTGCCCAAAGTGCTGCGATTACAGGTGTGAGACACCATGCCTGGCCCCAGATGGAAACTGACTATTTAAGCCTGAGTGCAGTGTCTCACGCCTGTAATCCCAGCACTTTGGGAGGCTGAGATGGGTGGATTGCTTGAAATCAGGAGTTCGAGACCAGCCTGGAGAACACAGTGAGACTCCGTTTCTACAAAAAATACAAAAATTAGCTGGGTATGGTGGCACACGCTTATAGTCCCAGCTACTAGGGAGGCTGAGGCAGGAGGACTGCTTGAGCCCGGGAGACAGAGATTGCAGTGAGCCGAGATCACACCCACTGCACTCCAGCCTGGACACTAGAGTGAGATCCTGTCTCCAAAATATATATAAATAAAAATTTTTCCCATCAAATATTATTTTCTTTCTATCTGAATTTCCTTTAATACTCCTTTAGTGCCATTCTGCTGGCAATAAATTCTGATGTCTATTGGCCTAAAAATTTATTTTTGTTTTTGGGTTTTTTTTTTTGAGATGGAGTCTCCCTCTGTCGCCCAGGCTAGAGTGCAGTGGCACGATCTCGGCTCACTGCAACCTCTGCCTCCCGGGTTCAAGCAATTCTCCTGTCTCGGCCTCCTGAGTAGCTGGGATTACAGGCACCTGCCACCACACCCAGCTAATTTTTTTTAGTAGAGACGAGGTTTCACCATGTTGGCCAGGCTAGTCTCAAACTCCCGACCTCAGGTGATTCGCCCACCTCGGCCTCCCAAAGTGCTGGGATTACAGGTGTGAGCTACCATGCCTGGCCTAAAAATTTCTTTACTTCTGAAATAAATAAAAATTTATCCTTCATTTTTGAAAGACATTTTTGCCAGATACAGAACTCTAACAGGTTTTTTTCTTTCAGTACTTTGAATATGTTGCTCTGTTGTCTTCTGGTTCACACAAGATGTGACCAGGAATCGCTGTTATTAGCAACTGTATTCCTCTGTAATGTGTCTTTTCTTCTGGCTGCTTTGAAAGCTTTTGATCTTGATCACTGGTTTTCTGGCAATCTGATTATGAGGTACCTTGGATTTCTTTATATTTGCTCTGTTTGGAGTTTTTGAGCTTCATAGTTTGCATTTTTCATCAAATTTGGAAAATTTCCAGCCATTATTTCTCCAAATATTTTTTCCATTCCCTCCTCTTCTCCTTCTGGAACTAGGTTATACATATCTTAAGTCAGCTGACTTTGTCCCACAGGCTGCTGATGCTCTGTGATCTCGCGCAGTCTGGATTCTCTGTGCTGTGCTTTGGAAAGCTTCTACTGCTACGTCTTCAGGCTCATGAACTCTTTTCTTCTGTCGTAATAACCTGTTGTGATCCCTCTACTGCATTATATATACATATACATGTGTATATATTATTTTACTATATATAAATTTATTTTATTATATATTTTATTATATAAATAAAATATATATTATTTTTATCTATTTATTTATTTTTGAGACAGAGTCTTGCTCTGTCGCCAGGCTGGAGTGCAGTGGTGTGATCTCGGCTCACTGCAACCTCCACCTCCCGGGTTCAAGTGATCCTCCTGCCTCAGTCTCCCGAGTAGCTGGGATTACAGGCGCCTGCACCACGCCCGGCTAATTTTTGTATTTTCAGTAGAGACGAGGTTTCGCCATGTTGGCCAGGCTACTCTTCAACTCCAGACCTCAAATGATCTGCCCACCTCAGCCTCCCAAAGAATTGGGATTATAGGTGTGAGCCACTGCGCCCGGCATTTTATATATTGTATATATTCTATTTTCATCTCTGGAAGTTTTATTTCAATCTTTTTTGAGTCTTTCATTTCACTCAGTATGCTTATGTTTTTCTCTACGTTTTATGTTGAGTGTGCAACATATTTATAAGTTATTTTAATGTTTGTGTGCTAATTGCATCATCCCTTGTCTTTCTGGGTTCTGTTTCTCTTGATTTTCTTCCTGGTTAATATCACATTTCCTTGCTTCTCTGCATACCTGGTAATTATTTATTAGATGCTAGACACAATTTCTTTTTACATTTTTGGGTGCTAGTTTTATTACATCCTTTTTAAATATAGTCGGGGCTTTGGTTCTGATAATGTAATCAAGCTATCTGTAATCAGTTAGGGCAAGTCGGGAGCAGCCCATTGGTCTATGGATAACTCAGCCCCACTGCTAAGGCAGCCCTTCTGAGGAATCGTCCTGACACCATAGATGAAAAAGCTGCTCTGAACCCACGCTAACAAAGATGAAAAGGCAACCCTTCAAAGGATCTACCTGAGACCACCCTGGGTGGTGGGAACACAAACTATTCCCAGCCCTGTGCAACTGATGTCCAAGAAGTGCTTGGCCTTCTCCTTTTTGGTGGTTCTCCTCCCAGCCTTGAGGTGCTTCCTCTTGGCCACGTGCAGACCAGGATGCAGCCAACGCCTCAAGGGGGCCCTTCTGCAGATCTCTAGAGCTCTCTCTCTAACCTGCTCCCTCCTCTCCTATGTTTTCCTCCACAAATTCTAGCTGTCTTGTCCTCCCCAATTTCTCCTGTATCATCACTTTAGTGAAGCCAGTGGGTTCTGTTTGACTTCTCTCTTCCTGCCCTGAAACATGGAAACTGCCTCTCGAGACAAACTAAGGCTGTTTGTGTCAGAAAGGTTTTATTGTAATGCGTCCACGTCCATTCACTTACATACTTAGGATGAAAGCAGGCACAGAGCATAGCAGAGTAGTTGTGACATTAACAGCATCCGGCCCCCAAAACCTACAATGGTTACTATACAGCCCTTTATAGAAAAAAGTGCAGTCTCATGCTGTGGGGTATAAGCTGGAATACTGCAGGGCTTGTTTTGTTTGTTCCCCTTATTTCAAGGAACATGGTCCTAACCAGCCTTCTGTCAAATGTATGAAAACTATTACTTCATATATTTTGTCTGGTTTTCAAGTTGTTTAAGATAGAAGTCAATTTGGGACTAGGGCAAGCCAAGTGAGGTACTTGCCTTAGGCACAAATCTTAATTGAGTGTCAAAAAAACTCAGTAATAGAGATAAAATCAAAATTAATGAAAAAATCCACGAGGTACAAAATACCAAAGTTTTATATATAATATCGATAATGGTGTCTTGCCAAGCCATGCTGGAGCTTGAGACAAAAAGAAAAATCATTAATACTGATCCTGTCTTTCAAATTTGGGTTTTGGGCCAGGCGTGGTGGCTCACTCCAATAATCTCAGCACTTTGGGAGGCTAAGACGGGAGGACTGCTTGAGCTCAGAGTTTGAGATCAGTATGGGCAACACAGTGAGACACCACTCTACAAAAAAAAATAAAAAATTATCCAGACGTGGTGGCATGTGCCTGTAGTCTCAGCTACTTAGGAGGCTGAGGCTGGAGGATCACTTGAGCCCACCCATCTGTATTACCATAGCTGTAGTGAGCTATGATTGCTCCACTGCACTCCAGCCTGGGCAATAGAGCAAGACCCTGTCTTAAAAAGTAAAAAATAATTTTGTTTTTCATCATGGATTTTTTTTGCATCAAATTTGATTTTTTTAAAGCACTGCATTAAAATATTAATAATCTCGATTACTGAGATTTTGGGTGTCCCTTTAAATTCTGCACTGAGGCAAGTGCCTCACTTGCCTTACCCTAGTCCTGGGTTGGGGGGCGTAAATCACCTCTAATTCCATCATAGTGGAAATGGAAGTCTCCGGGAATAACTTTCTTACTAAGTAGAATTAGACTAATACCTTATCACTATAAGAGTTTGTCGGAACTGCCAAACTTAATGTTTTCATTCTCAGAGATGTCTTTGAAAAAGAGATTACTTCGATGTGAAACATTATGCTCTAACTACTTCTCACTATTTGCAGCTAACAGTAGGGAATGTACATGTTCCCACATATACCCATCAGAGGCAATCATTAGATGTGTATCAAATGGATATAAATTAGTAAACAAATGCACTGTGTAGACAGGAAGATACTATGAGAACATAAAAACTTTCTTCTAATTACTAAATAAATACAAACACACAAAGATGTTGTGACTGCAAAATAACTGAGTAATTATATAGTATCTGGGCGACACACTGACAGTATGAGGTAGACCGAAAACAGCCACCTGCAGCAACTGCTGCCAAGTCAATTTCTTCACTGTTGAAAGTAAGTGCTCAGTCTCCAAACACACAAATTCAACTAAAAGCAAATAATGGCTGGGCACAGTGGCTCACGCCTGTAATCCCAGCACTTTGGGAGGCCAAGATGGGCGGATCACTTGAGGTGAGGAGTTTGAGACCAGTCAGGCCCACAAGGTGAAACCCCGTCTCTACTAAAAATACAAAAAATCAGCCAGAAGTGGTAGCGTGCACCTGTAGTCCCAGCTACTCAGAAGGCTGAGGCAGGAGAATCGCTTGAGCCCAGGAGGCAGAGGTTGCAGTGAGCGAAGATCGCGCCACTGCACTACAGCCTGGGTGACAGAGTGAGACTGTTTCAAAAAAAAAAAAAAAAAAAAAAAAAAAAGGCAAATCAACCAATAAGCATCTCTCTTGGTTTTGCAGGATTAGCATCCGTTCGAAATTAGCCTGCTCATTTTGTAGGCGTTCCGAACTCCCAATCCTACCTCATCAATATGCCAGGAGGGCACTGGGCAAGCAAAAGGACTCATCCATATGACAGGGAAAGCTTCTACCATGAGCCGATTTCCACAGATTCTCTACAGCGTTCATTTCATAGAAGGCACAGGTGCAGGAAAATGTTTTCAAAAGTACCGACAAAAAAGGTGTTTTTTAAATTAAAAATGTTATGGTATTAAATTTAGTGGGGGAATGAAGATTATGAAATTTAAGGGGGTAATTATCATGAAGAAATTGTCTAGAACTCATGGAATTCAATGTAACAATCAGACGTCATCAAATTCACAACATACCCCCTCCAATACACACTTCCCTTTACATCTGCTGCTTCCGAGCCAGCCTCTGGGTGTGAGTAGACCCTGCCCTGCTGGCTCAGCATCCCCTCCCTCACCAGGAGTGGACTTGCAAACTCTGCTCCAGCCGCAACGACTGTCTCCTTCTGTGTTTTTGTTCTTCCACTGCCTGTCAAACACTTCATCTGCAAGACTCCATTCAAGTATCTTGACAACTACTATTTATCACTAGACTCATGGTTTTCCACTAAACTTTAAGCTCCTTTAGAGCAGGGATCATGCTAAATTTATCCTGTAGTCTCAATGCCTAGCAGGACGGCAGGCACACCCAGCAGGTACCACTTGTTTGTTGAATTAAACTGCGAGCATCTTTTCTCTAACTCTCCCTTCCCAGGGAAACTGACCTTACCTCCTGAAATCCTGGTCCTGTAAGGACACCCATCACAACACTTACAAGCCTGTACTTGCCTTGCTTCCTTCTCTCTCTCCCATCTGACTGTGAGCTTTCTGAAGACAGCAATGTGTCTTGTTCAGGTTTGTATCCTCAGCACTTACAATGGTGCTGGCCACACAGTATGCATTTGGTCTTAGTTATTAATTTACTTCTTGTAGTTATTATTTGTCACAATTACAAATTTGCCTGTTATAGAGATGAGGAAACTAGAGTACGAAGATTCAGCAGCTTCACAACACGATACGTTACTAAGCGGCACAGCGGTCTACCTCGAGTCAGTGTTCTTAACTACTATGTCTGTTATCACACCGCGACTACCTCAACAAAGACAGGCTCACTGACTTGTGCCGTAAGAATCAACAGTTATGCTGTTAAATCAGATTTGCCATTTGTACGCTCAAATTATCTTAGAAAGATCATTCAATGCTCCAACTCTGCTGGCCAGGGTCTGGATTGTTGAGGAACTAAAACAATTACATCAAACAACTTGCCCAAAGTCAGAGCTAACAGGACTAAAACCTAGGTCTCAAAGACCCAGCAATTTGACCATAGTATTTTTGCTGACTTTGACAACTGTCAATTCAAACCCTGCACGATTATCTAATTCCTTAGCAAGAGGCAAAATACATATCTCAAAATTTCCAAAATATCAATAAAGCCCAATAGATGCATCCACCCCATTTTAAAACCAAGTATCTTTTTTTTTTTTACTGTTTTGAATTTCAGCACTGACACAGCCAGAGTTTGTTTACTCCCTTAGGACTCATATATGACATTCACAACCTGATGCACCAGGGAGCACCTTTAGCTGAACCAAATAAGGCTAGTGCCTGACTTCAAAATAGATTTTAAGATCTCGGCTAGGCTAAAATAAAATTTATCACATCATTTAAATTATTGTTTGGAGGCCAGGCACGGTGGCTCACACCTGTAATCCCAGCACTTTGACTTTGGAAGGTCAAGGTGGAAGGATCACTTGAGGCCAGGAGTTCAAGACCAGCCTGGGCAACATAGTGAGACCCCATGTCTATAAAAAATGTGAACATTAGCCAGGTGTGGTGGCATGCACCTGTGGTCCCAGCTACTCGGGAGGCTGAGGCGGGAGGATGGCTTAAGTCCAGGAGGTTGAGGCTATAGCGAGCTGTCATTATACCACTGCAGTCCAGCCTGGGCAACAGAGCAAGACCTTCACCCCCCCCCAAAAAAAACACACACACACACACACACACACAAATTACTTGCTTAATTTCTAGCTACTCTAATATGAAAATTGAGTACAATTATTTATCTTACTTTTGAACAGTATCATCCAAATGCATCTGGATGAGGAGGAGGAAAGAGCAAGGGGAGAATGGAAGGACTGTGCTGCGCTACTCTGTCACAGTTACAGCTATTCTTGGGGGAAAGAAGCCATTTTGTAGCAATATACCTCAGTGAGTTTTTTTCATTTTTGCTTATGGAACTGTGATAGGTTTCCCTGACGTCTTACTCACCTGAAATCATGATCAAACATTCATTACCACTGCATACTTACTTCATTCCTAAAACACAAAATGTCAGACATATTTTTATAGCTAGATAAGAGTCATGTTAAAAGTTTAAGATATGTAGTGTAACACTTCTTTGATTGTAATATTCTTCATGCTATATAAACTCTCTAGAATAAATTTACTTCATAATCAAATGTGGCCACCCACCTCACCTTGCTACAACTGCTAGACACACTAGTACAAACTCTCCTAAGTAGCATCCAATGATCACATATACAAAAGTGTAAAACATTTCCAGATCACCCTAGAATTTTCATCTAAGCGGCCTTTCAAATAAACTATATTCTGCAATGTTGGCTTTTACCTAATACACTAATGATTCACTGCAGTTTACACCGTGAATTTAAATAGAGATTTGTTATGCAACATCAAATTTCTTAGTTTCTCCAAAAATTAATCAATATCTTGAACATAAAATATTCTATTCTCAACAATCATTATACAAATAAAATGGCTACATTAATAAAATTTTCTGCCAGAAAATTATGAAAATAAATCTTTAAATGTAGGTTAGAGCAGTGGCAGTGCTGCTAAATGACTTCAGAAAAGACTCAGCGAGTGAGGGGCATCCACAAGCCAGGCACAGAGGAGCAGGTGCACAGGCCCTGGCCAGCCCCAGCCTCCTGTGCTGTGTGCAGGCAGTACACCTTGCACACGGCACTGGCTCTGCCCCAGATGGTCACAGACAGTTGGGACCAAAGCACCCACCAAATGTATATATCATGTAGATAAATATTTTAGAGACAGGGTCTTGTTCTGTCACCCACGATGGAGTGCAGTGGCACAATCACAGCTCAGTGTAACCTCAAACTCCTGGCCTCAAGCGATCCTCCCGCCAACATGCTAGTATTCCAGGCATGAGTCATCGTGCCCAAATTATTTTTTTTTACTTTTATTTTAGGTTCAGAAGTACATGTGCAGGTTTGTTATACAGGTAAACTCCTGTCACCAGGGTTTGATGTACAGATTACTTTGTAACCCAGGTACGAAGCCTAGAACCCAATGGTTATTTTTTCTGATCCTCTCCCTCTTCCCACCTTCCACCCTCAAGTAGGCCCTACTGTCGGTTGTTCCCTTCTTTGTGTCCATGTGTTCTCATCACTTAGCTCCCACTTATAAGTGAGAACATTCGGTACTTGGTTTTATGTTCCTGCATTCGTTTGCTGAGGATAATGGCCTCCAGCTCCCAACCACGTTCTTGCAAAAGACAGGAGGATCTCATTCTTTCTTACAGTTACATCGTACCCCATGATATAAATGTACCAAATTTTCTTTATCCAATCTGCCACTGACAGGCATTTCAGTGGATTCCATGTCTTTGCTATTGTGAATAGTGCTGCAGTGAACACACATGTGTACATATCTTTATGGTAGAACAATTTATATTCCTTTGAGTATATATAACCAGTAATGGGATTGCTGGGTCAAATGGTAGTTCTATTTTTAGCTGAGGAATCACCATATTGCTTTCCACAATGGTTGAACTAGTTTACACTCCACCAACAGTGTATTAGGATTCCCTTTTCTCCATACCCTCAAAATAAGCATCTTATTTTTGACTTTTTAATAATAGTTATTCTGACTGGTGTGAGATGCTATCTCACTGTGGTTTTGATTTGCATTTCTCTAATGGTCAGTGATTTGGGCTGTTTTTCATATGCCTGTTGGCTGCATGTGCATCTTCTTTGGAAAACTAACTGTGCATGCCCTTTGCCCACTTTTTAATGGGGTTGTTTTTTTTCTTGTAGTTCTTAAGTTTCTTAAGTTCCTTATAGATGCTGGATATTAGACCTTTGTCAGATGCATAATTTACAAATATTTTCTCCCATGCTGTAAGATGTATGTTTACTCTGTCGATAATTTCTTTTGCTGTATAGAAGCTCTTAAGTTTAATTAGATCCCATTTGTCAATTTTTGCTTTTGTTGCAATTGCTTTTTGTGTTTTCTTCATGAAACCTTTGTCAGTTCCTGTGTCCAGAATGGTATTGCCTAGGTTGTCTTGCAGGGTTTTTATAGTTTTGGGTTTTACATTTCAGTCTTTAATCCATCTTTTGTTGATTTTTGTGCATGGTGTAGGGAAGGGGTCCAATTTCTTTTTTTTTTTTTTTTTTTTGAGACGGAGTCTCGCTCTGTCACCCAGGCTGGAGTGCAGTGGCGCAGTCTCGGCTCACTGCAAGCTCCGCCTCCCGGGTTCACGCCATTCTCCTGCCTCAGCCTCTCCGAGTAGCTGGGACTACAGGCGCCCGCCACCACGCCCGGCTAATTTTTTTGTATTTTTAGTAGAGACGGGGTTTCACTGTGGTCTCGATCTCCTGACCTCATGATCCACCCACCTCGGCCTCCCAAAGTGCTGGGATTACAAGCGTGAGCCACCGCGCCCAGCCGGAAGGGGTCCAATTTCAATCTTCTGCATGTGGCTAGCCAGTCGTCCCAGCACCGCTGATTGAATAGGGAGTCCTTTCCCCACTGCTTTTGTCAGCTTTGTCGAAGATGAGATGGTTGTAGGTGTGCAGCCTTATTTCTGGGCTCTCTCTTTTGTTCCATTCGTGTCTGCTTTTGTACCCGTACCATGCTGTTAGGTTGCTGTAGCCATGTAGTATAGTCTGAAGTTGCGTAACAGAATGCCTCCAGCTTTGTTCTTTTGCTTAGGACTGCCTTGTCTATTTGGGCTCTTTTTTGGTTCCATATGAATTTTAAAGCAGTGTTTTTCTAGTTCTGTGAAGAAGGTCCTCGGTAATCTGCTAGGAATAGCAGAGAGTCTGTAAATCGCTTTGGGCAGTATGCACGCCCAAATATTCTTTTTTTTCCCCCCGAGACAAAGTCTAGCTTTGTTGCCCAGGCTGGAGTGCAGTGGCGCAATCTTGGCTCACTGCAACCTCCGCCTCCCGGGTTCAAGCCATTCTCCTGCCTCAGCCTCCTGAGTAGCTGGGATTACAGGTGCCACCACACCCAGCTAATTTTTGTATTTTTAGTAGAGATGGGGTTTCACAGTGTTGGCCAGGCTGGTCTCGAATTCCTGACCTCGTGATCCACCCGCCTCGACCTCCCAAAGAGCTGGGATTACAAGCGTGAGCCACCGCACCCGGCCACATGCCCGAATATTTTTAAATGACAGCACCCTTTCCACAGTCTGGCATTTGTCTTGAGAAAAATGAAACTTAAAAGAATTGCCTATAAATTAAAATATCAAAAGCACTGAGGCAGATTTTTCTAGTGTTTCCAAACTACCTCATTCTCCTCAGTCATCTCTATACTCGAATGCAAAGGACTCATTTAAATTTGCTACCCCTCACAATATGGGTGTTCGCTTGCATGAGAAAGAACTTGAGGGAAAAGCAAAGGAAGGAAGGATCCATTCGCAACATGAGACATCATCTGTTCTTAGTTGTTTCCTACTCCTTAAAGGCAGGAGAAAATAGAAATATTCAATAATTTGGAAAAACAGTAACTTAGTAATAGAAAAAAAAGATTTCTTGGTTGAATTTGAAAACATCTGAAAAAGTCCTATAAGGAAAGGGTAGATCATCCAACCACCTTCAAGGAAAGCGTCTGTGTCCAGTATTCATTCATTCACCCAACATGTACTGAGTGCCACAGAAGGGAGAGGGACAAGAAAGACAGAAGCCTCCCCTTCACAGAGCTGACAGTCCACAGGCAAGAAGACAGAACACCAGCAATAAGAGTGTGTGTGTCTGTGCAGGGTGTGCATGTGTGTGAGACGAAAAGTACCAAAGGGAAGTGCACAGTGCACATGGAGGTCACACCCATTTATGTGGATATGGGGACCTCCCCCACCCCAGGAGAGGACATTTAAGCTATAATCTGAAAGATAAGTAGAAATTACGTATTTTCTATAATTCTCAGATTTTAAAATTATAAACATAGGTAAATGCAGTAAGAAAAATCAAATGCTTAAGAAGTAGCTTAGTATTAAACATCAATTCAACATCTCATTTTGTAGATTATATACGAAAAAAAAACCCGTTCTAATTCTAGGGTACCAAACTTCTTGCTGTATTCATGCTTAATATATATTACTGCTATGTCTATTAGTGTGTTTGTGTGTGTATAAGAGAGAGTGGGTGTGTGTGTAGGTAGTGCTTGATAAATATATATATTTTTTGGTGGGAGGACAGAGTTTCACTCTTATTGCCCAGGCTGGAATGCAATGACATAATCTTGGCTCACTGCAACCTCCACCTCCCGGGTTCAAGCAATTCTGCCTCAGCCTCCCAAGTAGCTGGGATTACAGGTGCCTGCCACCATGCCCGGCTCATATTTGTATTTTTAGTAGAGACGGGGTTTTACCATGTTGACCAGGCTGGTCTCGAACTCCTGACCTCAGGTGATCCACCTGCCTCGGCCTCCCAAAGTGCTGGGATTACAGGTGTGAGCCACCACGCCCGGCCAGTGCTTGATAAATATTAACTGAATGGAGTGGGTTGCAGACCAGGGCTTAGAAAATGTATTTGTTAAAAAGATACTTTTCTTCTTGAAAAATGCTGAGAAAGTAGACGTCTTTTCTGAAAGATTTTATGTTTAAAAGAAAGAAAAAATGTAAAGTGTTCTCACCACAAAAAAAGATAACTGTGAGTTTATCTTTACACTTGCTAATTTGCTAGACTTAACCATTCCATAATATATATACTTCAAAATATCATGTTGTACATGATAAATATATATACAATTTTATATGTCAACTAAGAAAAATAAATTTAAGGAAAAAAGGATACTTTTCTTCTCACACTTCTTTCCCAAGTACAAAATTAAACCTCAGTACCAACTGGCTTCCAGGCATTAAATTACACTTCAAAATTATCCTTATTAAAGGTGATACAGGAGGTGCTTTTCATCAACTCATATATTAGAAGCCTTGTGCTAAGTTACTATTATGAACAAAACTTTTAGATAAGCAAATCTGAAAGCAAGAAATGAATTTGTTTTACAAGATATGAAGCTGCAAGTTGTAATAAACCAAACTACCCATGATGATGAATGATAAAACTGCCCAGCACTATTAGATATTCTCAAAATCCCAGGCCAAAAAAAAAGGGAAAACAAACCCTCTAAGAACTGAGGGTTTTGAATTAAAGTTCTAAGCCAAGAAAGGCTCTTGTATTCTGGGCAACGGGACCCATGGCTGGGGCTGGGAGACAGAAGGTCACTCCACATAAGGGCAGCGGGCAGCAGGCAGCACTGGGCAGAGAGCAAGGCAGACCAGGAGCACTCAGGAGAGCTGGACAGTGAGGCGGCAGGACCTGGCCTGACCGAAGTCCCAGCACTCCACGCTCTATCTGCAACAGTTTGGAAGAGCCAGAGGCCTCTCTTCACCATGTGGTAAACCAAGAGCCTATCTTACCCTTTTCTTTGAAAAATGTTTTACCTCCGCCTGCTGAGCTTGGGGACACAGTTTCACCACTGTGGTGGAAGTTACTCAGAAAACAGAAGTCACCTTGTTATGTCAATGCCCTGCTCACTGTGTGGTCCTCCTGTGTGGGCGACATGGGTTTCCTCACCATAGGGATGGCAAACAAGTACCCCAAAAAGAACATCCAGGCAAAAACTGCACCCTTTTAAGGACCTAACTCAGCAGTCACATAGCACCATTGGGCCATACTGCTGGGTGAGGGAGGCCACACACCCAGCCCAGGTGCAGCTCTCTGTCAAAGTCCCATGTGAGAAGAATAGGGAGAATGGGAGAAATCACTGAGAATACTTAGGAAAACACAATGTCACCCTAAGTGAGTTATACAGTAAAATCTCAGTCTTCTTTCAAGATTGGAAAATTAAAAACCAGGGTTCAATGGAATCTGGCTAAAAAAATCAATTTGTATTTCAAACCTTGTAAGCCGAACCTCTTATTACTTGTAATAAGTTGCAACTTGTAAGTTGAGCCTAAATTACTATGTTGTCCTGCCTTAGTAAATACAGTATCATGACCTTGATTTAACAGGTGGTGATTCAGATTCACCCCTGGGTAACTGCTGGGCACTGCAGCTTCTCTGTAAGAACACAGAATACCACAGCCTGGCAGAAATGGAGATGTCAAGCCAGAATTTATCCCAACATTCCAGTTTGCAGGCTCGGCTATGCACCCATCTCTCATCACAGCACACAGCGTTAAGGGCAGAGGTCATGCCCTTTGCCCCTCCTATGGGTGACTCCAGCACACTGAGTAGAAATTCTATAAATAACCAGAAGAAGGGAAGACAAGAATTTTTAAAATTCTAAATTACAGAGTCTAAATTAGATGCCTGTTGTTATTACAGGCCTCTTTCTGACAAAAGGAAAGCAAAACAACAACAACATCAATTAACTGAGAGCAAACCTCTTCTGTCAGGACAGCGATCCTTAGAAGAGTAGGGAGCCAGGAGCCAGGAGCCAGGTTTCTGATCCTAGGTCTGATTCTGACCTGCTCTGGGACCTTAACCAAGTGGCATCACTTCTTTGGGCCTCATTTTCCTCATCTGTAAAATAAAGGGATTGGATTAGACAAAGATTCTTAACTGAGGCCTACAGGTGAGCCACAGCAGCATGCCCGCTGTGTGCCTCAAGGCCAGTCTATCCTCAAGCTCAACATTTAAATTCTATAATCTCAATGCTTATTAACAAAGAGAATGAATTCTACAGAGCATGAAAACATTCTCCCAGTGTCTGGCCAGGCCCTCTAGGAGCTGCCGCCTCGGCAGCAACCACCAGGCTCCAACCTTCCGACCTCAGGCCCCTGAAATCACACACAGACATTTCAGTCTCTGGCCATCAAGATGTCAACATTGTTTTAAATGCACAAGGGAAACTAGTTTTATTTATTTATTTATTTTATTTTATCTTTCTGTAGACATGAGGTCTTGCTATTTTGCCCAGGCTGGTCTTAGATTCCTGGGCTCAAGCGATCCTCCTGCCTTCGTCTCCCAAAGTGCTGGGATTACAGGTGTGAGCCACCATCCCCGGCCTATGCTACATATATTTCTAACAAACAGCAAACAGATCTTCGGCAATGAAGACAATAGGCCCTCGTTTATCATTTTCACAAGCTTGACATTTTAAACATGGGTCTTTCTAACTTGGGCCTCCCTCCCCAAAACCAATCCCCATGATACCCTGGAAACAGGCAGGGCTGCCTCCCAGGAAGAGCCCTAGCAAGTGTTACCGGAAACAAGCCCTTCAGATGGATAGAAAGCTGTGCCAGGAGCCCACCAGCACATGCGGCTGCAACTGTGCTTTTGGAGACATCATGCATTGCCAGCCCTCAGGAGGTACAGATGAGCCAGCCCCTTCTACACAGTGCATGGACTGAGGTGGCAGGTCATCACACACACACAGGCTAGTTCCTCAGCCTGAAGTTGAAAACTATGTCTCAACCATATTCTGTTGCCAGGAACCAAGAGACCAAGGCAGACATCACCAGAGAAAGAACTGAGCTCAATGGACTACTCTGGTAAACAAAGAGAAAGGATGTGCTTCATATGGAAAGCTGAATTTATTTACACTAATCACGAATGCAGGCCCTCAGCTGGAAAAGCTCACTTCCAATGCCAGAAGGTTCAGAACCCATTCACAAGCTTTTCAGAATGCAAGCAGTTGCCATGGTAACCCCAACATTATATTTCTTGGCATTGGACATATAAATTACCACCCATAATGCATTTAATACCGTTTGGGGCCACTAATTCATTGCAAAATAAATCTCCGCTCTGACTCTTGGCCTCCCTCTAAGATAAACGAAGAGCAGCAGCTGGAGGTAGCACCCAGCTCACCCCACGGATAAACACAGAGCTCCACACATCTGAAAATGCTCTTCTAAAGGCAAAATAAGAACTAAGGAGATTAGAATTCATCATCTACAGCCAGTGGCTGAGATTTTTTAAGACGAAAAGTTCCATCCAGATTAATGTAACTGTCATTGCTTAAGTTAAAGAAATGAATATATTCTATGCGTATCTACACCTCTGAAACCAACTACGTTTAGCAAATCAAAGAAAAAGCAGATCTCTTCAAAGAACATCTTCAATAATTCACTTATATAGGGCATTTGTCAAGACTAAATAAGATAAGTCTTCAAACGTCAAAAGGGTCATTAACAAGAAATAAAGTTTTATTTCTTAGGTTCAAAAGAGGTCTATTCAATCATAATTCTTTACCTTGATTAGGGATATTCATAAACATTTAAAATACATATATGCATGATCTGTAAAGTCCCTTACCTTCTTATAATCCACCATCTGAACACAGAGATGAAAACAAAATTATCGTGCACAAACTGCAAAGACATCTTCAGCTTCACGTTCCCAGGAAGCCCACTGCATCAGTAAGTTGACAGAGCTGCTGCAGGACATGCTGTGCCAGCCACAGCATTCACAGAATCGCGTACGTTCTAATCACTAAACTGCCAGGTCCGGAGGAGTATTACCTTCATTATCTCCTCCTTCCGACTGCAGGCAACAGTCAGCAGTTGTGAAGGGGAGCAAAAGGCTTCACCACGAGTTGTTTCCATATTAACAAGGACTTTGGTAACCGCTGCATTGCAGTCTTTCTGAAAGCTACCAACCTCAGAAGCAAAAGCGCTGGAGAGAGACTCTCTGGCACAGGAAGCAGTCTTTCCAATCACGAAGATTTTTAAAGAATCTTTAAAAAATGCTGTGAACACCTGAGGCTTCTTCTAGATTTCCTACCTGTCTCCTAGAGGTTGACTGGTTTGTGTTTTTTACTGGAGGATGGCTGTGACAACTGGCCGTGCGGGGTGGGAATGCGGAAACGAGTGCGCTGTGCGCTACGACGCCCCCTCTCCGGGCTCAGGTACGCCCTGCGGGAATCTGCACATCTGCTGCTTAGCACCAGACTCAAAGCCCCTGCTGAGGGGCTCCTGGGAATGAGCCATGATTTCCATTCCAGAAAACCAAGTACAGCAAGCACTTCCAGGTCCTCTGTGGGCAGCAATCACTGAACACCCAGCCACCTTCACAGTGTGGTAACAACCATTACGTGGTCAGAGCACTTGAAATATTAAACCACTGACCATAGAACCAAATCAGGAAAAAGAGGCTTCTGAAATAGTAGCACGCTTAGTAAATGACCTTTGGTTTTCATTCATTCATGCAATACTAAGTTTAGTGAGCACTGACCATGTGCTGTATATAAAAAGAATATTCAAATGGAGCATCCCTAATCCAAAAATCCAAACTGCTCCAAAATCCGAAACTTTCTGAGTACCAACATACCACCACAAGAGGAAAATTCCCCAACTGACCTCACGTGACGGGTCACAGTCAAAACTCTGTTTCATGCACAAAATATTTAAGAATATTGCATAAAATTACCTTCAGGCTATGTGTATAAGGTGTATATGAAAAGAATTTTGTGTTTACACTTAAGTCTCATCCCCAAGATATCCAATTATGCATATTCAAATATGCCAAAATCCGAAAAGATCAGAATCTGAAACACTTCTAGTCCCAAGCATTTCAGATAAGGGATACTCAATCTGACTGTGGGGAACCGCCGTCAGGGCGGGCACCGGTGCTCTAGGAGGAAGAGTCATGGAAAACACACCATCATGCGTGGTGGAGGAGGGCTTGGCACCGCACAGGAGGAAGAACCCGGGCCCGAGTGCACCTCCAGGACAAGGTTCTGTGAGAAAGGAACATTGAAAAGGGGCTGAAGGACGTGGACTCAGCTGGACTACAGGGAGGGCCAGGGGGAGAACACCCTCCAGATGGCTGTACACATTCCTCAGCAGGTGCGGGAGGTCCTCTGCAAGGGGACCTTGCACGCCTGTGGCCGGAGCCCGTCCCTCCCTCACAGCAGCCCGGAGCAGGTACAGCCACCGCCACCACCACTGACAGAGCCTATGTCTGGGACCTGAGGCCTCCATTTGCCCAAGGCACATGGTGACCACGGGGAGGCACCAGGGCATGGACACAGCAGGGCAGCTCTGTGTTGTGCGACCTCACCACGCCGCCACCCATAAGTAACAGCTGTCCTTTGGCAGCCCTGGCACCCCTGACAGAGGTGACAGTCCACGCGGCCTCTGCTCAGATGGTTTTCTTCCACCCTATGTCCAGAGCCCAGCCGGACCCTGAACAGGTGTGAGGTGAAGGACTGCACGAATGAATAAACAAATTAAAGAATCTACTGGTCACTCCCCAATTCTAGTAACAGGAAATGACATGTCAGACCTCTGCCAATGTTATGCTGTTCTCTGATGAAAATGGCCCTTCTTTGCCTTGTCTCTGGCTACCTAACCTACTTCACATCTCAGGCTCTGGAATCTTCTCCTCCAGGACGTCTTCACTGACTCCCTTCCCACCCCTGGCAGCAAGGCCCTTTCCCTGAGCTCCCCCGACCTCCAGCAGCTCCCATGCTGTCCTGAAGCGGCGGCTCTGCAGCTGCCCCCGCACAGAAGCCCTGCAGTGGCGGTCAGGGTGGTATCTGCGGTGCTCAACGTGTTCCTTCTGCTGCCACATTCCTGGAGGACTCACCACATGTCAGCCACCTGCTCCACACGCACAACTCACTTGTTCCTCTGTGAGGCGGCTCCACCAGACAGACGAGGATGCTGAGGCACAGTCAGTTCAAGCAGAAGAGCCAGGATTTACACCCAGGAACCAGCCTCCTCCAGCCACATCCTAACCTCCCCTTCTGCTTTTGTAGATACCCAAAACAGAGTTCACTGACACCAACTGGAAAAGACGTTGTTACCTCACGGGGGTGGGAGGGATTCGAGTTACAGAAAAACTTTTAAGGAAATACAGCAGTCTTCCTCCCCCATCCTTCCCTCTTACTGTGAGATATGAATGAATGAACACATTTGGCCACAGCAGACATGCCTCCGCGTAAATTCCTGACAGGGAACACCTACGGCCTACAGGAGATGAGGAGAGAAGAGAAGGCACAAAGAGGTAGCGTGAGGTGGTTTCCTTTTGCCATCACCGTGCTTCAGAGAGACTCACTCAAGCAGTTTAAAAGCCTCAGAGGAACTTTCATCAAGCGCTTCTAGACGTATTTAGGTGCCACTCTGGGCACTCCCCACAGAAGTTCCAGAAGAACTCTGACTTTCAAGTCAGGGATCAAGGCTTGTTCTCTGTGGCAGCGCCACTCTCACCAGCCTCCAGTGGTGGCAGCGCTGCAGGATGACTCTTCCCCCATTGATCTGTCCGTCCTGTGACGCTGACCCACACGGCCAGAAGCCCAAGCGTAGCCTGAGTGGGCTCTCCGTGGGGGATCTCGAGCAGTGGGAAGGTCCCACACCAACACTCTTGTGCCTCCTGGAACAGCCAGCGCCTACAGAGGAGGGCCCCACAGCTGGCCCAGGGCTGAAGGGAGTGTCCACTGGTGGGAAGAGACGGGCAGGGGCGCAACCTGCCTCCAAGGGGTGGCAGAAGGTCCCAGAAGGAGCACACCACAGGACCCTTCCAACTGCCTCTCAATTCGACCATCTGATTAAGGGCAGCAAGGTTTGGTGCACGGGTGCCAGGTCCCCGCAGGCCTGTGAAGGTGGCTTCCTACTGTCTCCAGTTTACAGTTGAGGTGGCAGCGAGGCTTTAACAGGAGAAATCACTTTCCAAGTGCACCAGTGGGTGCTCCAGCAAAGCTGCTTGGCTCTGAGCGGCCTGACGCTTTGGACTTGGCATGACCTCCTCCTGGCGAAGGCACGGCCCGGTGTCCTCACAGCGTGGGCAGAGCAGAAAGGGCATGCTGCCTCCCTCTGGCACTGACTCCTCCTAACCAACCGCTCACTCCTTCTGGATCCCAGATTCCTTGTCTAAGAAAGGAGTAAGACCTATCCTACAAACCACATGATGTTGATTTTCAACTGACTGAATGCATTCTCTTTCTGCAGGAAGAGAATCGTGTCTACTCACAATTCACATGAGTCACCTGGTGTGTAAAAGGATTAGCTGTCTCAAAATGTAAGGCATGACTGTTACCAAATAGAGCCACAAGGCACTCAGTAATATTTTCAACCTTAATTCAGCTTAGATATATGATGAGAGACCTACAGGGCTCTTACCATTAACTAGAATGACCATGGCAAATCCTGCCCCTTTATTAAATAGTAGTAATGAAATTAGTAATTTAGCTCAGGCAGACTAGCTAACATCATTAACGCGCATTTACATGAATTTGATGCAAACTATGGAAACATCCCAATAGGTCTCATTTAGACACTTAAAATGCTAAAGGGCAACCCTACTATCTGCAGGTATTTTTCACTTCAAAAACAGGCAACTCAGTCACCAAAATTAACAAGAAAAAATCCAAGTAATCGGCATTCCGCCTGAAGGGAAAACATAGACAAATCATTCATATTCACTCTAGGTGCCACTGGGGCCACAGAACAAAGGATGTCCCCAAGAGGAAGCAGAGAGAAGAAAAATAATATAAAATACACACAAAATTTATTTGGCTTAGATACATACTTATTTACCAAAAATCTATACAGGATAAGACCATTTCATGACCACCAGATGTGATCTGGTCTTAGGAAGGAAAGAGACTGCAATTCTGCCTGTTTCTCTAGGCAACAGAGGGTCTCAGGGGCTTTAAACATGACACAAGAAGTCGCTAGGTCAGCAACAAAGGTCAAACAAGCCCCAGTCACAAGTAGCAAACTGTCTGTACAAACATAAATGGGAATCTGAACTGTAGGTAAAAGAAGCAGCAAAAGCAGATACAAACAACCTAGGTATATTCCCAAGAGAAATGACATGTCCACACAAAAACCTGTACATGAATGTTCACAGCAGCGCTATCACACAACAGCCAAAAAGTAGAAACAACCCAAACGTCTATCAATGGACTAACAAATACATAAAATGTGGAACATCCACACAATGGAATAATATTCGACATTAACAAGGAACAACCGATGCATACATGCACAATATGAATGAAAATATGGTGCTTAGTGACAGAGACTGCACACAGAAAACACATCCTGTCAACCGCATTTCCATAGAATGTCCAAAGTAGGCAATGGCTGCACAACTCTGTGAATATACTAAAAACCACAGACATGGACACTTTAAATAGGTAATTGTATGGAATGTGACGATTTCAATAAAGTTATTTTTTAAAAGCGGACACAATCAAGCCAAAGGCCAAACATCCAATAGACACCACTTAATGAGATGCAGGTCACCCAATCAATTAAAAAACAACAAGAAAACGTTACTGCAAGTTTCCACTATGCCAAAAGATGCATTACTTTTGGGGTACTCCTTCCAAAAATGTTAAATAAGCTTCTCACTAGTCAAAACAATTCATAATTCCTGTGAGAACTCCCCCTCTCCCAAATCTAAAAGTTCAACAACTTCTCAAGAAAAAAGTTGATCTTAATTTTAATATAAAATATAAGTCACATATTTGTGCAAATGTAGCACTTTTAATCATGAGGGAGAGGTGTCGCTATGGAACTTATCAACACTCTCCCCCAAGAAAGTATTCATTTACTTGATTCTGTCTACTATGAAATAAATAATACCTGAATCTTTAAGACCCAGAAACATTTCAGAAGGTTTGAGGTCAAAGAAAACACATTAACTCAACATAATGCTCACAAGAACGAAAATAAGCCTATGCATAAAATAAACAACTAAATGATGGTGGAAAGACCACATTCCCTAAACCTAACAAAAGCTCCCCGCTCATTCCCACCCACTGCCATCTGTCTACCTCAAACTCTTCAACAACCCAACTCACAGAAAGCACCTAGTCAATGTGGTAACATAAGCACAATCCTGTAATTGGCTCAAATCATCATTACAATAACATGTGTTTCTTTTTTTTTTTTTTGAGATGGAGTTTCACTCTTGTTGCCTAGGCTGGAGTGCAATGGCGTGATCTCGGCTCACCGCAACCTCTGCCTCCCGGGTTCAAGCAACTCTCCTGCCTCAGCCTCCCCAGTAGCTGGAATTACAGGCATGTGCCACCATGCCCGGCTAATTTTGTATTTTTAGTAGAGACAGGGTTTCTCCATGTTGGTCAGGCTGGGTCTCGAACTCCTGACCTCAGGTGATCCACCCGCCTTCACCTCCCAAAGTGCTGGGATTACAGGCATAAGCCACAGCGCCCGGCCAGCATGTGTTTCTGTTTTCCGCAGGAAGAGAATCATGTCGACTCACAATTCACAATGAGTCAACCGGTGTGTAAAATATTTTACATAATGGGAAAATTTATTGTGACCCAAAAGTTCAGTGTGTTCTCATTAAGTTACCAGAAATTACAGATGTGAAGATACTCCTGTTAACTTAACCAAAATCAAGAAAAGAAACTACTTTAGATACGCACACATTTTCAGTTTGGTAGATCTGATTCTTTTTATGATACTGCATTTCAAGTTACTCAGATTGGTAAATTCATAGCTTAAATACTAAATAGAGAAAATCTGCATATTGACAACATAGGTAATTTAAGACTGGTTTTGGCACTGCGTCACTTACTACCTATATAGCTAAGCTCTGTCAAAACCTGACAGGGACAGCTTCAGTTTTTGTAAATACTCGCATGGTGAAATGGTTTTTCCAAAGTTATGATACCATCTAAAGTGCTAATGGAGCCTTCCCATTGTGCTTCACGGTGAATAACATATTTCTGTGGAAAATCTTATAGTGTTGCATCCATTTAACATTTTCCCAGAATACATTCAGGTTTTTTTAATCCCGAAGAAAACATTTAAACAATTAAAACACATAAAATTTTTCTATTATGACCTTTTAAAAAACCCTCAGTCTTTTATTTTATTGTATTTTATTTTATTTGAGATGGAGTCTCACTCTGTCATCCAGGCTGGAGTGCAGTGGCACAATCTTGGCTCACTGCAACCTCCGCCTCCAGGGTTCAAGCAATTCTTTTGTCTCAGCCTCTCGAATAGCTAGGATTACAGGCACACGCCACCACACCCGGCTAATTTTTATATTTTTAGTAGAGACTGGGTTTCACCATATTGGCCAGGCTGGTCTCGAACTCCCGACCTCATGATCTGCCTGCCTCGGGCTCCCAAAGTGCTGGGATTACAGGCGTGAGCCACCGTGCCCGGCCACAAAACCCTGAGTATTTAAAGGCCACACTTGGAAACGGACATGTTTATGCATGCAATACAGATGCAAACATTTTAAACTACATAATCCACTGATACACACACACTAAGAAATCAAACATTTCCAATTCCATAAACATAATACATCTGAAGCAAAGATAATGCCACCAGGTATTTTTTACTTTATAAGTTGGTCCCCAGAAAAGGATAATTATAAAAGACACCAGGAAGCCTCTTTTCAACCTTGTTAAATAAACGACTTGCAAATATTAACCACAAAACTGTGGGTGAAGCCACTCTGTCCTGTCATGATTACTCGCTCATAAAGGCCCAAAATGCGTCTTGAAGGGAGTTTTTGCAATACAAATCCTAATCTTAATTATATAAACTCTATTCTTAACTATCTTAAAATACATTACAAAAGACCATTCTCAACTTTCTGAAAACTTTAATATCTTTTATAAAATCTGAAAGATTGAGACGGTGTTACTAAAAGTGTCACGGCTCATTAAATCTTGAATCATTAAGTCAAGTACCTTGGACAAATCATTTTAAATTAAAAGAACAATCTTTAATATACATTTTCAGATGAGACTTAATACATTCTACACAACTTATCAAAAGCCACAGAAAAGCTACGGAAATAATGGAATGAACACACAGTGATATTTGCTTCAGGAACAGACTATTTCACCCTACATCCTTTTAAAGTGCTTGAGATATGCATATTTAGTAGGCATATTTCAGAATTAGCTCTTCATTTTCTAATAAAAAAAGGGCAGACTTCCCTGCAGGCTTGGCAATGAAACATTTTCAAAATGCAGGTACCAGGAGGGTGTGGTGGTTCATGCCTGTAATCTCAGCACTTTGGGAGGCTGAGCCAGGAGGATCTGCTTGAACCCAGGAGTTCAAGACCAGCCTAGTCAACATAGTGAGACCCTGTCTCTATAAAAAAATTTTTTAAAACTTAGCCAAGTGTGGTGGTGGGTGCCTATAACCCCAGCTACTCAAGAGGCTGAGGTGGGGGATCGCTTGAGCCCAGGAGATTGAGGCTGCACTGCAGTGCGCTGTGATTGCACCACTGTGCTCTGGCCTGGGTGACAGAGCAAGAACCTGTCAAAAAAAAAAAAAAAAAAAAAAAAAAAAAAATATATATATATATATATATATATATATATATATATATATATGCTGGTCCCATTTCAGAAAGCAAATAAATTTTTAAAATGTAAAGGTACCTACCTACATCAAAATGCATCTGAAAAACATTAAAATAAAACTATACTCATTATATTTAAAAAGTCAGAAAAACGTATGTTGAATCCAGTTAATGTTTAAAGCTCTAGGCCCAGCTAAGAGGGCAGAGTGTGTGACTGCAGAGAGGGGGCCCCGGCACCCAAGTGCAGAAGGTTAGGAAGTGAGGGCAGCGCTCCTGGTCTGCAGCATCACCTGGAGTCGGCCCTTTCCTCCTTGGACCCGGGCAGCCAGACCCAAGGGCAGGATCCAGGCGATCCAGAACGGTTACCTCCTACACTCTGAGAGGGACACATTTGACCCTGCGTCACAATGCAGTGCCCCTTCTGCCAGCCCCCCATGTGGCTCACCTGAAACCGCACCTGTAGAGGACGCTCGCAAAGGAAAGGGGGAGATGACAGGGAGAACAACAGGACCTGCCGGGAGTGCCCTCCCAGCATGGGCTCACCACCCGCATGTGGTGACCACCCACCCCCTACACGGGAGGGCAGGCGTGATGTTTTCTTCCTTTGTATTTCAGCACGCTGCATAATGCGTGACAAGCAGATGCTCACTAAGACAGGTCCATAATCCCTTCTCTGCAATTTGAAAATCCAAAAAGCTCTCTGAAAACTGAAAGCATGTTCATAACTCACTTGGCGGTATGCCCTGATCTGATGTGAAGCTATTCATAGTCTCACTGTCCCACTTAGTGTGAATATTCATATACTTTTTGCTGCAAAAATCTTAATGTGCTTGATTATATGGTGCTGCCTAGGATGTCCTATACTATACGGTACTTTCACTATTTCTGTTCTAAAAATCTCAAAAATTCCACATTCCCAAACACCTCTGGCCCTGAGAGTCACAAAGGTGTGGTCCCATGACTGTTAGATGACAACAACAGGGCAGGCACTGGCCAGAGATGGTAACACCTGAGATGTAAATGAGCAGCAGGAAGAAGCACCTTTAATGGCCAGGAGAGAACAATAATCTCCATTCAAGTCTAGTTTATACATGTGTTCATTCTACAAACATGCTGAGCGATGTGCACACATCTCGCCCACAGCTGGGTAGACTGCATGAAAGCAAGAATGAAAGCAAGACTGCCGTGCCTGCCCTCATGGAGGGGAAGACCGTGAGGTGACAAACAAGTGCTCCGGCTCACACGGCAAACACAAGCTGTGGCTGGTGGTGGGTGCGGGCAAGAAAGGTGCTGATGTAACACTCAGGAAGGGCCCGAGCAGAGGGTGGCCAGGGAAGCCCCTGAGGAGTAACAGGGAAGCTACCCAAGGAACAGGGACAGCCACAGGCACAGCAAGAGTGGCAGGACAGGGACACACCGCTCTAGGAATCAGAGCATAGTGGCAGGGGAGGGGGTCTTGGGGGAAGGGAGAAGGATGCAGGGCTGGGGTGATGGAAGAGTTGGGATTTTTTTAAATTAATTAATTTTTAACTTCACTTTTTTTTTTTTTAGAGACAGAGTCTTGCTCCGTCACCCAGGCTGGAGTGCAGTGGCATGATCACAGCTCACTGTAACCTCACCTCAGCCTCTTGTAATTTTTAAAAAATTTAATTGACAAAAAAAATTGTATTTATTTATAAGATACAATGGGATGTTTTGATCTATGTATACATTGTGAAATGATTAAATCAAACTAGTTAATCTATCCATCACCTCACCAAGTTCCTTTTCTTGTGATGAAAACATTTAAGATCTACTCTTTAGCAATTTTGAAATATACAATACATGATTATCATCCATGGCCACAGAAGAGCCTGGAGGGCATTATGCTAAGTGAAATATGTGACGGATACCACATGGTCTTATTTATATGTGGAATCTAAGAAAGTAGAAGGTGAAGAAGCGTAGAGTAGAACAGTGGTTACGGAGGCTGGGAGCGGGGGAATGGGGAAAGGAGAGGTACTGGTCAAATGGTACAAAGTTTCAGTTAGAGAGTTAGGATTTGATTAAGTGTGAAGGGAAGTAAGTGGCTACTTGACTTAGTCAGGCATACAAACTACTCATCTCAAATCAAGCTCCCTCCAGGCCTCAGCCACCTGATCTGTCCACAAGAAGAAAGCCAAGATCTGATTTCTCAAATGCTTCCACTCCATGAAGTAACTTCCGTGGGTGAATCAAACTTCACAGAGCTTTCTACTAAGAAGGCTGAAGAACTTTAATGGGGGTGGGAGGGTTAATCATACTAAAATTGTACAAAAAGAAAAAGGCTATGTGATCAATGGGAAAGAGGCCAAACAGCTTTTAATCTCTACTGATTGTTAAATATTGTAAAAGGTTGGCTAACAGCACTACCCCCAGCTCACCCAAACCACCCTGCCAGAATTAAAGACAAATGGTGTATTTGTAAAGTGTTTTGAGAACACGGGGAAAAGGTCACTAAAATGTCCCTGGCGAGTGTTGCTTCAGAAGCCTAGTAGGCCCTGCCTGCCTCCACCACCTCATCTCTGAAAGGGTGGGAATCTCGAGCTCGCCATACTGCCTCCAGACACCCCGCAGCTCCCCACCCCTCTCCAGCCTTCCCAGTGCAGAATAAGGTGATTGCCAAACAACTATTAAGATGCACAAATGGAGGGATATTTGGAGCAGCTGCAAAAGCTCTATTATGGATAACAAAATAGGCAAGTGAATCTCAAACTCTTTAAGGTTAAATACTCACTTGGGTGAGACTTAACAACGTAACAATAGACTACAATAATGAAGTGGCTTCTCAAACTTTTTCACCAAAGTACCCCCAAAGGCACAGGAGAGAGAACCCTGAGGATAAGCACTTTGAAGCAACTCAATGGATATGAAGTATTACATTTTGTATTCGAAATTCATGCAAACTTTACCTTTAACTCCATAGCATACCTATAATACCTCTTTCCCCCTTGTCACCCTTACTCTCAGCTTTTGGAAAGGGGCAAGCTGGTATTTTCTCCTCCTCCCACTGCTGAAAGGAAGGCCTGCCTGTCTACTCTGCCCTCCCTCCAGATCCCATGGGCAAGGTCCACCCTCTACTCTGGCACTGGATCCCAGGCCCTCCTCTGTCAACCTCCCTCCTGAACACCCTGCCTTCCAGAGCACGGTAAGTGCTAATGTGTCCCCAGCACCCCCACTCCCCCATCATTCTACTTTAGAGAAAACTCTTTCAAGAAGCTGTTAACACACACATCCCATTCTCCCCTGAAAACTTCCACTTGTCATGCCTCCTGACACCAGTCTTGTCCAAGTCCCCAAAGACCTTCAAGTTGCAAAATCCAGTGGTCAAGTCTCACCCATCCTGCTTGATGCTCAAACAGCTTTTCATAATTCTCAAATATATCTCCAGCACCCCTTTCCCTGTAATTCCCCCAGACCTGTATATCCAATAACCAACTCAACATCTCCACTTGAGCATCAAAAAGGCATCTCAAACCTAACAGGTCCAACACTGAGCCCTTGGTACCCGTTCCTCTCTGATCTGCCTCTGGCAATGCCTGGCTCAGGAAATGGCACCATCCAATTCCTTAGATCATAAAGGACCCCCTTCCTCACATGCCATACATCCAATCCATCAGCAAAGACAGTCAGCTTCGTCTTCAAGATACGTTCCAAATCCAACCACTTCTCACCAAAGCTCGACCCACAGGGTCGAGTCTGCATGCGCTAGATTCAGAAGTGCAGCAAATGCTTCCCAGGTCCTCCTTATGAGCTCTTTCCTGGCAGCGGGCACAGGAGTGCATGACTACCCATCCACAGTGTCAGTCATCACAGCACCGTGGAAAACAGAGAAGACTGGAAACAACCTAAGTGTCCAACAACAGAGAATCGAATCAAGAAACTGCCACAATCATATGATCATCATATAATCAACCATGTAACAGAATGTCATGCTATTAAAAAATACCTCTGGTCCAACAGAAATACGAGAATCACAAAAATAATTTTAAATCTCCTAGCAGCTACAATTAAAGAGTAAAAAGAAGTCAGTAAAATTTACTGTGTATTATTTAACACAACATTAAACTTTATCATTTCAACATGTAATATTATCAAAAATTATTAACAGGATATTTTGCATTTTTTTAAACCACACTTAATCTTCAAAATCTGGTGTGTGGGGCTAGCCTGTGGCCTGTACAATCGGTGTATGGTAGCTAATGCATGTAATCGTAGCACTTTGGGAGGCTGAGGAGGGTGGACTGCTTGAGCTCAGGAGTTCGAGACCAGCCTGGCCAACATGGTAAAACCCCATCTCTACAAAAAATACAAAAATTAGGCGAGGGTGGTGGCATGTGCTCGTAGTCCCAGCTACTTGGGGGGCTGAGGTGAGAGGATCACCTGAGCCCAGGAGGCGGAGGTTGAAGAGAACTGAGATGGCATCACTACACTCCTGCCTGGGCAACAGAGTGAGACCCTGTTTCTTAAAAAAAAAAAAATAGAATTTAGAGTCCAGAAATAAGCCCTTATATTTATGGTCAATTGGTGTTTTTTTATGGAAAATACATTTTTGATAAGGGCACCAAGACCATTCAATGGAGAAAGAATAGTAATACGGTTTGGCTCTGTGTCCACCCAAATCTCATCTCGAATTGTAATCCCCATGTGTCAAGGGAAGGAAGTGATTGGATTATAGTGGTGGTGTCCCCAGGCTGTTCTCATGACAGTGAGTGAATTATCACCAGATCTGATGGTTTTATAAATGGTAGTTTTTCCTGCACTCACACACGCTCCTTCTTGCCTGCTGCCATGTAAGACGTGCCTGCTTCCCCGTCTGCCTTGATTGTAAGTTTCCTGAGGCCTCCCCAGACATGTAGAACTGTGAATCAATTAAACCTCTTTCCTTTAAAAACTACCCAGTCTGGGGAATTTCTTTATAGCAGTATGAGAACAGACTAATACAAGTAGTCCCTTCAACAAATGAACTACAAAATGTAAATATACACATGTAAAAGAATGAAACTGGACCCCTATCTCACACCACAAAAATTGACTCAAAATAGATCACACAATAAGCCAGGCACAGTGGTATGCACTGTAGTCCTAACTACCTGGGAAGCTAAGGCAGAAAGATCACTTGAGCCCAAGTGTTCAAGGCTGCAGTACACTATGATCATGGCTATGGATAAGCACTGCACTCCAGCCTGGCAATACAGCAAGACCCAGTCTCAAAAAAATAAAAATAAAAAACCAACACATACACACATGATCACAGCAGAAAAGAACTAAAACTATATAATTCTTAGAAGAAAGATGTAAATCTTCACGACCTTGGATTAGGCAATGGTTTCTTAGAAATGACTCCAAGCCAGGAACAGTGGCTCACATCTGTAATCCCAACACTTTAGGAGGCTGAAGCAGGAGAACTGCTTGAGCCCAGCAGTTTGAGACCAGCCCGGGCAACATAGTAAAACTCTGTCTCTACAAAAAATAATTTAAAAAATTAACCAGGCATAATGGTACCGCCTGTAGCCCTAGCTACTCAGGAGGCTAAGGCAGTAGGCTCCCTTGAGCTCTAGAGGTCGAGGCTACAGTGAGCCATGATTGTGCCACTGCACTACAGCCTGGCCAACAGTGCGAGATTCTGTCTCAGAAAAAGAAAGAAAAGAAAAGAAAAGGATACCAAAAGCACAATAAGCCAAAGAAAAAGTAGATAAACTGGACTTCATTTAAAGTTAAAAACTTTTGTACATCAAAGAACACCATCAAGAAATTGAAAAGAGGCCAGGTGCAGTGGTGTATGCCTGTAATCCCAGCACTTTGGGAGGCTGAGGTGGGTGGACCGCTTGAGCTCAGGAGCTCGAGACCAGCCTGGGCAACATGGCAAAACCCCGTCTCTACAAAAAAAAGTACAAAAAATTAGCCAGATGTGGTGGCATGTGCCTGCAGTCCCAGCTATTCAGGAGGCTGAGGTGGGAGGATCACCTAAGTCCAGGAGGTCAAGGCTGCACTGAGCTGTATCATGCCACTGCACTCCAGCCTAGATAACGAAGTGAGACCCTGTCTTGGGGGGGAAAAAAAGAAATCAAGATAATTAAAAGAGCAATCTCCATCAAAATACCAATGACATTGTTCACAGAAATAGAAAAAATATCCTAAAATTTGTATGAAACTGCAAAAGACCCCAAATAGCCAAAGCAATGCTGAGCAAGAAGAACAGAGCTGGAGGTATCACACTACCAAACCTTAAAATATACTACAAAGCTGTAGTAAGCAAAACGACACGGTACTGGTCTATAAAACAACTGGTATGTGTCTATAAAAACAGATACACAGACCAATGGAAAAGAATAGAAAACCCAGGAATTAACCTGCATATCTACAGCCAACTGATTTTTGACAAAGGCGCCAAGAACATTCATTGGGGAAAGGACAGTCTCTTCAACAAATGGTGCTGTGAAAATTAAATATCCATATGCAGAAGAGTGAAAATAGAAACTAGACCTCCACCTCTCATCCTATACAAAAATGAACTAAAAATGAATCAAAGACCTAAATATAAGACCCAAATGATAAAACTACTACAAAACATAGGGGAAATGCTTCATCACATTGGTCTGGGAAAAGATTTGATGAGTAACTGAAAAGCACGGACAACAAAAGCAAACATAAATGAATGGGATTATATCAAGCTAAAAAGCTTCAGCAAAACAAAGGAAACAATAGAATGAAAAGCCAACCTACAGAATGGGAGAAAGTATTTGCGAACTATTCATCCAACAGGGGATTGATATACAAGGAACTCACACATCTCAACAGCAAAAAAAAAAAATCCAATTAAAAAATGGGCAAATTGGCCAGGTGGGTGGCTCACGCCTGTAATCCTGGCACTTTGGGAGGCCGAGGCGGGTGGATCAACTGAGGTCAGGAGTTCAAGACCAGCCTGGCCAACATGGCAAACTCCCATCTCTATTAAAAATACAAAAATTAGCAGGTCGTGGTGGTGTGCGCCTGTAGTCCCAGCTACTCAAGAGGTTGAGGCAGGAGAATCACTTGAACCTTGGAGGTGGAGGTTGCAGTGAGCCAAGATCACACCACTGCACTCCAGCCTGGGTGACAGAGTGAGACTCCGTCTCAAAAAAAAAAGAAAAGAAAAGAAAAGAAAAAAGCCGGGGCAGGGGGATTACCTGAACAGACATTTCTCAAAAGACATACAAATGGCCAAATACATAAAAAATGCTCAGTATCACTAATCATCAAGGAAATGCAAAACAAAACCACAATGAGGTATCATCTCACCCCAGTTAGAATGGCTATTATCAAAAATACAGGCCAGGCACAGTGGCTCAAACCTGTAATCCCAGCACTTTGGGAGGCTGAGGCGGGCGGATTATCTGAGGTCAGGAGTTCGAGACCAGCCTGATCAACATGGAGAAACCCCGTCTCTACTAAAAATACAAAATTAGCCAGGCGTGGTGGCACATGCCTATAATCCCAGCTACTCGGGAGGCTGAGGCAGGAAAATTGCTTGAACCTGGGAGGCGGAGATTGTGGTGAGCCGAGATTGTGCCATTGCACTCCAACCTGGCGACAGAGCGAGACTCCACCTCAAAACTAAATAAATAAACAAATAAATAATAACAAATACTGTCCAGGATGCAGAGAAAAGGCAACTTTTTTTTTTTTGAGACGGAGTCTCGCTCTTTCGCCCAGGCCGGACTGCAGTGGCGCTATCTCGGCTCACTGCAAGCTCCGCCTCCTGGGTTCACGCCATTCTCCTGCCTCAGCCTCCTGAGTAGCTGGGATTACAGGCGCCCGCCACCGTGCCCGGCTAATTTTTCGTATTTTTAGTAAAGACAGGGTTTCACCGTGTTAGCCAAGATGGTCTCGATCTCCTGACCTCGTGATCCGCCCCCCTCGGCCTCCCAAAGTGCTGGGATTACAGGCGTGAGCCACCACGCCCGGCCTGAGAAAAGGCAACTCTTACACACTATTGGTAGGAATGTAAACTAGTACAGCCACTATGGAGAGCAGTATGGAATTTCCTCAAAAGCTACAAATAGAACTACCATATGATCCAGCAATCCCACTACTGGGAATTTATCCAAAGGAAAGGAAATCATGACATCAAAGAGACATCTATACCCCATATTTACCGTAGCACTATTCACAATAGCCAAACAGGGAATCAATCTAGGTGTCCAACAACAGATGAAGAAAATGTGGTATCTATACAAAATGGACTACTATTTAGCCATAAAAATGAATGAAATCCTGTCGTTCACAGCAACATGGATAGAAGTGGAGGACACTATATTAAGTGAGATAAGCCAAAAACAGAAAGTTAAACACCACATGTTCTCACTAATACATGTGGAAGCTAAAAAAAGTTGATCTCACAGAAGTCAAAAGTAAACACAGGATACTAGAGGTTAGGAAGGGTAGGAGGATGGGAAAAATGGGGAGAGAGCTAGACAGGAACAGAGTCTAGTGTTCTATAGCACTGTCGGATGACTGCAGTTAACAATAATATATAGCTTCAGGCCAGGTGCTCTGGCTCACTCCTGTAATACCAGTGTTTTGGGAGGCTGAAGCAGGAAGACCACTTGAGGCCAGGAGTTTGAGACCAGCCTTAGCAACACAGCAAGACCCTGTCTGTACAAAAAAAAAAAAAAAAAAAAAAAAAAAAAAGGGCCAGGCATGGTGGCACAAGCCTACAGTCCTAGCTACTCGGGAGGCTGAGGCAGGAGGATCACTTGAGCCCACGAGTTCAAGGTTACAGTAAGTTATGACTGCACCACTGCACTCCAGCCTGGGTGGCAGAGTGAGACAGTCTGTACAAACACACACACACACACACACACACACACACACACTACTGCTGTAGCAGTATCCTCCTCACAATGTCAGCCCATCTTAGCAACTTCCGATCAAACTGAGAGTCAAATTGAGAGACTGTAATGAAGGCCTTCATCGCCTTTGCACTATGAGACAAGAGATCTGACCTCTGCACAAAAACAAACAAAAACCAAAAAAAAAAAAAAAAAAAAAAAACCGCCTACAGCGCAAACAGCTCCTTGAGCTCCTTGTAGGTGTGGCTTGTGGGAATGGTCAAGAGCCAGGCATGGCGGCACGGGCCTAATGTCCCAGCTACTCAGGAGGCTGAGGCGAAAACTGCTTAAGCCCAGGACTTCATGGCTGCAGTGTACTATCATCCAGGGCAGTACGACAGCACCTGTGAATAGCCACTGCACTCCCGCCTGAGGCAACATAGCAAGACTCTCTCTTAAGAAAAAAAAAAAAAAAGGTACCCATTGTTTGCTCAGAAGGACGCTAATACAGACAGCAGCAACGGGGCTCATGAGAAGAATCAAAGCAGCAAAAATCATGGGGATGCAGCAATTCGGCATCCCCTTAAGGATCAGGCTGTCCTCCACTCCACTGTGAGATACAAAGTGTATAATGCATGGGACTGGCGTCCTACAAGATGATCTAAGTGCATACATACTGAAAAAAGATGCAAAGACTATACACCAAGATGCTAATGGTGTGGGGATAATGAGGAAAATTATTTTATTTTTATCTTTATGTGTTTTCTCTGGGTATACATACAAAGTTAAGATACCTTTACCGAGCTTTCTCCTGAAGAATTCCTTCTTGATGTAAGTGACTGTAAAGGTTCTGCCCTCAGAGATGTCTTATTTCTGGGAATCCAGAATGTGTAATGGACTCGGGGTACCTTTTCTACGTTTCATCTCCCAAAGAATACGTCCACACCCAGGTAGGCTGATGCTGACACAGCAGACAACACTGACCTCCTCCATGCAGAAGTTTAACAGGTGAAATACAGTTACTGACATCAGCAAGAATTGTTGTCTTTCTCTTGATTCTCTCAGGTTCCTCAATTTATAGGATCACTGAGGCTTCACAGATGTCAGCTGCTGATCAAAACAATCATAAGCCCACATCATGATAAGCTCAAGATAAATCTTTAGCCTTAAGTCAGGAATTCTGGGCCCATCTGCATGTCAAATACCACAGAGCCAGTGTCTTGTGAACACTGCAAACACTTCTGAAGAACTACTTTATAAGTTCAGGAGAGCACATCTCAGAAAAAAATGGAATACTTATTTCAATTTCTCACAATTAACTCTAATTTATGACATTGACATTCTCCTACTTAAAAGCTTCTGATGGTCCACCACTCCAGAACTAAGCTTCAACTTGTAAAAGGGGCCATGATCACTGTCCTCACCACACACTGAGGTCACCCTATGTTCCCACCAGAGCCGACTGCACTGGGTGTGATGAACAGTATCTATACTCTCTCTCCCACTGCACCGCCCCATCCTCACCCAAATCCCCTCAAGATCAAAATTCTTTATCTTGTAAAACTCCTGCTCAAACATTACAGTTGTAGGGGGGAGGGGGTTGTTTGTTTTTTGGTAAAGCATTCTTGACCCTTTAAGCCAAGAGTTGGCAAACTTTTTTCCCATAAAGAGCCAGACAGTAACTATTTTATGTTTCATGGGTCACATATTCTTCTTTGCTTATTTTTACAATCCTTTAAACACATAAAAACTATTCTTAGACCCATAGTTTGCCAATCTGTTTTAGATACTACTGCCATGCCGTGCTCCAACGTTTTTGGTAATGCATGGATGGAGTATGTTTCATCAGTTTAACTTCAATCAGATGAACTTTCAAAAGCCAAACTGAGGTTTCCCTTTAAAGATCTGTTCTTGCCTACATGGTCTTTAAAAGTCTATGCTGTGGGCCAAGCGCGGTGGCTCATGCCTGTAATCCCAGCACTTTAGGAGGCCGAGGCGGGCAGATCACGAGGTCAGGAGATTGAGACCATCCTGGCTAACATGGTGAAACCCCATCTCTACTAAAAATACAAAAAATTAGCCGGGTGTGGTGGCGAGCGCCTGTGGTCCCAGCTACTCAGGAGACAGACAGGAGAATAGCATGAACCTGGGAGGCGGCGCTTGCAGTGAGCCGAGATTGCGCCCCTGAACTCCAGCCTGGGCAACAGAGCAAGACTCCGTCTCAAAAAAAAAAAAAAAAAAAAAGTCTATGCTGTGAAAGATTTTATTATAAAGCTTAAAAATAATCCTCATTTGGGATACATTCCATTTCCAGGAGACACAGAGCTTTAAGAAAGTCACTCTAGGCCAGGCGCGGTGGCTCACGCCTGTAATCTCAGCACTTTGGGAGGCTGAAGCAGGCAGATCACCTGAGGTGAGGAGTTTCAGACCAGCCTGGCCAACTGGTGAAACCCCGTCTCTACTAAAAATACAAAAATTAGCCGGGTGCGGCCAGGCACAGTGGCTCATGCCTGTAATCCCAGCACTTTGAGAGGCCAAGGCAGGCAGATCACGAGGTCAGGAGATTAAGACCATCCTGGCTAACACAGTGAAACCCAGTCTTTACTAAAAATACAAAAAATTAGCCGCGTGTAGTGGCACGCACCTGTAGTCCCAGCTACTTGGGAGGCTGAGGCAGGAGAATCTCTCGAACCTGGGAGGCAGAAGCTGCAGTAAGCAGGGATCGCGCCACTGCACTCCAGCCTGGGTGACAGAGCGAGACGCCATCTCAAAATAAATAAATAAATAAATATTAGCTGGGTGTGATGGCGCGCACCTGTAATCCCAGCTGCTCGGGAGGCTGAGGCAGGAGAATCACTTGAACCCAAGAGGTGGAGGCTGCAGTGAGCTGAGATCGTGCCACTGCACTGCAGCCTGGGCAACAGCGTAAGACTGTCTTAAAAAAAAAAAAAGTCAATCTATCACCATGCTCAAGACAATCAAATTAAAACTACAACTAAAATTTTTCTAGAAACAGCCATTGGTCATTCGACTCAGAGGACATATTTTCCCCAAATACTGAAAATGTGCCTTTAATATTTACATTATGTCCTGTAAAATGCGTCTATAGCTAGGGTCCACCTTCTAGACCAATTTGGAAGTTTTTCTGTTCCAACAAATCCTCTTAAATAACTTCTCAGACATTTCCTTCCCTTGGAGGCTGCCTTGGAAGCCCTCTAGCACCTGACTAGTATGGTTCTTCTTTTCTTTTTTTTTTTTTTTGAGATGGAGTCTCGCTCTGTTGCCCAGGCTGGAGTGCAGTGGCACAATCTCGGCTCACTTCAACCTCTGCCTCCTGGGTTCAAGCAATTCTCCTGCCTCAGCCTCCTGAGTAGCTAAGATTACAGGCATGTGCCACCACACCCGGCTAATTTTTGTATTTGTAGTAAAGGTGGGGTTTCACCATCTTGGCCAGGCTAGTCTCAAACTCCTGACCTCAGGTGATTCGCCTGTCTCAGCCTCCCAAAGTGCTGGGATTACAGGTGTGAGCCACCGCACCTGGCCTAGTGTGTTCTTCTTTCACATCCATCTCCATTGCGAAACTTAGGAATGCTCCAGTATCAGCCTGTGGCAAACCAGGGACGTGGCCAAAGTGACTCTCTGTGCCCTCCCCTCCCACTTCCTGTCCATCCAAAACAACCGCCAAATAAATGCACAGTTATAAACACCTGGACCATGCATTCCATCCATGCATTCCTTCACCTCTAACAAAATAAAATTTCATTTCTTTCAGACGTGTCTTAAGGACTAGTGGAGCATAGAGGTATGCTGCCTCAACTTCCTTCCAGTACTGATTTGCATGTTGGAGTAATTATGCCAAGGCCATGGTGCTAGTTTTCCATTTCCTTTTTCGTAAAAAGGCCAACTAACTCACCATGCTCTACTTCAAAAGCTTACTAACAACATCACTATGCGCCTACCTTTCTGTGTGCCATAAAAACAGGGTGGAACATTTGCCAGCTGTAGGGATAAGAGAGCTCCCCTGGAGCTGTGGTCGCTGCCCTCATGCCTCACCACTAATGGCTTAGTTCTTTTAATACTCTGAAAGGTGAGGAAAAAATAACTGACAGAAAAATCCCCTACACAAAAACCCCAACTCTGCGGGAAGGAGGGCAGGTCCCTGTGAATCATCCACCCATCCTCCAAGTGAAAGGCAGCACAGGTGAGTGAGTTATCATCTAAAGATGGCCAAAGCAAGAGGACTGCTTGAGGCCAGGAGACCAAGACCGGCCTGGGCAGCATAGCAAGACCCCATCTCCACAAGAAAATAAACATGGCTAGTAGAAAGGGACACAGCCCTGTGGGGATGGCTGAGGAGGAAACTGTAGGACACAGGCAACAGGACTCCAGGTGCAGGCATGGAGAGACTGAGGCCCCAGGCCCCTGGAGAAAGGAGGACAAGGCAGCAGGCAGGACAGGCAGTGTCCAGGGGGAACAATGATGGCCTCCTGGGCAGGCAGGCTCCTGGGGCTGAAGCTGGGGCAGCAGGGAGACGCAAGACCTTATCAGGAGGAATGCAGGGTGCACTGAATGCAGTCAGAGGCCGTAAAGGGTTTTCAGGGAAGGGCAGGAGGCCACCTATGTTTAGATCTCTCTGACAGCAGCATGGAGAAAGGCCTGGAGAAAACTGGGGTGAAGTGGATAGACAAGTTGGGGCCACCGGCATCAGCAGAAGGCTTGCCTGGGCTGGGGACCAGGGACGTGGGAAAACAGGGTGCAGAAGTGAGCACCAACGACAGATTGTGAGAGAAGAGGGACCAAGAAATGCTCCCCAGTCTTCTAGCATCTGGATGGGGGTAGGGAGGAATCAAGAGCTTCACTAGAGACAGGTTAGGTGTCATTCAAGCAATAACACCCAGTGGCCCCAGTCATGCCCCATTCACTCACTCTCAAGGTTTGTGGACAAAACGCCTCCTTGTCCTGCAGGTCCGGGACAATGAGCCCCTCTGAGACCAGCTGTATGAAGCACTCCACTCTTGACCTCCCCCCAGCCCTGCCAGGCCCCCTCTATTCTTCTGGAATCAGCACATGGACTTCCCTGTCTTCAAGGTCTGCCTTAGAACACAGGCCTCATGACTACAGGGAGCTGCCCATATCATTTCCTGCCATGCCCTGGTACACAGGAGGGTGCCCGGCACATACCAAGGACTCAATAGCTGTTAAATAAATATGCAGGTCCGAAGCTGAAGCTCAAGGGGCAGCTTGGACTAAAGACATAAGTTTGGGGAACTTGGGAACCACAGCTGGAAAATTATTTTATTTTTCTAATGGTATCTACTCAAAAATTCCCATTCTGCTAACCAAAGTTTTGATGTAAATTATGGCATGTTGGGAAGGGTTTATCCAGACTGGCTTGATGGACTTCTGGGCACTCTAGCCTCCAAGTGCCCTCTGCTGTTTAATGACTAAAGAGACTGAATTTCTGTAGAAAGTACCTCACCTTATGAAAACATAAAATCTTAACAGTCATACATTCACTAGAAATCAAGAAGAGTATGGTGAATGAACAATTTCCAAGCCACGGTTTCTCAACCTTGGCGCAACTAACATTTTGAACCCGAAAACTCTTTGCTGTAGGGATATGCTGAGCACTGCAGGGTGTTCACAGCATCCCTCGTTCTACTTACCAATGCCAGTGGCATCCCCCACCCCACTTCTGAAGGTTTCCAGACACTGCAAAATGCCCCCTAGGGTACGAAACTGCACCCCACCCCCACCCCACCAACTCCATCTCTGGATGAGAACCACTGTCCCAGACCCAGTGGTCTTTCCATGTAACTACAACCAAGGAAACAGGAATCAAATTTAGTTAAGTTTGAAATGTTCACTTAAAAACAACTAGTCCAAATGACATCCTCTAGTGAAACTAAAAGTAAAACAGGTATGTACTCACACAAACCATCCCAGTGAGGTTTTGAACCATGACATCAAAACATGCTGACATTTCCTTTGAAGAGTCTGGGTCTAAATTGGACAATCTTCGGAAGGACTGCCTCACGCTCTAGCTGAGGGAATGCATGACTAACCTCTTCATTTCAACAGGACACAGGAAAACGTAGCCAGGTAGAGCATTCTTTCCCTATGTAAAACTGCATGGAATCACCGAGCTGGCTGCAGGCAGGGGCTCCCTGGTGCCTCACTGCTCACCAGCAGGGAGGAGAACCCAACAGTAGTCTTGGGCAGCGATGACTCAGCCACAGCAGAAGCCACAGAGGGCTTGGAGTCCAGCGGTGAGTCTCTACGCAAGGGGGCTCCCAGCATCCTGCAATCCACTCACCGAGGGCAGTGAGGGTCTCATCTGGATATCTTCTTCCACTTGTCACTGTCTTTATGCACATCGCTCTCCACAGAAAAGTGAGTAATTCTTACACACTTTAAATCACTTGGGACATTTTTAGTATCAGATTCCCACATCAGTTTACCACAGAGTTTTTGAGGTTTTACCTTTTTCCTTCCCATCTAAGAAGAGCACACACTAGAAAAGAAGCATCCAGTGAATCTCCTGGCCTCCAAACTCCCCCATGATGGGAGTGGTGATGGGGTGTCCAGAGTAAAATGTCTGATAATGAGACCAAAACTAGTTGCTAATTATCTAAATTATCTAAACCAAAGGGTACCAAATATGCATGGAGAACAAATACTCCCTTAAGCACCAAAAGGAAAGAAAACTGAAGGCAAGTAATTAAGGCATTAAAGATGTGTCAATCACAATACAAATTCTTCTACGTCCAGGGAAGGTCAAAATCTTTCCTTGTGTTCCTCAAAATATGGTGGTATAGACAAGAACCACTGGCATTTTTTCTGTCCTGGAGGATCAATTTTGGTGCACAGAAAGATTTTTAGAAGTTTGTAATATTAGAACATATATATTACATATCATACAGCAGAACTCAAAATTCATATGAATTTTAGAAAAAAAGGACCACAAAAACCAGGTATCAAGAACAGGGTTAGGTGTGATGTCTCATGCCTGTAGTCCCAGCACTTTGGGATGCTGGGGCAGGATGATTACTTGAGGCCAGGAGTTCAAGACCAGCCTGGGCGATATAGCAAAACCCTGTCGCTACAAAAAATACAAAAATTATCCAGTGTGGTGGCTTGCACCTGTAGTTCCAGCTACTTGGGAGGCTGAGGTGGGAGGATCACTTGAGCCCAGGAGGTTGATGCTCCTGTGAGCTGAGATCATGCCATTACATTCCAGCCTGGGCAACAGAGTGAGACCCTGACTCAAAAAATAAAAAAAGAAAAGGCTGCTTTAGGATATTGCGTTCTTGGCCCTCTGAAAGGGTACAAGTCACACATCCACTGTCCTCTGTTGCTACGGCGGCCTCACAGTGGAAAGCTAGGGACATACTGATAATTTTCATCTGCTGTGCACCAAAAACGGCCCAATTATTTTCCTAGCCAAGGTCAGTCATGGAGCAAGGGAATCTGAAGAACGCTCCAGAGAACTGAAGATTGTAAGTCTCTACAGAGAAAAGGGAGTCTGCGTAGACACACACAAGTCAATCATATGACTCCTCTGAAGTTTTTTTTGTTTTTTTTTTTAAACAGTCTCACTCTGTCACTGAGGCTAGAATGCAGTGGCCCAATCATGGCTCACTGCAGTATGGACCTCCTGGGCTCAAAGAACCCTCACATCTCAGCCTGGAAGGATCCCTCTCGCCCCGCCTCCTGAGTAGCTGGGACCACAGGCGCACACTAACATGCCCAGCTAATTCTCTCTCAGACAGGGTATCAAACTCCTGGGCTCAAGCGACCCTCCGGCCTGAGCCTCTCAAAGTGCTGGGATTACAGGCGCCAGCCACTATATCCAGCCCAACTTTTTTAAGTCAATTTCATAGGGTCACCTCCTCAAAGCCAAGAATTATATATTTGCATGTTTTTATGGTACATGCAGCAGTCATCAGATGCTTGCAAGTGAAGGACAGATGGGCTGAGAGAAATCAGAAACCGTACAGAATTCTGTAAGCGAGCAGAGCCGGCCACCAGCTCCAGCTCTAAGCCCAGCCCCAACAAGATATTCCACTTCTGGCTGGGTGCAGGGTGCACACCCAGCTACTCAGGAGGCTGAAGCAGGAGGATCAGTTGAGCCCAGGAGCTTGAGTCCAGCCAAAGCAACAGAGCGAGACCCTGTCTCTTAAAAAAAAAAAAAAAATTATACTTCTGGCCAACTTAACCTCCATTATAGTCCTAGATAACTAAAACTGCTAAATTTTACTGAGCTTACCTATGCTAAATGCTTTCCATCTCACACTCCAGGGGGTAAGTACCATTATCCTTATTTCTAGGTAAAAGAACTGAGACACACGGAAGGTAACTGCCCAAGACCCAGGGTCACTCAGACCAGGCAGCCTGCCACCAGCACTCACGCCCTTAGCCACCACCCCACCTCACGCTGCCTCCTTATGTGCACCATCTGGGTGAAAAGAAAAACAAGAAGCTGAGGGCTGACATTCCAAGACTGTAACTCTAAGGAACACAAGTCCTTCATAACCAGCAAGGATCCCACTCCCTCTATAAAAAGCCTGCCAGGAGGCCAAGCCAGGAGCGTAAGCCACTGATAGGGCTGTGTCTCTACCCAAATCTCATTTTGAATTGTAGTTCCCATAATCTCCATGTGTCATGGGAGGGACCTGGGGGGAGGTAATTGAATCATGGGGGCAGTTTCCACCATCCTGTTCTTGTGACAGTGAGTTCTCACGAGATCTGATGGTTTTACAAGGGGCTTTTCCCCCTTTGCTCTGCACTTCTCCTTGCTGCCACCATGTGAAGGATGTGTTTGCTTCCCCTTCCACCATGATTGTAAGTTTCCTGAGGCCTCCCCAGCCATGCTGAACTGTGAGTCAATTAAACCTCTTTTCTTTATATTAATAAATTACTCAGTCTCGAGTATTTCTTTTTTTTGAGACAGAGTCTTGCTCGGTTGCCCAGGCTAGAGTGCAGTGGCACGATCTCGGCTCACTGAAACTTCCGCCTCCCAAGTTCAAGCAATTCTCCTGCCTCAGCCTCCTGAGTAGCTGGGATTACAGGCGCCCGCCACACACCCGGCTAATTTTTTTGTATTTTTAGTAGAGATGGAGTTTCACCATCTTGGCCAGGCTGGTCTTGAACTCCTGACCTCATGATCCTCCCACCTCGACCTCCCAAAGTGCTGGGATTACAGGCGTGAGCCACCGCGCCCAGCCTCAGGTATTTTTTCATAGCAGCGTGAAATTGGACTAATACAGCCACCTTCTAACACAACTTCTGCTCTTGGCTTGAAATGTCTTTAAACAGTTGGCTGGGCGTGGTGGCTCACGCCTGTAATCCCAGCACTTTGGGAGGCCGAGGCGGGCAGATCACGAGGTCAGGAGATTGAGACCATCCTGGCTAACATAGTGAAACCCCATCTCTACTAAAAATACAAAAAATTAGCCAGGCATGGTGGCGGGCGCCTGCAGTCCCAACTACTCGGGAGGCTGAGGCAGGAGAATGGCGTGAACCCGGGAGGCGGAGGTTGCAGTGAGCCAAGATTGCGCCACTGCACTCCAGCCTGGGCGACAGAGAGAGACTCCATCTCAAAAAAAAAAAAAAAAAATGAGTCCAGGTGCAATGGCTCATGCCTGCAATCCCAGCACTTTGGGAGGCCAAGGTGGGACGACCACTAGGAGTTCAAGACCAGAATGGGCAACATAGTGAGACTCCGTCTCAAAAAAAAAAAATTTTTTTTTTTTTTTGAGATGGAGTCTCGCTCTGTCGCCCAGGCTGGAGTGCAGTGGCATGATCTCGGCTCACTGCAAGCTCCGCCTCCCGGGTTCACGCCATTCTCCTGCCTCAGCCTCCTGAGTAGCTGGGACTACAGGCGCCCGCCACCACGCCCGGCTAATTTTTTGTATTTTTAGTAGACGGGGTTTCACTGTGTTAGCCAGGATGGTCTCCATCTCCTGACCTTGTGATCTGCCCGCCTCGGCCTCCCAAAGCGCTGGGATTACAGATGTGAGCCACTGCAGCAGACCAAAAAAAATTTTTTTAATTAAAAATTTTTTTTAAATTAAGCAGGTGTGGTGGCTCATACTCGTGGTCCCAGCTACTTGGGAAGCTGACATGGGCGGATCACTTGAACCCAGGAAATCGAGGCTGCAGTGAGCTGTGATTGTACTACTGCACCTCAGCCTGGGTGACAGAGTGAGACACTGTCTCAAAACAAACAAACAAAAATAGCTGCATTTGTTGGGTGCCTGCTAACTGCCAAGAGTTTTCTACACATACCAACACACTAACATGGCATATACTGACCCACCTATAAGCTGGGTATCTATAGCACCACAATCCTTATCCAAAACCGAGGCCAGATGTGTTTCAGAGTTCAGAATTTTTTGAATTTTAGAAAGGAAATATTGTACGCATATTTTATATATTATATATTATATAACACTCCAGGGAAGTCTGAGGCAGTAACCATAAGAAAACACATTAATTCACCGGGTGTGGTGGCTCTTGACTGTAATCCCAGCACTTTGGGAGGCCGAGGTGGGAGGATCACTTGAGTCTAGGAGTCTGAGACTAGCCTAGGTAACAAAGTGAGAAGACACGGAGTCTCGTTCTGTCGCCCAGGCGGGAGTGCCGTGGCGCGATCTCCGCTCACTGCAAGCTCCGCCTTCCGGGTTTACGCCATTCTCCTGCCTCAGCCTCCCGAGTAGCTGGGACTACAGGCGCCCGCCACTGCGCCCGGCTAATTTTTTGTATTTTTAGTAGAGACGGGGTTTCACCGTGGTCTCGATCTCCTGACCTCGTGATCCGCCCGCCTTGGCCTCCCAAAGTGCTGGGATTACAGGTGTGAGCCACCGCGCCCGGCCAGAACCCTTTCTTTACAAAATTTAAATTAAAAAATCAGCTGGGTGTGGCGGCACAAGCCTGTAGTCCTCGCTACTTGAGAGGCTGAGGTGGGAAGATCTCTTGAGATCAGAAGTTCAAGGCTGCAGAGAGCTTTGATCACACCACTGATTCTAGCCTGGGCAACAGAGCAAGAGTCTTCTCAAAAAAAAAAAAAAAAAAAAGGAAAAGAACAGGAAACATGTTAATTAACCATCTGTGGTAAAATAATGAAATATTCATATTAAGTGGAATAGAGATTATAAATAGCCTCACATAAGTTCAGGCCAAGTGGCACCAAATCTATGAAAAAACATTCCATTTTCAGAGGCTCTGGGGTTTCAGCACTGTGGCTGAGGAACTGGGGCCTGCACCATCGCACTCACTTTATGTGCTACGGTCCTGGTTCAGAAAGGCCAAATAACTTGGTCAAGTTCATGCAGCTGGGAAAGAAGAGAGGCAAGGTATGAACCCCGACTCTCTCACCCAAAGCCTGCACGGTGCTTCTCACACTTAAATGAACGCAATGATCACCTAACAGCCTCTCTGAGAGCTGACTGTGAGTCGGCAGGTCTGAGGCAGGGCCTGGGAAACTGCATTCCTAAAGCACTGGGGCTCCTGGAGGGAATGTGCTGCTTCCACTGGACCAGAGGCTCCCAGTCCAGCAGGGCATCAGCACTCCCAGGAGTTCTTTAAAAATTCCCTCTAAATCTGAATTTCCAGGGTCTTAACTGATAGAAATTGTATGGGTGGGGGCCTCAGTTTTTGTGGTCATTTCTAATAGCCCATTAAGAGAAATAAATCACTAATAAAGTAGGGCTCTGAGAAGGCAGCCCGCAAGCCCAGTCAGGAGTTCCCCTTGGAGTCCCTACTTTCCATCAAAGGAGTCTAGGAAGATTCCAGCAATGACCACAAAATGTTATTAAATTCCTCAGAGACAACATACCCCAGCCATCCCAGGTTCTGGGGATCACAGCATTTTTCACCCTCCCTTGGAATCAACAAAATCCTACACATACCACACTAAAGGCCAAGTTCTAGAGGACAACCACAAACAAATGTGAAAACTATTGCTGCCTGGCAGCTGACAGAAGGAAATACTTAGCAGAAGACTATGAGAAAAGAAGTGCTTGGCCAAGAGCAGTGGCTCAGCCTGTAATTCCAGCACTTGAGATGCCAAGGCACGCAGGTCCTTTGAGGGCAAGAGTTCAAGACCAGCCTGACCAACATGGTGAAACCCCATCTCTACTAAAAATACAAAAATTAGCCAGGTATGGTGGCATGTGCCTGTAGTCCCAGCTACACAGGAGGCTGGGGCAGAAGAACTGCCTGAATCTGGGAGACGGAGGTTGCAGCGAGCAGAGATCGCACCATTGCACTCCAGCCTGGGCGACAGAGTGAAACTCCGTCTCAAAAAAACAAACAACAACAACAACAAAAACAAGTAAAGAAGTGCTAACACTTGGGCTAGGCTACACTGTGGGAATGAATTCATGAACTGAATGGAATCTGCACATACTTAATCAAACTGTGTATTCTGAATTATGCTCACGAGATGCTAAGATGGAAAAGAACATGAGTGGTAGTGCAGCTGGTTCCTCCCGCTGTGTCAACTCTCTGCAGGTCCTCTGATGTCTGCTAAGCTCCTCCCAAATGTACCCATCATGAGAAAGACTCTGAGCAGGACTTCCACAGCACTAATCTCCCCCCAATGCCACCAGACTCTTAATTCTGCTTTCAGTAGTCCAAATCAGCCACTGCTTCTCACACCCAGTCTCAGGTCACTTCTGATATGACATGTATGTACCCCAGCCTGGTCACCACCCTAATGCTGGTTCTCTGCAGAAGCTCATTTGGTTAAATTCCTCATGTAAACTGAACAAGAGTCCTATTCTGACCTCGGTATTAGCTTTTGATAATTACTAATCCTGTAATTTGTCCTTTTTTTGTTCTATTGCCTCCTTCATAAAGTGTCACGTTCCAGACTGAAACTGGCAGTCTGAATTTCCTGAGAACACAGAATGCCTCATGGAGCATTTTTATGCATTTACCTAGCACTGTAACAGCAGGACTGGCACCCATGAAGTGCTTTACAAAGGTCTGCTGAGGCCGGGTACAGTGGTCATGCCTATAATCCCGGCCATTTGGGAGGCCGAATCAGGAGGATCACCTGAACCTAGGAATTTGAGACCAGCCTGGGCAACATAGAGGCCCCATCTCTACAAAAAAAATTTTGTTTTTGAGACAGGGTCTCGCTCTGTCGCCCAGACTGGAGTGCAGTGGTGCGATCTCAGCTCACCACAACCTCTGCCTCCCAGATTCAAGCTGTCCTCCTACCTCAGCCTCCTGAGGAGCTGGAACTAATGGCACACGCCACCACACCTGGCTAGTTTTTATATTTGTTTTATAGAGATGAGGTCTCCATAAAGCCCAGGCTGGTCTCAAACTCCTGAACTCAAGCAATCTGCTCACCTTTGCCTCCCAAAGTGCTGGGATTGCAGGTGTGAGCTACCGTACCTGGCCCAAAAAATGTTGGAAACTTAGAAAGTGAGGATCACTTGAGACTGAGAGGTCGAGGCTACAGTGAGCTGTGATCGCACCACTGCACTCCAACCTGGGCAACAGAGCAAGACCCAGTCTCAAAAAAAAAAAAAGGGTTTTCTGAACTAAGCTAGATTTGGTCAGTGCTCACTTAAATGTTTTAAATGTTGTTTTTCTTTACATGAAAATACACTGAGTACCTAAGCTTAGTCAGGCACACAGTAGTTAATACATGCTGAACTGGTGAATGTGTGGTGGACATATCCTGTCCTCTCTTTCCCGACTAAGAAATACGAGTGCCTAGGCTGGGCGTGGTGGCTCACACCTGTAATCCCAGCACTCTGAGAGGCCGAGGCAGGTAGATCACCTGAGGTCAGGAGTTGGAGACCAGCCTGACCAACATGGTGAAACCCTGTCTCTACTAAAAATACAAACTTAGCCAGGCGTGGTGGTGCAAACCTGTAATCCCAGCTACTCGGGAAGCTGAGGCGGGAGAATCGCTTGAACCTGGGTGGCGGAGGTTGCGGTGAGCCAAGATCACGCCACTGCACCTCCAGCCTGGGTGACAAGAGCAAAACTACATCTCAAAAAAAAAAAAAAGAAAGAAAAAGAAATACAAGTGCCTTCAACCTTAAATACCATTTTTCATTTTTATGGATTTTTAAAAACTGATTATTTTATTTTCACAGCAACTATAATCTCCATATGCCATGCAAGGAGACAAGGCTTTCAAAGAGATTCAATGATTTGCCTAAGGTCACAAAGACAGATGGGGACTAGACCACTGGTCTCTAACTCCTCCTGCAATCTTGTCCTTCCACTGCGGGGTTTCTGCAGGAGGGACGCCACTATCTCCTCCTCCTCCTCCTCTTCCTCCTGCCTCTGGCTTACCAACAGATAATCTCTACGCTTCCCACCATTCTTTACAATCCAGAAACATTTACATTAGTAGTGTTACACGTAAAAGAGCAGAATGTCAAAGCTTGATGAGACCTCATCATATATAGAATTGGGGACTCTATGAAGACGCCTCTCAGACCAATTTTTTCAGGTTGAACTACACATTACATGTTTCACTCCAAGCCTGAGTGACTAAAATACAAAGCAGTTCCTAAGAAGCTTAAGACAATATAAAAAGGGGTAACTATATTGATTCATCTTAACACAAGACAATATCTATTTTCTAAGATGCAGAACACAGAGAGGAGACAGGCCAAGGGCACGTTTTCAACTGTGTGAATGATGCTGCCCCCTGGCCCTTGCCCTCCCGCCTTGCCTACTACCCTCTGTAGGCCTCAAGACTCATTACCCTTCTTTGGCCCCTATGCTGGTCACCCCCAGGCCACAGCCACTACATTCTGACAGAAAGAATCCTGAAGGCAATGGGGAATGAGAAAGTACGTAGTGCCTAAGGAAGCAAGCCCAAAGGCTCACGAGAGCAATGATTCTGTCCCTTATGCTATCTCACAGGCCAACACACTTTTGGAATTCAAAAGGACAGAATGAGGAACAGGTACCCTTATTCAAAATATATACATAACATTTTACCTTCGTAAGAGACTTCAGACCATGCAGACCAGAGGTCTTGGCCTCAGGAATCACGGTAGAAGCAGAGGCACTCAGGCCTCTGCAATTCCATGCAGCAGCCAGTCATTCCGGGGCATCGACCAGGGGCTGTTTGGGGAAAAACTCTCTCAACCTGTGTTTTTCCCCTGCTCTCACAACCTGACAACAATCGCCAATGCAGAAGAATTGCGTGAACAAAGCTGTTGGCGGTTCAGTCGCCAAGGCTGTCCACCCCCCATCCCCACTTCAGACACTAGTCGCAAGTCCAGGCCTCTAGAACTTCTGACCCACCAGCTTCAAGTTGGGGTTCCCACAAGCCCTCTTTGGATTCGATTAATTTGCCAGAGTGGCTCACAGGACTCAGGGAAATATGTACTTACAGTTACCGGTATATCGTAGAGGATACTGCAGAAGACACAGATGAAGGGACGCAAAGGGCGAGGTATGAGGCCAGGCGGGAGCCTCCATGCCCTCCCTCGGGCCATCCTCAGAAACCTCCACGTGTTCCGCCATTTGGAAGCTCTTGAACGCTGTCCTTGAGTGTTTGTTTGTTTGTTTTTGAGACAGTCTTGCTGTGTCACCCAGGTGGGAATGCAATGGTGCAACTCGGCTCACTGCAACCTCCACCTCCCGGGTTCAAGCAATTCTCCTGCCTCAGCCTCCCAAGTAGCTGGGATTACAGGCACCCGACACCACACCCGGCTAATTTTTGTATTTTTAGTAGAGATGGGGTTTCACCATGTTGACCAGGCTGGTCTCAAACTCCTGACCTCAGGTGATCCGCCCGCCTCAGCCTCCCAAAGTGCTGGGATTACAGGCGTGAGCAACCATGCCCGGCCTGTCCTTGAGTTTTTATGGTGGCTTCATTACACAGGCATGACTTACAATCATCTAGAAATGTTTCTGGACAAAAAACCATGATCTAAACCCAGCAAGGCCTGTCTGTTCGGACTTATCTTGGCCTCTCTGTGCAGCATTCCTGCCTCTAGGGAATGAGGCAGGGCCCTCTCTGGAATAAGGGTCTTCTGACTCACAGTCAGATTAGAGTCCTGCCTTGGGCAGCTGAAAGGAGGCAAGACACCCAACATTACAACAAAAGACTGTAACAAGGGCTATGGGACTTATGAGTCAGAAACAATGGATGAAAACTATGCACACACACACACACACACACATATATACATATCATGCATACATATCATGTATATATGTGTGTGTATATATATAACACCACAGTAGCTCACTCTCCTCATTCATGCCTATGTTGCACAGAAGTTCAGGTGTCTAGGAAAGACTTACTTGGGAACAAAGGGAGGTTATGCTTGGGAAACACAGGATTAGGTGGCTTTCCAGCCAGGGTTGTTGGGGTTCTCCATAGAGGTACAAGCAAGGGGCACTCATGGAACACAGGCAGACATAGCTCTTCCCTCATTAATCCCAAAACACTGGGGCACCACTGGAGCCAAAGACAGAGATTTCCTGTTTCATTATTTAAAACCACTCCCTCACTTCTCTGTGACCTCATCATGTTTGCTCGGCTCAGTGTTGCAACAATCAGCTGAGACAGGCTGGGGAGGCAGGGTTTCTATGTGAGAGCACATCCATACACACCTCTGCACACACTGTCAAATTATACCACACTTTTATATATAAACAGCCAGAACTGTCTCTAGGGGATTTACTAGAATGATCTAGAGTAAAGGAAAGGAACTTTAGGATATATAGGCTTACTTATATTTTCTCAATGAAGCTTTTTTTAAGAACAGAGAGAAATATTAAAACCCCACAATATTATTTAAAATAAAAGGGAAGGTTTCAACAAATTTTTAAAATGAACTAGTAATAGGAAGAAAAAACGTATGGACCCAAAGCTGTACTTGAAAAACTTGACAAACACATGATCAAGGATGGCTGCTGATAAGACATACATTTTATAGAGGTAATTATTTTATGAATAGGTATACTCCAAAAGTTTTTTAGAAATTATTGATTCAGAACACAGAATGTACTCACTGAAAATGAGTAACACACAACAGTTGGCATTTCCATTTTAATCCACAACAGTTTTCAAATGGGTATCTAACATATATTACTGAGAGCACTATGGAATCTAGCCACCATGCGTATACCAGATCAAGGACAGTCACAAATTCTTCGACCCTCCTTTCATCAAGAGTTAGGGTCCATGTCCCCTCTCCTCAAATATAGGAGGACTCTGTGTCTTTTTAGAACATGGCAGGAATAATGCTACACTGATATCCAAGCCCAGGCTTAAGATACTGGCAGCTCCAGACTGGGCACAGTAGCTCACGCCTGTAATCCCAACACTTTGGGAGGCCAAGGTGGGAGGATCGTTTGAACCCAGGAGTTCAAGACCAGCCTGGGCAACGTAGTTAAGACCTTGTCTCTACAAAAAGTTAAAAACTAAGAAATTAGCCATGCAAGGTGGCATGCACCTGTAGTCCCAGCTGCTTGGGAGGCTGGGCTGGGAGGATCACTTCTGCCCAGGCGTTTGAGGCTGCAGTGAGCTATGATGGTACCACTGTACTCAGCCTGGGCAAAAGAGTGAGACTCTATCTCAAAAGAAAAAAAAGAAGAAAGAGAGAGAGAGACTGGCAGCTTCCACTTCCTCTCCTAGAACACTCACTCTAAGAGTTCTGAGTTGTCATGTAAGAAGCACAACCACCTTAGGAGAAAGGCCATCTGCAGAGGACCTGAGAGCACAAGGAGAGGGAGGATCCCCTGAGCCTGGCCTTCCAACCATCCAAGCATGTGTGTACGGCCCTCTTGGACCCTCATGACTGGACCAGCCAACAGATGAATACCAATAAATTACCTCCATCAAGGCCACATGGAGCAGAAGAATCACCCAGCTGAGCCCTGCTTGATCAGCCCACAGAACCATGAGATGTAGTAGTAGATTACTGTTTTAAATCACTGATGTTTAGGGTGGTTTCTTATTCAGCAACCATTATCCGGAACAATCTGTGGCTTTTTCATGAAATGAAGGAAGCACATCTCTTTCCTGTCCTGGCATCAGGAATAGAGTTCCCTTCCCTGATCCTGCACTGGTGGTGTGCTATCAGCCATGATTTTCCCCAGCTGTAAGCCATTAAGTGCAACTCCTATGCTTACAGCTGGCACTACAACATGAATGTGTCTGTGTTGAGAAGAGGGGAAGTACATGGTACAATCATCATCATCCCAGCCAGAGATGTTAGGGTTGTCTGCTTGGAAACCCTCTTAGAATTTTCTCAATTAGGAGAGGGCAGGTTTCAAAATTCTGAAGAAACATGATGCACAGTCAAAATACAACTGGGGGCTGGGAGCAGTGGCTCACACCTGTAATCCCAGCACTTTGGGAGGCTGAGGCAAGAGGATCACTTGAGGCCTGGAGTCGAAGACCAGCCTGGGCAACACAGTGAGACCTCATCTGTACAAAAAAAATGAACAAAACTTGCTGGGTGTGGTGGCAAGTGCCTGTAGTACCAGCTACTCAGGCAGCTGGGTGGGAGGACCACTTGAGCACAGGAGGCCAAGGCTGCAGTGAGCCAAGATCGTACCACTACACTCCAACCTGGGCAACAGAGTAAGACCCTGTCTCAAAAAAAGATTGGTTCCCAGATACCGAAGTCAAAAATATCACAAGGAAAGAAAACTACAGGCAGGGTGCAGTGGCTCATGCCTGTAAATCCCAGCATTTTGGGAGGCCAAGGCAGGTGGATCACATGAGACCACGTGTTCGAGACCAGCCTGGCCAACATGGCAAAACCCTGTCGCTACTAAAAATACAAAAATTAGCCAGGCATGATGGTGCATGCCTGTAATCCCAGCTACTGGGGAGGCTGAGGTTGCAGTGACCCGAGATCGCACCACTGCACTCCAGCCTGGGTGACAAAGGAAGACTTTGTCTCAAAAATGAAAAAAAAAAGAAAACTACAGACTAATATTCCTAATGAACATAGACACAAAAATCTTCAACAAAATAGTAGCAAACTCAATCTAACAACACATTAAAAGGATTATATACCATGACAAAGTGAGATTTATCCCAGGAATGCAAGGGTGATTCAACATACAAAACAAAATCAATACAATACACTACATTACTAGAACAATGAAAAAAATATGATCATCTCAGAAGATGCACAAAAAGCATTTGACAAAACTCAACAACCTTCCATTAAAAAAAAAAAGTCAGTGGCCAGGCACAGTGGTTCACACCTGTAATCCCAGCATTTTGGGAGTCTGAGGCAGGAGGTCTGCTTGAGGCCAGGAGTTTGAGATCAGCCTAGGCAACACAGCAAGACCCCATCACTAAAAAAAAAAAAAAAAAAAAAATCAATTAACTGGGCATATTGGTGCACACCTGTAATCCCAGCTACCTGGGAGGCTAAGGCAGGAGAACTGCTCAAGGTGAGGAATTTGAGACCAACCTGGGCAACACAGCAAGACCCTGTCTCCACAAAAATTAAAAAATTAGCAGGGTGTGGCAGCTTGCACCTATAGTAGTCCCAGCTACCGGGGAGGCTAAAGAAGGAGCACTGCTTGAGCCTGGGAGTTCAAGACTGCAGTGAGCTATGATCACATCACTGTACTCCAGCCTGGGCAAAAGAGTGAGACCTGGTCTGATAAAAAAAAAAAAAAAAAAAAAAAAAAAGTCCAGGCACAGTGGCTCGCACCTGTAATCCCAGCACTTTGGGAGGCCAAGGTGGGCTGACTGCTCAGGAGTTTGGGACTAGCCTGGGCAACATGGCGAAACCCATCTCTACCAAAAATAAAAAATAAAAAAAAACAGCAGGGCATTGTGGCATGTGCCTTTGGTCCCACCTACTCAGGAGGCTGAGGTGAGAGGATCGCTTGAGCCTGGGAGGCAGAGGTTGAAGTCAGCCATGATTGCACTACTGCACTCCAGCATGGGTGACAGAGCAAGACCCTGTGTCAAAAACAAAAAAAAAAAGGAAAGAAAGAAAACACAGCTAACTTCATAATCAATGGTGAAAAGCTTCCCCTAAGATCAGGAACAATATGAGGATGCTCACTTTCATCACTCCTATTCAAAATTTTACTAAATGTCTTAGCCAGAGCAATTAGGCAAGAAAAAGAAATAAAAGGCATTCAAATTAGAAAGAAGAGGTAAATTATATATGCAGGTGACATGATTCTGTATAAAGAAATCCCACAGAACCCACAAAATAACTACTAGAGGTAATAAATTCAACAAGGTTGTAGGGCATAAGACCAACATACAAAAATCAGTTGTTTCTATATACCAGCAATGAGCAATACAAAAAGAAAGGTAAGAAAATAATTTCATTTACAATAGAACCCACAAAAATAAAGCACCCAGAAATAAATTTATCCAAAGAGATGAATGATTTGTACACTAACACTACAAAATATTGCTTAAAGAAATTAAAGGAGACATAATTGAATGAAAAGACATCCCAAGTTCAGCTGGGCGCGGTGGCTCATACCTGTAATCCCAGCACTTTGGGAGGCCGAGGTGGGTGGATCACGAGATCAGGAGATTGAAACCATCCTGGCTAACACAGTTAAACCCCGTCTCTACAAAAAATACAAAAAATTAGCCAGGCATGGTGGCAGGTGCCTGTAGTCCCAGCTACTCGGGAGGCTGAGGCAGGAGAATGGCATGAACCCGGGAGGCGGAGGTTGCAGTGAGCCGAGACTGTGCCACTACACTCCAGCCTGGGGAACAGAGCGAGACTCCCTCTCGAAAAAAAAAAAAAAAAGAAAAGAAAAGACATCTCACGTTCATGGATTGGAGGACAATACTGTTAAGATTGCAACCCCCCAAAGCAATCTACAGAATCAATCCCCTCCCTATTAAAATTCCAATGACCTTTTTTGCAGAAATGAAAAAGGTGATATTCAAATTCATATAAAGTTGCAACTGGCCCCAAATAGTCAAAACAATATAGAAAATGAAAAAGTTGGGAGACTCATACTTCCCAAACTTACTACTTCAAAACTTACTACAAAGCTTCAGTAATCAAAACAGTGTGTGATATGGTTTGGCTGTGTCCCCATCCAAATCTCATATTGAATTGTAGCTCATATAATCCCCACATGTTATGGGAAGGAACCCAGGGGGAGGTAACTGAATCGTGGGGGTGCTGTTCTCATGATAGTAAGTCTCACAAGATCTGATGGTTTTATAAAGCACAGTTCCCCTGCACAGACTCTCTTGCCTGCTGCCATGTGAGACATACCTTTCCTCCTTCTTTGCCTTTCACCATGATTGTGAGGCCTCCCCAGCCATGTGAAACAATGAGTCCATTAAACCTCTTTTTCTTTATAAATTACCCTGTCTCAGGTATGTCTTTATTAGCAGCATGAGAACAGACTAATATAGTGTGGTACTGATGTAACAGACTTACAGAGCAACAGAATAGAACTGAGAGTCCAGAAATAAATGCAAACATCTATGGCCAATTTATTTTTAACAAGGGTGCCAAGACGATTCAATAGGGAAAGAATAGTGTTTTCAATAAATGGTGCTGGGAAAACTAAATAAGAACATACAAAGAATGAATTGGGACTCCTATCTCATTCCATATACAAGAATTAACTGAAATGGATCAAAAACCTAAAGGTAAAAACTAAAACAATAAAACTCAGAAGAGGCTGAGTGCAGTGGCTCACACCTATAATCCCAACACTTTGGGAGGCTGAGGTGGGTGGATCACTTGAGGCCAGGGGTTCTAGACCAGCCTGTGCAACATGGCAAAACCCCATCTCTACTAAAAATACAAAAATTAGCCAGGCATGGTGGCGTGTGCCTGTAGTCCCAGTTACTCAGGAGACTGAGGCATGAGAATTGCTGGAACCCAGGAGGCGGAGATTGCAGTGAGCCAAGATCATGCCACTGCACCACTGCACTCCAGCCTGGGCAACAGAAGGAGACTCGGTCTCAAAAAAAAGAAGAAAAAAAAAAAGTTTAACATTCAGAATATATAAAGAACTCAACAAACATTGTCTTCCCTCCAAAAATACACAAATGGCCAAGAGTCACATGAAAAGACATTCAATATCTTTGCTCATCAAGAAAATACAAACCCAAACCACGAGATACCACTTTAACTAGAATAGCTTTAAACAAAAATATATACATACATATACACATACCACACACACACACACACACACACACACACATATATCCTTTTGTAGTTCATAAGTGTGATTGGGTATTCAAATGAAGGTGTGAGAGGTGCCACTCTGAAACCTTGTTATGACGTCGGCACATTACCCATATGACATGAAAAAGAAACAAAACAAAAAAAATAAATTTAGCAAAGATGTCCTGAAATTGGAACACTGCTGGTGGGAATAAGTTAAACACGATATTACCGTATGACCAGCAATTCCACTCCTAGGTATATACCCAAGTGAAATAAAAACATACCTACACAGAAACTTGTACACAAATGTTTATAGCAGCATTATTCTTAATAGTCAGTGAAAATAATCCAAATGCCCATGAACAAATGAATAGACAGATTGTGGCATGTATGTACATACAATGGATTATGATTCAGCAATAAAAAGGAACAAATACTGGCACATGCTACAATTTGGATGTACCTCAAAAACATCATGCTAAGTGAAAGCAGCCAGATACAAAAAACAAGTTATATGATTCCTAGATGCTATATCTAAAATAGGCAAATCCACAGAGACCAAAAGCAGATTAGAGGTTATCAAGGGATGGGAGGATTGGGGAATGGGAGTGATTACTTAATGGGTAAAGGGGGATGAAAAGTTGTTTTTCTTTTTTAAGAGATAGGTTCTCCATCTGTCCTTCAGGCTGGAGTGCAGTGGTGTGATCATAGGTCACTGCAGCCTCGAATTCCTGGGCTCAAGCGATCCTCCTGCCTCAGCCTCTGGAGTAGGTGGGACTACATACAGGCTCAAGCCACTGTGCCCAGTTTTGTTTTGTTTTGTTTTGTTTTGAGATGGAGTCTTGCTCTGTCTCCCAGACTGGAGTGCAGTGGCGTGATCTCAGCTCACTGCAACTTTTGCCTCCTGGGCTCAAGTGATTCTCCTGCCTCAGCCTCCTGAGTAGCTGGGACTAGAGGCATGCGCCACCACGCCCAGCTAATTTTTCTATTTTTAGTAGAGACGGGGTTTCACCATGTTGGCCAGGATGGTCTTGATCTCTTGACCTCATGATCCGCCCGCCTCAGCCTCCCAAAGTGCTGGGATTACAGGCGTGAGACACCACACCCAACCAAGCTAATTCTTTATTTTTGTTGAGATGGAGTCTTCCTCTGTTGCCCAGGCTGGTCTCAAACTACTGGACTCAAGTGATCCTCCCACCCCAGCCTCCCAAAATGCTGAAATTACAGGTGCGGGCTACCATGCCTGGCCTGATTTTTAAACTAGAGAGAGCTGGTGGTTGCAGAACATTGTGAATACACTAAATACGGCTGAGCTGCACACTTAAAATGCTTAATTGTATGTTATGTGAATTTTGCCTCAATAAAACATTGGGCTATAATATACTGGTTCATTTATGCAAATACTTGAGAACCTACCATATGCCAGGCACACTCCTAGTACACAGGTTAAGGTAATAGAAATACATTCTCTGCAGGCCGGGTGTGGGGGCTCACACCTGTAATCCCAGCACTTTGGGAGGCTGAGGCGGGCAGATCCCTTGAGCACAGGAGTTCGAGACCAGCCTGGTCAACAATGGTGAAACCCTGTCTCTACTAAAAAAATACAAAAATTAGCCAGGTGGGGTGGTGCATACCTGTAATCCCAGCTACTCGGGAGGCTGAGGCATGAGAATGGCTTGAACCTGGGACGCATAGGTTGCAGTGAGCCAAGATCACACCACTGCACTCCAGCCTGGGTGACTGGGAGACTCCATCTCAAAAAAAAAAAAAAGAAAAAGGAAAGGAAAACCATTTTCTGCTATGGAAAAAAAAAAAAAGCAAGGCAAGTGACCACAGCAACAGCATGGGCTGTTTAATTAGGGTGTTCAGAAGACCCCTTTGAAGAGGTAAAATGTGAACAGAGGCCTGAATAAATCGAAGTGTTGTTGTTGTTTTTGTTGTTGTTTGAGACAGTCTCACTGTCACCCAGGCTGCAGTGCAGTAGCGCCATCTCGGCTCACTGCAACCTCCACCTCCCGAATTCAAGCGATTCTCCTGCCTCAGCCTCCCAGGTTGCTGGGACTACAGGCATGTGCCACCACACCCAGCTAATTTTTTTTTTTTTTTTTTGGTTTAGTAGAGATGGGGTTTTACCATGTTGGCCAGGCTGGTCTCGAACTCCTGACCTCAAGTGATTCGCCCACCTCAGCCACCCAAAGTGTTGGGATTACAGGCGTGAGCCACCACGCCCAGCCCAAATTGAAGAATATTATTATTGCTAAATAACAGAAAAAAAAGTGCTAAAATACGAATTTAAATATATAAAAATTCATATGTTAAAATTGCTTTTTAAAAAGGGAGATATCTATAGATGTTCCTTTTGTGCAAATATACTGTGATTTCAGTTTCTAGACATTTTACCCTTTTTATAAATAATTTATTTGCAGTCCAATAATGTCCTTCTACTCCCACCGGTATTTCTTCCAGGGACAGGCCATACTTCCAAGACAGCCTGTCATCCACATTGCTAATAAGTCATTCCCTTTATCAAACCACTCAGGAAAGGAAAGGGGAAGAGAAATGATCACTTCTGAAATATTAGGTTCTTATATTCTCTCACATGCTCTGATTTTTCTTGTTCTTGTTTTGAGACAGGATCTCACTGAGTCACCCAGGCTAAAGTGCGGAAGTATGGTGACACAGTAACACCTCACTGTAGCCTCGACCTCCTGGGCTCAAGCACTCCTCCCGCATCAGCCTCCTGAGTAGTTAGATGGGACTACAGGAGCACGCCACCAGACCCAGCTAATTTTTAAATTTTTTGTAGAGACAAGGTCTTATAACACTATGTTGCCCAGGTTGGTTGAGAACTCCTGGATTCAAGCGATCCCCCCGCCTCATCCTCTCAAAGTGCTGGGACTATAGGTATGAGCCACTGCACCTGGCACAGGCTCGTTTTTTTTTTAGACAGTTTTACTCTTGTTGCCCAGGGTGGAGTGCAATGGCACGATCTTGGCTCACTGCAACCTCTGCCTCCCGGGTTCAAGCAATTATCCTGCTTCAACATCCCAAGTAGCTGGAATTACAGGCATGTGCCACCACGCCCGGCTAATTTTGTATTTTTAGGTGAGATGGGTTTTCACTATGCTGTTCAGGCTGGTCTCGAACTCATGACCTCAGGTGATCCACCCACCTCGGCTTCCCAATGTGCTGGGATTACAAGCATGAACCTCCGCACCCAGCCCAGGCTCACTTTTAAGTCTCACAATTACTTTTTTATTATGGTAAATTACACATAAAATTTATCATTGTAATCATTTTAAGTGTATAGTCCAGTGGTATTAAATACATTCATAATGTTGTGCGACCATCACCACCATCCATCTCCAGAGGGAGAATTTAGGTTTCAGAGGCTTTTCCACGTGACTGTGAACTCTACAGTTACCTTTGCATAGATGAGAAAACTGAGGCTTAGAAAGGAAGAGTAATTTAACAGCATAGTTAGCTGAAGGACAGACCAGAATTCAAAGCAGGTCTAATTCCTTCCATACATAAACTGATCTCCTTTTTACTGTGTACATCATAGACCAGACTGCAGAAATAGAAAGAATGAAGTGAGCCAACCCTTGAGAAGCTTGTCGTCTCAACCCTAGAGACCTATCCCAGATGCACAGAAATATCCTTCAACCTGGAGAAGGCAGGGAAGGCTCTCACGCCACCACCTCCACCCAACAAGGGCCAACTTAGGTCTAAGAACAAAGAAATCTACCCTCTGTCATCCCAAGGACCTGACCTAGTGGCCTCAGTGTCTGGCTGCATTCCGTTATTCACAGCCCTTCCTGGAGCAGGTACAAATGGCCATGAAACAAGCCCCTACATCTCTGCTCAGCCACCACTGACCCCTCCTGGTTGCACGTTCAAAACCTTGACAGTGGTTCTCACAGAAGAGCTAAAGTATTCTCCAAAATAGCCAAACATCATTTCCCTGCTAACAGTGGTAAGGGCTTCCATGCCTTTAACTCATATTTCCACAGGCAATCTGCAGTTATAATTAAATTCAAGATGAATAGGTACTAGCCTGCAACCATTATGCTCTCTGCAGAGTGACCAGGCCTTGGGGACTTGTTCATCACTAACAAGCTAATGTTTGTAAAACCCTGTAAGACACAATGACTAAATACTATCATTATTACTAGACTACCAGTTTAAATGTAAATTAAGAGAGAAAGGAGAAAGAAAACACATTAGCAAATCAGGTTAGGGACTGTTACTCAGCAAGCTGTAAGAAGCATCTGAGCCACTGCGTAAAGAACCTCCCATCCAAATGTGTCAAAGGAGAGTGAATCCGAGGAGGCTGCTGTAAGAAAGGAACTTACGCCAGAGATGGAACGGAGTGCGGCCTAGAGTATCAGCCATATAGGCAAAACAGATGTTGGATGGAAGGGAAAGGCTGCATGAAAAATACACAATTTGTTTAAAAAGCACTCTACAGCAGCAAAACTAAGTCTACTCTGAAAGCAAAACTAAGAAGTTTAGAATCTGAAGAAAATCTAAAACTGCACTGTAATTCAGCTGTGGTGAAACCATGAACTCTGGGGTCCAACAGGCCTGTTGCTCTTCCTTTTCCTCATCTGCAAAATGGGGAGAATTCCTGCCTCAGAAGTTAGGCTGTCACAAAGGCAGCACCCAGAAGTGGCCGGGTGCCTTTTCCTGTACCCTCTCCCCTGAAGGACAGCCACAGGAGAACCCCTTCCGACTCACGGGCCCTCTGCCAGGCGACTCCCTGCCAGCCCAGGCTTCCCCACTCCTGCTGCTAGCTTCCCTAAGAGTTACCTCCTTGGGAAACGCCTCCTCCTAACCCAGGTTGAAACTGCACAGCGCCTCCACAATGCACCAGAGCCTCTGTTCCACTGTTGTGGCACCTACTACATGGTGCCATAATGAAATTATTCTTCTGGCTCATTCATCACATGGAAGCTCCTTGAAAACAGAGATCAGACGGCATCCTATCTGACTTTTTAGCTTTAGCAACGAGCATAGCCCCTAGCACTTAGAAAGTTCTCAAAGAAAGTGTGGGTGATTCAATAATTCTCAATTGACCCTAGCTGGAATCAGAAGCCAAGCATCAGAGGGGCCCAGTACCTCACGCCTGTAATCCCAGCACTTTGGGAGGCCGAGGCGGGCAGATCACCTGAAGTCAGGAGTTCAAGACCAGCCTGGCCAACGTGGTGAAACCCTGTTTCTACTAAAAATACAAAAATTAGCCAGGCGAGGTGGCGGGTGCCTGTAATCCCAGCTACTCAGGAGGCTGGGGCAGGAGAATAGCTTGAACCCAGGGGGCGGAGGTTGCAGTGAGTCGAGATCGTGCCACTGCACTCCAGCCTGGGCAAGAGCAAAACTCCACCTCAAAAAAAAAAAAAAAAAAAAAAAAAAAGGCCAAGCATCTTCCCAGGAGCAAACGTTGGGAACAGGAAAAATGCAGGGAAAAACCTATCCTGCGTGAAGAGCCCTTGCTTTGTCATTATTTGCCTTGGGAGAATTACTTACCTAAACACTGAGAGCCTCAGCTGCCTCCCACATAAAATAAGAGACCTCAACTAGAAAACTTCTGTGGTCCCTAACTAACAAGATCTGATATTTACATTGTAAGATCTTAACATTCTTACTCTGTTACATCTCAATCCCCTAATACTATGAAAATTAACATTTGCACAATGCTTTCCCATCCATCTTACTCATAATAAGCAAGTGATGTCCCTGGTGCTAGTAGCCCCATTTTATAGATAGGGACATCAATTCAGCGGGGCCAAGCAGCCTGCCCAAGGTCATTCTACCACTAAATACAGAGGGCAGACTGGAATTCAGATCCTCAAAGTTGGTACCCTCCACCATGCCACACTTCTCCAGCTGTGGGGTGGACAGCTCCAGGGATACACAGTGGGATTCCAGAAACACAATACATCTTTTGGAGAATCAACAGTTTTGAAAGATTTAGGGAACGAAGTAAGTTTATATTAAAACAATCAGCCACGTTACTGAGTACAATGTAAAATTCACATTAAATTTTAAGATAAAACTTAATGGGCATACCAAACCCCCTCCCACTAAGGGGAAAGTCACACAGAAAAGCCTCTGAAACCTAAACTCTTAATTCACCCTGTAATAAGGTTTCAAATAGCAGGTTTAATTTCCAGCATAAAGTTATAATTTCTGGGAATTACTGGACATGAAAGAGCTCAAGAGAACTAGTTTTCCTGTTCTTCCAGCTTTTAAGTCATTAAAAGCATCCAAGAAAATTACATTGTCAAATAAAACTTTCCATCAAAGAACCCCCATAATGCAACAAATCCTGGAGCTAAGCATTATCAGAACGGGAGGATGGAAGCCTGACCTCCAGGAACACACCGTTAAAGGAGGCAGCTACAAGGCACACCCAAGTGCCGACACACATTCCAAACACATGGAACCACTGTGGGCATCTGGCACATCCCTCCTGTCTCCCCGGCTTGCAGAATCTGGACACAAACACTGACCCAGAGCTTACCATGTGCCTGGCCCTTGGTGGAAGGAGGGAAGGCCTAACGAGCACCTCATTACCTTGTGTACGCAGGCCTCCTAACGGGCATTAACCTTCCAGAACACAAAATTAATCTCAGGAAACCTTCATTACAATTCTCATGACTCCTGGAGATTCACATTTCACCACTTTGATGCTACTGTTGCCTTACAGATTATATTACCCCACTTGGTTAATCAATTTAGCTTTTCTTTCCACTTAAAGAAATCAAGTTTCCAATAAATACGCTTTTGGGTTCTGCCACAGAATCAGTGTTTCAGCTGGAAAGGAAATCAGAATGTCCAAGCAGCAGGTCGCCATATCTTTCTTGGTAGAATGGCCTCATGAGAAGTTACCACCAAATAGCCTCCATTTAATTTTTTTTTTTTTTTAATGCTCGAAATCAGCATGGAACAAATCGTAGTAAAAAAGTAAATTGTGAAATGAAATGTAGGGCCCCCAATTTTTCAGTTCTTGAGAATTAAGGAGACTTAGGTCATTTAAACATGGATGACAGAGGAGTAGGTTGGGGAAAGGACTTTTTTTAAATTTTAGAGCCAAGACAGGGTGCGGTGGCTCACGCCTGTAATCCCAGCACTTTGGGAGGCTGAGATGGGTGGATCACTTGAGGTCAGGAGTTTGAGACCAGCTTGGCCAACAGGGTGAAACCCGCTCTCTACTAAAAATACAAAATTAGCTGGGAATGGGGGCAAGCACCTGTAGTCCCAGCTACTTAGGAGGCTAAGGCAGGAGCATTGCTTGAGCCCAGGAGGCAGAGGCTGCAGTGAGCCAAGATTGCACCACTGCACTCCAGCCTGGGCAACAGAGCAAGACTCCATCTCAAAAAAAACAAATAGGCCGAGTGTGGTGGGACTACACACCTGTAGTCCCAGCACTTTGGGAGGCTGAGGTGGATCACCTGAGGTCAGGAGTTCAAGACCAGTCTGGCCAACATGGCGAAACCCTGTCTCTACTAAAAAATACAAAAATCAGCTGGGAAGGCTGGGCACAGTGGCTCACACCTGTAATCCCAGCACTTTGGGAGGCCGAGGCAGGTGGATCACTTGACGTCTGGAGTTTGAGACCAGCCTGGCCAAGATGGTGAAACCCCATCTCTACTAAAAATACAAAAATTAGCCAGGTATGTTGGCACACACCTGTGGTCCCCAGCTACTCAGGAGGCTGAGGCAGGAGAATCACCTGAATCCAGGAGGTGGAGGTTGCAGTGAGCTGAGATCGCGCCACTGCACTTCAGTCTGGGTGACAGAGTGAGACTCTGTCTCAAAAAAAAAAAAAAAAAATAGCCAAGCGTGGTGGCAGGCGCCTGTAATCCCAGCTACTCGGGAGGCTGAGGTAGGAGACTCATTTGAACCCAGGAGGCGGAGGTTGCAGCAAGCCGAGATCGGGCCACTGCACTCCAGCGTGGGCAACAGAGTGAGCCCCTGTTTCAAATAAAATAAAATAAATAAATAAATTTATTTTAGAGCCAGGGATCTCACTGTGTTACCCAGACTAGAATGATCCTCCCACTTCATCCTCTGGAGTAACTGGGACCACAGGTGCGCATGCCAGGCTAGGAAGGGGCTGTTTAACATTTACACCCCTTCCCCTGCCACTTTGGAGACTTTCAACCTGCAATGAAAAATGGTAGGGACAGCAAAGTGGTGCCACCCAGGTTAGGGCCTGCTGCTCTGTTCCCCTCCACAGACCATGCCCTTCACAGTACAGTATGCATGACCCACATGAGCTCCCAGTCACAAAAGGCCCTGCCTGGCAAGAGCCAAAGGCCAGCACATGCAACTTCCCAACTGGAAACCCAATGACCAGCAGCATGGCCAGCACTGCATCTACTGGCAAGGAGTGACAGGATGGCAAGCCGTCAGATCCCATCTTACCAAAACAAAGTGGGAGGGGGCCCTGTAAGAGGGACCAGATGGCCCCACTATACCAGAGCTTTCCTGACACTGGGCCTCAACTCAACGCCGCTTCCCAGAAGACTTTCTCTTTCCCTTATGGTGGATTCCCACCACGCTTCCAGAATTCTACACAATCCACTAATTCATTTCATCCTACATTTTTACTTTCTGGTTTCTTCCTGGTGGGAGAAAGTATTCTCCCCCGAAGGGTTAGCACCCTGAGGGCAGGATGGTAGATTTGCATTTTTCCTTATCCTTCCTGCCACAAGCTCCTGTCCTGGTCTGTCTCAGTCAAGTATCTGCTGGTTTCTGGCATGTCCCTTCACTGTGCACAGGGGCCAAGATGGCCTATATCCCTGCAAATCACACCCTAGCAGATGGGTGCTGTGTCTCACTCTTCCCAGCACGGTAACCAGAACATTATGAGAACTCAGGGCACATTAACTGAATATTAATTAAATGAGAAAAAGACTCCCAAGTCCCAATTAACAATCCACTTATCTCGAGGAATACAGAATGCAGCATCGATTCCAACCTGATTCCTAAAGTTGATAGAAACCAACAGGCATCAACATTTATGACATCCCACTACCTGCCAGCCTACTCCAAGTCATCTGTACAGGCCGACAATAAGCTTCACCGAAAGAAAAAAAAAAAAGGTATTATGCTTAATAGTAAAAAACTCTGCCTTCTCCCTAGGGTGGTCTGTCTCCCCACCCCCTTTCCTGGAATAGTGTTGTGCAGAACTTAGTCAATAAAGGCTTTCTCAAATGAGAAAGCCATTTTGTATTTTAATTATGAATAATAAATTTTACACAAGCACACATAACATTTTCTCGGTTTTTTTTTTCTTTTCTATTTAAAACTGCATTTTCTTCTATTTCCATTCGCGTCTTTGGGACCCAAAGCCTGCTGCGGTGGTGCAAACCACATGGCACCTATCCCCTGTACCTCTCCCGGGCGTCTGGGCCTCCCTCATTCTGGCTTCATCACTCCTGCTGAAAGCAAGTCTAAGCATCATTTCCACAATCAGGCCTCGGCTGCTTCTCTCTGGTAGCCTTCCAAATCCTCTGGCCTCACCTCCTTCTTTCTCACTCTTCCCACTTTCTCTGTATCTGAAGTCAGTTATTATGACTCTTCCATGCAAAAAAAGAACACCAAGTGATTTTTCTTCCTCCATGAACACTCGCAAAGCAGCAGCAAGGGGTCCTGATTCCATGGAGTGGACCCTAAGGGCCTTGGCCACGAGACGTCGCCTCTGCTAAGTTAACAGTTCTTTAAACTGACCATTGCAAGGAAATTCAGCTATTGCATAATACTTGATAGGTTAGATCACTTGCTGTTTGGAGAGTCTTGCTATATGAAGATGAGAAAATAGAGTTGGGCAAATTTAACGCAATTTCCTTTGTTTGCTTGAGCTAGCTCAGACTTGCAACGCCACAGTGGCAGTTTTATCTTTCTTAAAGTACAGCTTTAACATCATAAAAAAGGATTTTAAGGGAGTGATCAATCATTCTCACCTAACCTGACAATATCATTAGCATACGTATCCTGACAATACCCTAGAAAGGTCCTTCTTGAGTTGCACAGTGAAAAATTAAAGGGATTCTTGCAGGAGTATTTAGAGAATCAGAATCCGCAACGCAGGCTCAGATGTCTCAGTTAAATGAAGGACTTTCTTCAAGGCACAAACAAGAGTAGGGATATTTTGATGGTATTAACAGAAACAACTGGCCACTGTTACTGCCTGTTTCCAGTGAAATGTCTTTACAGCCTCTCACTGAGTGAAGCCATCTTATTAATTCCAAAAGAAGGGACAGCATCCAAGGAAAATAATTGGTCTTCTTTCCCCTCGCAGAGAAATTCACATGAATGTCTCAAAAAAAAAAAAAAAAAAAAAAAAAAAAAGCTGGAATTCTCCCTGGCCAGCTCTCTCTCCTTTCCTGGCTTCTGCATTGACAGCTGGAACAGATGGCGTCTGGGTGAGACACCTTACATCTTAACCCTTATCCATGATAAGGTCTGATTTTCACCAGCGATGCTGGAATCCAAGGTCTGTCAGGGTTTCCGTCATGAGCACCCACTCACAGGATTTCCAGTCCCATGTGATGTTTTCCAGTTTTCATATCGATAAGGCTTATCTTGTTTTGGCCAAAGAATTTTCATCTTTAGACTAATTCTTAACATTTACATTGTCACAACGCGGCGAAAAGGTACACATTTCCTCTCATTTGAGAAAAGAACGCTGTACACTATTTTGCCAGACATCCTACATATGATGCAGTCTGTTCACAGGCCATTTTCAAAGACGTGAGAGACATGAGAAGATCTCAGGACGAACTGATGGTCCACTTGGCCATTCCCTACAGTAAGAATTTTATAGACAAATACAGGGTAACAGCAAACAACATTTCCAAACGCTCCGGCAGTGTGTAGTCGCAGCAAATGCTAGGAAAAAAAATAAATAATGGCTCCTCTTCAGTTGTATGCCGTGAATGTAAATTAAGAAGCCGCTACAACGCTCGACATAACCTTTCTGACGCCACAAAAATGAATGAATTATATCCATACACACACACAGGCACACACACCACGCACCACGCATCACATGTCATTCTGAAAACTGATTCTGAGCTTAATTCGAAAAACGTGAAATACAACTGGTCCCGTCAACAGCTCGTAATCTGAAGGTTTCTTGCATTTCCAAGCACGTCCATAACACCTCATCCGTTTCCAGTTTGTTACTGTTTCCAACCGAAGGGAGAGAATTTTCCACACAGAATTATCTCCTCGGGTCCAAATACTAGACCGAAGTCCCCACACGGGGCTGGCTGGCGGCGTGGAACCGGCCAGCCCGCCGAGAGCCGCCTGGCGCCCGCGGGGAAGACGCAGAGCCCGCGGCCAGGAGCCGCCCGGTGCCCCGGGAGTCGCCGGCCCTCGGCGGCCGCGCGAGGGGGATTCGCGCCCTCTGCCCATACCCGGACCCCCGCGCCGCCCGCCAAGCGGTCGGAGGCGCCTCTGAGGCGGAATGACTCAGGACCAACTTTCCAATAACGCCCGGGCCCCCCCGGCCGGCCCGGGCAGCGCGCTCGGCCACGCAGCCCCTGAGCCGCCCGTCCCCCCGCGTGAAACCCGCGGCCCCGCGGGGTGCCGGGTCCTCAACGCCAGCGGGGGTCACGGCCGTAGCGAGGCCTGCGCGCCCCGTTTCCTGAAAAGGTGCGGGCGCCCCGGCCCCCTCGGGCCCCGAGCCCGGCCTCCGGGACAAAGTTTGCCGAAGTTGAGGCGTCCGGAGGCGGGAGGCAGCCCGGCTGGGGCGCGGGGCCAGGCTGAAGCCGCGCCCCGCCGTCGCCGCTGGGACGGGCCGGGCCTGCGCCGCGCCGGGCCCGCGCCGGGCAGCCCCGAGGCCCCCGGGCCCCGCCGCCCAGGGCGCGGGATGGAGGCGACGGGGATGGAGGCGCCCGGCCGCGCGCCGGAGGCCCGCCCGCCCGCCGCGGCCCCTTACCTCGCGGTCCGTCGCCGCTCGGCCGGCTCAGGGGCGCCGGGCGCGTCCTCCGCCGCGGTCCGCAGCGTTCTGCTCCCCGGGCTGCCCCATGGCGGGGGGCGGGGAAGAGCCGGCGGCCGCCGCGGCTGCCGCCGGCTGGAAAGTCCCGGCTGGGCTGCAACCCCGGCTCGCGCACGCGGCGGCCGCGCCGCGCTCCCTCGCTCCCTCGCTCCCTCACGCAGCCCCGCGCAGGCACTTCCTCTCGCGCGCTGGAAATCCCCGGCGCGCCCGCCGCCCCGCCCCCGCCGCCCGCGCGCGTGGGAGCGGCAGGAGCCCGCGAGCGCCGCCGGCCCCACGCGCCCGCCGGCCCCCCGCGCGCGCCCGCGACCCGTTGCTAAGGGCCCTAGCGCCCGGCGGCCGCCCGCCCGGCCTTAGCAACGGCGGCGCCGCGGCGCGGGGCGGGGACGGCCCCGGGCGCCCCCCGCCTCCCTCCCGTCCCCGCCGCGCGCCCCGCGGGCCTCCTCGCTCTGCGCCGCCCCCGCCGCGCCCCCGCCGCCGCGCGTCCCCGCGTCCCCGCCTTTCCGGGTCAAAAAGCCACGCAGGCCGCGTGGGGGCCGAGAGGTGCTGGCGCCGCTCCTCCCCGCGGCCACCTCGCCCGCACCCCCCACGCCAGCATAGCATACGCAGCCCCCGTGCGTGCACGCCCGTGTGCCCATGGCCACACGCGACCCCTACGCACACGCACGGGTCCGATATGCGGCCCCCCGCACTGTCGCGGACGCATACACGACGGTCACATTCCCCTCAAGCGGACACGCACACACACGCTCACCAACACCGTGCGCACGCGTACCAGGCCACGCACCCTCGCGCACACGCAGGTGGGGCTGAGGGTGACTCAGGCCGTGGAGCCCCTTTTCGCATGCAGAGGGCAGGGCTCCACATTAGTTTGGTGGCACTTTCCTTTCTCCCTCCCTTGGACCCTCCCACGCCCCCGGAGTGGTGTCTTGCTCACGGGTGGACAGGGTAGCCAGTTTGCCACGTGCCCCCAGCGTCCTCGGCGGTCCTGGCTGCCCCTGCGCCCCCTGCACCCTCCACCAGGCCGCTGGGGCCTGCGCATTTCTCCCGAGGCCTCTGCCTTCTGCCCCAAAGGCATCAGTGGTGTGTCAGTGATTCACCTAGGCCCACCAAGGCAGCACCCAGCCTGGCTGGGCCTGGCGAGGTGGGAAGCGAAGGGAGGGCTTCTGGGAGGCTCTGGGCCAGCTGAGGGGTGAGGCCTTCGCTGGAGTTTGCAAGTCAGTGGTGAGGGGACAGAAAGGACTTTGCATTTTTCACTTCTCAAGAAGGCTTATAAAGAGCCCTACCCCAGAGCTGAGACCAGTGTGAGTAGCCAAGGCCAGTCTGCCTTCTTGTATTGCTCCAGTGACTCATGTGAGTGGAGGCAGGAAGTCCAGCATCTCCTCCTACAGCTTCACCCATGGAACGTTCCAGAACCCCAGATAGTCCGACCTGGCTGCTGGAAGTCTATCTGGACATCAGAGACATTGGACCATGTCTCTGGCTCCATTAGCCCAACAGATGCTTGTTCTACAGCCACACTCACCAGGCCACAGTGGCACCCCCGTCTGCGCCACAGGCACAGCTCTTTTAGAGGTGACAGGCCCGCCTTCGCCGTCCCTCACAGGGACCTATGGACTCCAGCGGTCTCCCCCACCCCCATGGTGGACTCCCCTTGGGAGCCTCAGGTGCCCTTTCTTGCCTGTCAGGAGTTGGGATGTTACTGACCTCAGGCTCAGGGTCCCAACCACTTCCCATAGCCCAGGCACTGAGGCCTCCCATGTCCCCAGCCCTGCTTAGCCCACAGTCCTGGCACCCTGTCGACTGGGGCCCACTCCCAACGCCTGCCTTATGCTGTGTGTTACCTATGGCCTGGTTTAACTTTGCCAAAATCAGGAAAGACTCCCTTTCCTAGGCTGGACTATTTTTGGTTGTTTTAAAAGAAGCAGGACATGGACCGGGCATGGTGGCTCACACCTGTAATTGCAGCACTTTGGGAGGCCGCGGGCAGGCAAGTCACCTGAGGTCAGGAGTTCGAGACCAGCCTGGCCAACATGGTGAAACCACGTCTCTACTAAAAACACAAAAATCAGCCGGGCGTGGTGGAGTGTGCCTGTAATCCCAGCTACCCAGGAGGTTGAGGCAAGAGAATCACTTGAACCCAGGAGGCGGAGGTTACAGTGAGCTGAGATTGTGCCATTGTACTCCTATCTGGGCGACAGAGTGAGACTCTGTCTGGAAAAAAAAAAAAAAAGTAGGATGGTGGCTTATGCCTGTGGTCCCAGCACTTTGGGAGGCTGAGGCGGGAGGATCGCTTGAGTCCATGAGGTTGAAGCTGCTGTGAGCCATGATGGCACCACTGGACTCCAGTCTGGGCAACAGAGCGAGACCCTGTCTCAAAAAAATAAAAATAAATAAATAATTAAAGAAAAGAAAAGAAGAAGCAAGGCAGAAGGTCCAAAGACCCATGAGAGGGTTTTCTGCGGCTCTTTTCATGCTCCAGCCTAGCATTAGAAAGCAACATTGAGAATGAAGTCAGGCACAACCAGGCTGAGCCCTCTGCTGGTGAGACCTATTCCCTCCCTTTCTCTCCCTCCCCTCCTCCTCCTTTTTCTTCTCCAATTGAGCAGTTCTGAAGATCCTCTGCTGTGGGGAATTGAAGGGGGACAGGACAAAGAAGTTTGCCCCAAGCAGGGCAACTGCTTTGGGGGTTGGTGGCGGGTGTTCTCGCCCCTGCAGTTAGAGCCACAGGGCAGCAGTGATGGGCAGGAAGGAGAGCTCTCTCCTCGCTGTACTTCAAAGGCAGATCTCTGTTCCCTATGGCAACGTCCAACAACAAACCGACACCATCTTTGGACGCATTTCTCACAGGAGTTGATGTAGCATTACATGTTCTGCTTGCTGCATTTTTGGAGAAGTGCATGCAGATACTCAAGTGACTCACAGACATGCAACAGCTCAGAAGGCCATCCTGTTTGTCTTTCAGTGAGAAGGAAAAGGTATTCGTGGCAGAGTGCCAGGGGCTTTGGGGCTAGGAAAGGGGTTTTCTTATAACTCTCCCTGAATGTGATGGTCTGTGCCTCAGGTGGCGCCTTCCCACACAAAAACCACTGGCCCCTGTGGGTCAACTTGGGCTGAAGGGTGCTGGCAACTTCTCTCACTCAAACATGCTACACGTGGCCTGGGGGTGGGGGGTGGGGACCTTGGTTTTGATTTGTTTTGTTTTATTTTATTTTGAGACGGAGTTTCACTCTTGTTGTCCAAGCTGGCATGCAATGGCGCGATCTCAGCTCACTGCAACCTGCACCTCCCAGGTTCAAGCCATTCTCCTGCTTCAGCCTCCTGAGTAGCTGGAATTACAGGCACACACCACCATGCCTGGCTAATTTTTTGTATTTTTAGTAGAAACGGGGTTTCACAGCCAGGCGCGGTGGCTCACGCCTGTCATCCCAGCACTTTGGGAGGCCGAGGCGGGCGAATCACGAGGTCAGGAGATCGAGACCATCCTGGCTAACACAGTGAAACCCCGTCTCTTCTAAAAATACAAAAAATTAGCCAGGTGCGGTGGCGGGCGCCTGTGGTCCTAGCTACTCGGGAGGCTGAGGGAGGAGAATGGCCTGAACCCGGGAGGCGGAGCTTGCAGTGAGCAGAGATAGAGATAGCGCCACTGCAGTCCAGCCTGGGCAAAAGAGTCCGGCCTGGGTGAAAGAGCGAGACTCCCTCTCAAAAAAAAAAAAAAAAAGAAACAGGGTTTCACCATGTTAGCCAGGCTGGTCTTGAACTCCTCACCTCAGGTGATCCGCCCACCTCAACCTCCCAAAGTGCTGGGATTACAGGTGTGAGCCATGGTGCCCAGCCTCGGGGGGCGGACCCTGATGCACGGCAGAATCACAGTTTTACTAATTGTTCCAACAAGTGGCTTCTGAACCTTTGAATACATTTTACATGGTAACCCAGTTGTTCATAACCTGTGTGTGTACACACACGTAACAACAGATCATCTCAAACCTGCGGCGCACTCCGATATTTTCCGTTCTGTTTATTTTTTAATGGTGGCCATTACCCTTTAAGCTTACTTTTGATTCATGACCTGAAGTTTGAAAACACCATTTTAGACTGAAAGAGCTGCTGAAGATGTCGAAGGGGGTTCAGGGAGCTGGGGTGGTCGTGGCGCCAAAGCACCCCGCTCTGTCGTGAGTGCACAGTGGGGCAGCTGGGCTGGGAAGCCCATCCTGTCCTTGAAGTAGACCCTGGCTGACAGCAGAGGTCGCCAGCAAAGAAGCAAGCTGCTGGTGCCCTTCTCGGGCCAGGGATGCTTGTAAACAAATGCAGAGGAAATGGGGGTGGGGAGGCAGAGCAAGCCAGGCATGGTGGCGGGCACCTGTAATCCCAGCTACTCAAGAGGCTGAGGCAGGAGAATGGCCTGAACCTGGGAGGCTGAGGTTGTAGTGAGCCGAGATCACGCCATTGCACTCCAGCCTGGGCAACAGAGTGAGACTCCGTCTCAAAAATAAAGGAAAGAAAGAAAGGAGGGAAGGAAGGAAAGGAGGGAAGGAAGGAAAGAAGGAAGGAAGGTCGAGATGGGCGTGGGTGTGCAAACCCCTCACGCGGGATATTCGAGAGGGGAGGAGAGGGCAGTGATGACAGGGAAGGTGAGAGGCTGGGGTCCCCGGCCACAGAAAAACAGTTCTAGCGGGCTAGCTGGCTCACACCTGTAATCCCTGCACTTTGGGAGGCTGAGGCAGGAGGATCGCTTGAGGCCAGGAGTTTGAGACCAGCCTGGGCAACACGATGAGATCTCGTCTCTACAAAAAAATCAAAATAAAAATAATTAATCAGAGGCCGGGCACTGTAGCTCATGCCTGTAATCCTAGCACTTTGCGAGGCCCAGGCGGGCAGTTCACTTGAGGTCAGGAGTTCAAAACCAGCCTGACTAACATGGTGAAACCTCGTCTCTACTAAAAATACAAAAAATGAGCTGGGCGTGGTGGCCCGCGCCTGTAATCCCAGCTACTTGGGAGGCTGCGGCAGGAGAATCGCTTGAACATGGGAGGCGGAGGTTGCAGTGGGCCAAGATTGTGCCACCACACTCCAGCCTGGGTGACAGAGCCAGACTCTGTCTCAAAAATAATAATAATAACAATCAATTAGAAGAAAACCAGCTCTGATTTTCTCCGTGGACCACTCGGGGAGATGAAGATACCCTTTTTTTTTTTTTCTGGGACAGGGTCTCACTCTGTCACTCAGGTTGGAGTGCAGTGGTGCAATCATAGCTCACTGTAGACTTGACCTCCCAGGCTCAGGCAGTCCTCCCTCTTCACCCTCCTGAATAGCTGAAAACACAAGTGTGTGTCACCATGTGTGTCACCATATGCCCAACTACTTTTTTTTTTTGTAGAGACGGTCCCTCTACATTGCCCAGGCTGGTCTGGAATTCTTGGGCTCAAATGATCCTCATTTCTCAGCCTCCCAAAGTGCTGGGATTACAGGCGTGAGCCACTGCCCCCAGCCATCCTCATTTTAGGGAACCCATTCTGGGATTTGTATGCACGCACACGCACACACACACACATCTCTGGCATTTTCCCGAAATCTTTTGGGAGAACATGAATCTTGGACGTGGCTGGCATCCTACAGGCAGCTTTGCCTGGAGCCTCACGCCCATCTCGACCGACCTTCCTTCCTTCCTTCCTTCTTTCCTTCCTTCCTTCCTTCCTTTCCTTCCCTCCTTTCTTTCTTTCCTTTATTTTTGAGACGGAGTCTCGCTCTGTTGCCCGGACTGGAGTGCAATGGCATGATCTCGGCTCACTGCAACCTCAGCCTCCCAGGTTCAGGCCATTCTCCTGCCTCAGCCTCTTGAGTAGCTGGGATTACAGGTGCCCGCCACCACGCCTGGCTAATTTTTGTATTTTTTTAGTAGAGACGGGGATTCACCATGTTGGTCAGGCTGGTCTCAAACTCCTCACCTCAGGTGATCCACTCACCTCGGCCTGCCAAAGTGCTGGGATTACAGGCGTGAGCCACCGCACCTGGCCCACCTCGACCTTTAATGCCTTCTCAAAATAGATCCAACTCCATCATACTCCTAAGAAAAAGCATCTTCTGCTGAAGGCATCATGGGAGACCGGGAAGAGGATCGGGATGAAGCAAAACTCACGAAGCCCACTGTGAACACCTCATGCCTTCCTTAAAATCCCACTCAGAGGCCGCACCGCTCTGTCTCATCACTGTCCCCGACCTGCAGGCTCAGAATGGCCCCTCTGTGGCCCCCAACCCCAACCTAATCCCGAGCAACTCAGCCCCAGCCCTCAGCAGCCTGCTCCACTCAGCCAGCAAAGCCAGTGGTTGGTGGGCCCTTGGAGGGCCCAACTCGTCGCATGTGGCAACAGCCAAGGAAGTGAGCCCTGGTCCTCCCTGCACACTGGAAATTAGGAGGGGGGAAATTATTGGGTCCAAATTAAGTCTTGGATTAATGAAACAAAATGTTTGAAAAGTACAGAAATTATCTAATTTGTCAACATTGCACTATGCATCCCACCATGAACAGGGGCAGATGCGGTACCCTCCCTCATCCCCCGAGGCTGAGGACAAGTCTGCAGGGTCACAGGCTGCGGGACGGAAGCGACCCCTCCCACCTTCCCCGTGCTTATTCAGTCCAGAGCTGCTTGCTGGGCATGCCCCACCCCCCAGCTGTCCACCAGCACAAAACCAACTGCATGCCTGGCCTTTCGGAGCTTACTTTCTCGTGGGTGGAGATAGAACAGATCACCACACGTGAATCTATGAGAGCTACAGAGAAAGTAGTGGCAGGGGAGGGAGAGCGGAGGCTTGGAGGGAGAGGCCAGGGAAGGCGGCAGAGGAGGTGTCCTGTGAATGTAGACCCGAGAGAAGGAGGCGGACCCACAGGACCAGCGGGGAGAGCACCCAGGCAGAGGGAACGGCCCGGCCAGAGGCCCCGTAGTCGGTGAGCACTCCGCGAGGCCAATGTGCCTGCAGCCCATGCGCAGGGAGAGAGGCGTGAAGGATAGACACGAGGGTGGGGTAGGGGCATGGGGAGCCGGACATCCATGGCCTTTTGGGTCCTGACAGGACTTTAGTCTGAGATGGGGCACCCACTGTAAAGTTTGATTGACAGCTTGTATTCTATCAAAACTACCTCATATTTGATCTTCACTTTCTTCCAGCCAATAAACATCTGTTGAACATCAGGCAAATTTGAACCACCATGGGACATTATCTTGTGTCATGAACAGACCACAGTTGACTCTCGGTTCCAGCAAGTGGGAGCTGGGGGAGTGAAAATCGGCACGCAGCTGTGGACAGCAACTGATAACACAAGCGTCCTGAGTGCTCAAAACAGAGGCGAATCCCTCTCAACCCAGTGACCCCACATCTGGGACTCTTCAAGAGGAATAACACCAAACACTGGAAACCATTAGGTGCCTCCGCCCCTGAGGCAGAGCAAGGGGGCGATGGGGCATCGCCCTTCATCTGGTGGCTGCCACAGAAGTGATGGTGGGTGCCCAATAGGCAGGGCCTATTGATCTGGTTTGTTTATTTGAGACAGGGTCTCACTCTGTTTCCCAGGCTGGAGTGCAGTGGCACGATCTTGGCTCACTGCAACCTCCACCTCCCATGTGCGCCACCACACCTATTTTTTTTTTTTTTTAGTAGAGATGGGGGATTTTGCCATGGTGGTCAGGGTGATCTCGAACTCCTGGCTTCAAATGATCTGCCCGCCTCTGCCTCCCAAAGTGCTAGAATTACAGGTGTGAGCCACTGTGCCTGGCTTGATGTTGTTGTTGTTTAGACGGAGTCTCCCTCTGTCACCCAGGCTGGAGTGCAGTGGTGTGATCTTGGCTTACTGCAGCCTCCACCTCCTGGGTTCAAGTGATTCTCCTGCCTCAGCCTCCCAAGTAGCTGGGATTACAGATGCCTGCCACCACGCCTGGCTAATTTTTGTATTTTTAATAGAGACGGGGTTTCACCATGCTGGCCAGGCTGGTCTCGAGCTCCTGACCCCAGTGATCCGCCTGCGTCGGCCTCTCAAAGTGCTGATCTAGTTTTTAAATGGATACATATTAGGTTTGTTCAATGTCAATTCCAAATGCCATAGAAACATCTCTAGTCCTTTTTTAAAAACTCCACTTCGGAACCAGTGGAGAGAAAACGGCACGTGGCACTCACGGAGCATGGTCTGTGTGCCAAGGTGGCTCTGGCCACGTCACTGCTGTTCCCAAAGGGCAGCTTTGGCTGAGCTGCTCGCAGTGGTGGAGTCCCCGGAAGAGCCATGGGGACCGTGATGGTCACCTCAGGCCCTGTGCTTCCCCTCGATCACCTGCTCCAGCACACTGGCCTCCAGGAAGTCTTAGTGCACCCACGCTGATTCGCTCCTCACAGCCCTGGCACCTGCTGTTCCCTCTGCCCAGAACACTCCTCCCCAGGTATCTGTGTGCCTTCTCCCCTCTTCCTTCCAGTCAGAGCCAAGAGGGGTGATTCTGGACAAAGAGTGCATTTCCAAGAGGCCAGGGAGGGCAGTGGAGGAGGTACCCTGTGAATGTAGACCTGAGAGAAGGGGGCAGACCCGCAGGACCAGTGGGGAGAGCGCCCAGGCGGAGGGAACAGCCTGGCCAGAGGCCCTGAAATTGGTGAGCACTCCTCGAGGCCAGTGTGCCTGCAGCCTGTGCGCGGGGAGAGAGGCGCGAAGGATAGACACCAGGGTGGGGTAGGGGTGTCGGGAGCCGGACATCCATGGCTTTTTGGGTCCTGACAGGACTTTGGTTTTACTCTGAGAGGGGGCGGCCACTGTAAAGTTTGATTGACAGCTTGTATTCTATCAAAAGTAACCTTCTAGTTAATCTCCACTTTCTTCCAGCCAATAAATATCTGTTGAACTTCAGGCAAATTCATGATAAACCCGTGATATTCACCCCCAAATGGGCCCCTGGCCTGGCACAGTGGCTTCGTGCCTGGAGCATGGAGGACACCAGAGGACAAGCCCCCAGCTCTTCTTGCCAAGAGGCCCCCCAAAAAATAATGGTGATGAGCTCCCTAGGAAAAATGAACCCATGAGGAATCACTAGAGCAAGAGAATTCTCCACCAGAAATCGAAAAAGCAGAACTCAACTCATGACTAACCATATGCTCTTAGGAAGGCACTTCTGTACCTCCTGACCCAGGGTTTCCCCTTTTGTACAGCGGAAATAAGTTAGCCTGCCCTACCCCAAGGGAGCTTCGAGAAGACAGCCAGTGCTGGTGAGGACAACGAGGCCAACGTGTCCTGGGGGGTGCCATGATAATCCAGAAGAAAGGCACAGGGCGGTCTTTTGGAAGCTGTCACTGTAATACTGTGGAAGGATCAGCCCGTCTTTCCTCAGTATGTGAAAGGTGGTTTAACTCTGGGCTCCATGATCAGTTGCCATGGGTAAAAATGATATCTACCCCCACATAATTAAAATAACACTGGGGGCCAGGCACGGTGGCTCACGCCTGTAGTCCCAGCACTTTGGGAGGGCGAGGCGGGCGGATCACTTGAGGTCAGGAGTTTGAGACCAGCCTGGCCAACATGGTGAAACCCAGTGTCTACTAAAAATACAAACATTAAACAGGCGTGTTGACGCACACCTGTAGTCCCAGCTATTTGGGAGGCTGAGGCAGGAAAATCGCTTGGACCCAGGAGGCAGAGGTTGCAGTGAGCCCAGATTGCACCACTACACTCCAGCCTGGGCGACAGAGCGAGACTCTGTCTCTAAAGCAGTCAATCAGTCAATAAAAATGATCATGGGTCAACTCACTTGCGCTCCTGAACTGTCCTGAGCAGAGAATGCCAGGCCTCCTCTCGCCACCCAGTTCTCTGCCAGAGGCTTTGGTCCTCCTGGCTGGTTCCCTCTCCCCAGGGCTGCCCACAGCCTGGAGAGGGTGGAGACCATGCTCACTCTCCATGGTAGGAAGCCCTGGGCAGCCCTCAGAACATTCAACTAAGTGAATGAATGAATGAGTGAATGAGTAAGTGGGCCATCCACCCCAAGTCTCATCTGTCCCATCCATACGCCTCCAGTTTCACTGTGTCATGCTTCATAATAAGTAACTGCCCACACAGGACTGTGGCCCGGGGCTGGGCTCAGAGCTGAGGCTGGCTCTGGCATGTCCACACTGGAGAAGCTTATGGTAGGGCCATCTGTCTGGAAGAGTTGGAGGAACCTGTCTTGAATTCTCATTGCCATAATAAGCAAGATTCCTTTATTTAATATGTGAATTTGAAGTGCATTTGCGGGGCTGAAAATTGGAGTCTGGCCAAGGGCCATGGCTCATGCCTATAATCCCAGCACTTTGGGAAGCTGAGGCAGGAGGAGCGCTTGAGTCCAAGAGTTCGAGATTAGCCTGGGCAATATAATGAGACTGTCTTTACAAAATATCAAAAATAAATAAATAGCTGGACATGGTGGTGTCTGCCTGTAGTCCCAGCTACTTGGGAAGCCAAGGTGGGAGGATCACTTGAGCCCAGATGGTCATAGCTACAGTGAGCCAAGGCTGCACCACTGCACTCCAGCCTGGGTGACAGACTGAGACCCTGTCTCAAAAACAAAATTAAGAAAAGAAAAAGAAAAAGACTGAGGGTCTTTGGCCACCCCCTGGCCTCACCAAGTGTGAACATGAAAGAAACTCAAGGCCAGACCTCCACCCAGTCCAGGCCAATCAAAAACCTGGCGCTCTCTCTATATATATACATTATATATATATAAAATGTGTGTGTGTGTGTGTGTATGTGTTTGTGTAGGAGCGGCGGCTTTTGCCTGTAACTCCAGCAATTTGGGAGGCCAAAGCAGGAGGATCACTTGAGCCCAAGAGTTTGAGACCAGCTTGGACAACATAATGAGACCCCATCTCTATAAAAAATTTAAAAATTAGCCAGCCATGGTGACGTGTGCCTGTGATCTCAGCTACTCAGGAGGCCGAGGTGGGAGGATCGCTTGAGCCTGGGAGATTGAAGCTGTAGTGAGCATGACTGCACCACTGAATTCCAGCCTGGGTGACAGAGCAAGACCCTGTCCCCTGCCCCTACCCCAAAAAAGAATCCACTCTCAACCCCTGCTGCTGTTTGTCTCTGGGAGTTGTTTCAATGACCAACTCTGACTTTGTTCTTCTTACCCAGGTTATGTGTGGGGCAGCCCAATTGTATTTGTGTCTTATTCACCTGAAGCATGAACTCTAATTAATAAACCCAATTACAAGTAGAATTTCCAAACTCGGGGGTGCCGTAAGGCCTTGAGAGGTCCTGGAGGGCTGAGTTGGGTGAGTAGCAATGAAGGAATCCAGGCCACCCATCTTCCCTGGAGCTGGGTCCATGAAAGCAACTCCCCAAGAAGGCGGCTCTTCCAGGGCAGGGTGGGGTGGGGCTTCCCATCTGAAGGCTAAATAAAGGGGTCTGATGAGCCCCATAACACAGAGATCCCCTGTGTTCTCTGTCTTGGGTAGCAAGAATTTAAAAAATCAGTGGATTCACAAATTCGGGGTCTCATTGCACCTCTGTGGTAAATTAGTTGTTTTAAGACGTTAAATCCCGTGCATGATTGCAATGTAGGTGATTTTCCATAACTACCAACTTTCAATTTCCCTCTTTTTTTTTTTCTTTTCTTTTCTTTCTTTTCCCTTCCCTTCCTTTCTCTTTCTTTCTTCCTTCCTTCCTTCCTTCCTTTCTTCTTTCTTTCTTTCCTTGACAGAGTCTCACTCTGTCGCCAAGGCGGGAGTGCAGTGGCGCAATCTTGGCTCACTGCAACCTCTGCCTCCCAGGTTCAAGCAATTCTTTGCCTCAGCCTCCTGAGTAGCTGGGATTACAGGCGCCTGCCACCATGCCCGGCTAATTTTTTGTATTTTTAGTAAAGACAGGGATTCACCATCTTGGCCAGGCTGGTCTTGAACTCCTGACCTCGTGATCACCCGCCTTGGCCTCCCAAAGTGCTGGGATTACAGGAATGAGCCACCGCGCCCGGCCTCTTTTTTTTTTTTTTTTTTTTTTTTTTTTTGATGGGGCCTCATCGTCACTCAGACTGGAGTATAGTGGCACGATCGTGACCCACTGCAGCCTCGACCTCCTAAGCTCAGCCGATCCTCCCATCTCAGCCTATCGAGTAGCTGAGACTACAGGTGGCCGTGTGCCACCACACCTGGCTAATTTTTGTATTTTTTTTGTAGAGATGGGGTTTTACCATGTTGCCCAGGCTGGTCTCGAACTTCTGGGCTTAACCAATCTGCCCACCTCGGCCTCCCAGAGTGCTAGGATTACAGGCGGGAGCCACTGCACCCAGCTTCCTCCACTATTTTCTAAAGGTACCCAAATCAACTCATGTCACAGGGGGCATTCACCATTGAAATGACAGTCTAAGAGCTGCTTTTTTTTTTTTTTGAGTTGGAGTCTCGCTCTGTCGCCCAGGCTGGAATGCAGTGGCGCTATCTCGGCTCACTGCAAGCTCTGCCTCCTGGGTTCACGCTGTTCTCCTGCCTCAGTCTCCCGAGTAGCTGGGAATACAAGCGCCCACCACCACACCCGGCTAATTTTCTTATTTTTAGTAGAGACGGGGTTTCACTGTGTTAGCCAGGATGGTCTCGATCTCCTGACCTTATGATACGCCCTCCTCGGCCTCCCAAAGTGCTGGGATTACAGGCGTGAGCCACCGCGCCCGGCCTAAGAGCTTCTTTAAGTAAATAATTACTCTCTTTGGAATTAGCAAGCTATGGAAATAACCCTGCTTCATCAGTTTAACAAGAGTTTGCTGAACACCAGCTATCCTTCCGGAAGCTAAGGTCTCCTTCCAGAAGCATAGGGAGCCTTAGGCCATGATTAAAGGGACCAAGAACTGGAGTGAGCATCCACCTGGGCTCTCTGCCGACCCTGTGGCCCCCGGCCCAGGTGTCTTGGGCTCATTCCTATGCCTCTGGGGTGACACACATCCCCTCTTTTGGGGTATCATGTAGGCACCAGTCTGTTTAAGAGTCAGTCACCAGGCTCGCGTGAGGCCACCCCAGGAAGCTGCTGGAGGAGGGTAAGGCCCTGCCAGGTTGGGCCCTTGAGCACTCAGGAGGAAGCCTGGAGTGGCTGTCCCTGACGGCTTGGTCACGGGAAATCGCCTTTCCTCCCTTGCTGTTTCTTTTTGAGTATGTGGCAAACTACAAAATTTCCCTGCAGATGGTTAAGGAACCAAAATCGGATGCTCTAACTTTCGTTTGGGGATTTTGCTCTTCTACTAGGGCACCTCATTCTGCAACTACAAATGCCGGAACTGTGCAGCCAACACCCCAGAACAGAAGTTCTCTGAGCAGCCACTTCCAGGTCACCCCCAGAAAGGATGACATTCATCCCCGGGCCTCCCCCTGCCTTGGTCCTCCCTGGGGAAATGATTTGAATACGCGTGTGCTGTCTCAAGTTCCCAGGGTAATTAGGAAGTGGAACTTGGATGCCTCTTCCTAGCACTCATTTGGGTAAATGTGACATCTCCTGATTCCCAAAAGAAAACAAAAGTTAGGATAGGGTTAAAGAGGCCGGGCAAGGTGGCTCATGCCTGTAATCCCAGCACTTTGGAAGGCTGAGGAGGACAGATCACTTGAAGTCAGGAGTTTGAGACCAGCCTGACCAACATGATGAAACCCTGTCCCTACAAAAATTAGCCAGGCATGGTGGCAGGCACCCGTAGTCCCAGCTACTTGGGAGGCTGAGGCAGGAGAATCGCTTGAACCTGGGAGGCGGAGCTTGCAGTGAGCTGAGATCATGCCACTGCACTCCAGCCTGGGCAACAGAGTGAGCCTCCGTCTCAAAAAAAATTAACAAAAAAAAAAAGGATAGGATTAAAGAAAAATTCTCCAGTTTGTCCACAGCCTGCATTCCATTTTTTTTTCACCATTCTTAAGGATGAGTAAGAATCGAGCTTGCTCTGGGACCCATCAAGAGTAACGTCTGCTGTGTGTCTTTGAAATATTCGTTCGTGGGCGGGCGCAGTGGCTCACGCCTGTAATCCCAGCACTTTGGGAGGCCACGGCCGGCGGATCACGAGGGCAGGAGATTGAGACCATCCTGGCTAACACGGCGAAACCCCATCTCCACTAAAAATACAAAAAATTAGCCGGGCATGGTGGCGGGCGCCTGTAGTCCCAGCTACTCGGGAGGCTGAGGCAGGAGAATGGCGTGAACCCGGGAGGCGGAGCTTGCAGTGAGCCGAGATGGCGCCACCGCACTCCAGCCTGGGCGACAGAGCGAGACTCCGTCTCAAAAAAAAAAAAAATTCGTTCGTTCACTCCGTCCACTGTACAGTTGAAGAACGGGGTCTTTTCTGAGCCTGTTAAACTGTAAACCCTGCAAAGTTGCCCAGCCGGGCTGGGGGTCTGTCATTGCCACTGCCCTCCTGTGAACCCCACACATGTGAGCCGGTGGCCCCCTTTCCTCCCCACCTCTTTAACTTCACTGCACCCAGGCTTCATAACCCTCTGCGTGGACTCTGAAGAGGGGCAGCCATGAATTCGCTGACGTTGTTTTCAGAACTGTGGGTTGTGGGGTTTTTTGCCCTTGAATGGGTGTCCAGCTGCCAGTGGGTAGTCAAAGGACCTGAAACCCTAAAAATGCAATAGAATTTCTGACATTTGGTCAGGAATAATAATAATAATAAAAAATCAGCCTAAACATACAACTTTTTTTTTTTTTTTTTTTTTTTTTTTTTTGAGACAGAGTCTCGCTCTGTCGCCCAGGCTGGAGTGCCGTGGCACAATCTCGGCTCACTGCAAGCTCTGCCTCCCGGGTTCACACCATTCTCCTGCCTCAGCCTCCCGAGTAGCTGGGACTACAGGCGCCCGCCACCACACCCGGCTAATTTTTTTATTTTTAGTAGAGACGGGGTTTCACTGTGTTAGCCAGGATGGTCTTGATCTCCTGACATTGTAATACGCCCACCTCGGCCTCCCAAAGTGCTGGGATTACAGGCATGAGCCACCGCGCCTGGCCCTAAACATACAACTTCTAATGCTTTTCATAACGAGGCAAAATCCAGTAGCATCATTTAGATGCATTGAAGTTGGGAAAATTTCAAAAGTGCTGGAATTTCCTCCAAGCCATTCCCTGACTCTACCCACCCCTCCCATCCCCTTATACCTGCCACCATTCCCCCCCAGCATTTCCCCCATCCCTCCCCATCCTCCTATTCTACCCCCATTCCCCCAACCAGTTCCCCCACCATCCTCCCTTATTCTCCCTACAACCCCCTTGCAATTCCCCCCATGCCTGCCATTCCCTACCACTCTATTCCTTCCCCACCAGTCCCCGACCCTGCTCATGCTTCCCCCTTCCTCCCCCAACCTGCTCACCATCCTCAGCCTCCCCCCAAAGACTGAAGAGTGGGCAGCCCCTGAGGGCTGGGAATAAACACCAACATCTCTACACAGAATCCCAACTCCTGAGAGCTCTGACTGCAGGGCCACGTGTTTCCTGGCCCCTCCCCACTCTCCTAGTCCTTGAAACTCCAGCTCCTCTTTCAGAGACACACAGCCCAGGGTGTGGGCCTGCTCCAGCAGGTTGGAGATGCAGAAGTCTGAGAGGAGACCCAGAGACACCTCAGGCCCTCTGGAAATGGGCAGGCTTCCAGGGTTTCCAACAGAGAAAAAAGACCATTCAGCCAGGAGCGGTGGCTCACGCCTGTAATCCCAGCACTTTGGGAGGCCGAGGCGGGTGGATCACCTGAGGTCGGGAGTTTGAAACCAGCCTGACCAACATGGAGAAACCCCATCTCTACTAAAAATACAAAATTAGCCGGGCATGGTGGCACATGCCTGTAATCCCAGCTACTCGGGAGGCTGAGGCAGGAGAATCACTTGAACCGGGGAGGTGGCGGTTGCAGTGAGCCAAGATCGTGCCATTGCACTCCAGCCTGGGCAACAAGAGCGAAACCCCGTCTCAAAAAAAAAAAAAAACAAACACAAAACAAACAAACAAAACCTAGTGGCTTAAATAACAACGATCTTTTTTTTATTTTCTCCAGATTTCTGGGGGTCAGGAACTCGGGCAAGGTTTAGCTGGAGTCTGTCCTGCAGTTGCCTTCGGACAACGGCTGGAGTTGACTAGTGTGGGGCTGGCCAGGCGTGTGCCCACAGGGGTGCCCCCGGCCTCCTCGCAGCAGGCAGGCAGTCTGGCAGCTTTGAGAGCAGGTGTTCCTGTGCCACACTGACGACCACCATCGGACGTCACATAGTGTCACTTCTGCCATACCCCACTGGCTACAAGCAAGTCACCTGCCTGCCCAGACTCAAGGGGAGGGGACACAGACCTCCCCTATCTCAGAAGGAGCGTCAGACCGCAGTGTCGAAAAGCGTGCTGGGCAGGAAACACCATGGACCACCCTTGGAAAGCACCGCCTTGGCCCTGGAGGTCCCGGGAAGTGGAGCTGGAGCAGGGATTCAGGGCGCGTGGCTTATTGAGGGAAGGCTCTTCAATAAACGCCTGGGAGGGAGGGAAGACAGCGGCACGGGGAAGGGGAAAGAGCCGAGCAAGGGTGTAGGCTCAAGTCAGGTGCTCTCTGGACCACAGCCCACACCACTGCTTTGCCCCGCCTTGAAGAAAGGGGGCCCGGCCAGCCATCGGCTGTGACTCCCAGGCAGTGAGGAAGAGCACAGCCAGGATGTGTGGCTCCTGTCAGCCAAGGCCGTGCTCTGAAAAGGAGGCGGGCGTGCTGTCAACAGCCCGCACTCACCACGGTTAGGGAATGGGTGCAGCAGCCCATGAATGTGGTGCTGGCAGGGCTCAGTGCGGACTGCAGGGTGGTGCACCGTCCTCCTATCTCTGCGCCCGTGCCCCTTGGCATCTGACTTTGTTCCTTCTACGGAGAGGATCTGCTCCCCACTCCTTCCGTTTGGGCCCAGCCATGTCACTTGCTTCAGCCAACGGCACGTGAGCAGGTGTGACACACACACTGAGAGGCTCTGAGCTCCTGAAGATTCTGGAGGCAAATGGGAAGCAGCTGTTGGTGTGTTTCCAGAGAACCCCCAACCATGGCTCATGCTTTAGCCCTTGGGGCTCTGACTTCTCTGGAGCCTTAGACTTGCAGTTTGGGAAAAGCCAGGTTCACGGGTTCATCTTCCAGTTGCCACAGCTCCAAGTTAGAGCCAGAGAGCGCTCCCAGCAGGTCTGGGAAATGCTGAGCTGCCCGTTGCAAGGCATTTTTTTGGGGGGGGTCTCCTGGATAAAATTTCAATATTAAACATGAAGATTTTGCTATGATTCAATCCTCACTGGGCCTGAGGAAAGAGTTGTAACTACATTTCGATGTAGCATTTGAAGGGATTTAGTGATTTTCCATTAATTTCTTTCAAATGTCAAGGGTATATATCTTTCTTTGAGGACTCAGCCTATGGCAAATTTCAGATTTAAAAAGACCCATCGATGGAGTTATGAGACCAAGAAGGGGAGCCAAAAATCTACAATTCAGAAATTATGAAACAGCTAAGTTTTCAGTTAATTCAAAAACCGTCTCAGTGGAAAATGTTGTAAGCTTCCCATGCATAATCAAATAGATCTGGTTTGGAAATGCAACGGAAATGAATTGCTTGTAGGAAAGCTTTCCTTCTGAATAAAACGATCAAGCTCAGATCAAAGTCATGGCAAGTGATGGGTTCCCATTGCAGAAAACATTGGAGGGAAGACCACAGTTTAGCTCTAACAAGGAAACAAGTCGGATCCTTCCTCTCTCCTTCCCAGACTGTCTCCCCCTCTTCCCCAGCCTGGCCTCACAGCTGAAAAAGCATGCAGAAAGTGTTGTCTTCAATTTTACGGAGCAATGAATTTTGTAGTAAATATTTATTAGCTTCTTAGTAAATACGATTAAATTTCTGGCTGAGCTTTGCATGGCTTTCATTAGAATGAGCTAAGGTTTACTTTCAAGTCTAAGGAGATACAATAGAGTAAAACGGGGTAGACATTCAAGTGCAAATGAAAATTGGTGGCGATTACAGCAGGAAAATGCTGTCTTCCTGGCTCTGAGCAGCAGAAGGCTCTGGCAGGGAGCCAGGGCTCAGGCCCACGTCCTGTTCCTTCTCTGCCCTCTAGATGGGTATCATCATCTCTCCCAGCACAGGTGTCAGAAAAACCTTAGCTCCTTCCCCAGGGGCTGGGGGATGCGAGTATCCACTAAGGGCTGGGCCTGTCCACTCCTGCCCCCTTGTCATTGTGACCAACTCAGAGAAGGCCTTTGACCAAGGTCCTATAGTCACCACACAGTACAGCCCAGATCAGAGTTCCAACTCCCACCTCCCTCTCCAGTGCTCAGGACACTCTGATGCCACTCAATAGCCTCTTAAATAAAGATGCGCTTTCATTTTGTCAAAATGACTTCCACCCAGAGATCCCACTCCCGGGCACCTGCCCTAGAAGAATGCAAACACCTGTCCACACGAAAACATGTACACACGGTCGGGCACGGTGGCTCACGCCTGTAATCCCAGCACTTTGGGAGGCTGAAGTGGGCAGATCACGAGGTCAGGAGATGGAGACCAACCTGGCCAACATGCTGAAACTCCGTCTCTACTAAAAATACAAAAATTAGCTGGGAGTGGTGGCGGGTGCCTGTAGTCCCAGCTACTTGGGAGGCTGAGGCAGGAGAATCGTTTGAACCTGGGAGACAGAGGTTGCAGTGAGCTGAGATTGTGCCACTGCACTCCAGCCTGGGCGACAGAGCAAGACTCTGTCTCAAAACAAAACAAAACATGTACACACATATTTACATCAGGGTTACTCACAAGAGCCAGGGCGTAGAAGCAATCCAAATGTCCATCCACTGATGACCAAATAAACACAATGTGGACTTCTCACACAGGGGGATATTATTTGGCAATAACAAGAATAAAGAGGCCGGGCGCGGTGGCTCACGCCTGTAATCCCAGCACTTTGGGAGGCCGAGGCAGGCGGATCACGAGGTCAGGAGATTGAGACCATCCTAACTAACACGGTGAAACCCCATCTCTACTAAAAATACAAAAAATCAGCCGGGCGTGGTGGCGGGCACCTGTAGTCCCAGCTACTTGGGAGGCTGAGGCAGGAGAATGGCGTGAACCTGGGAGGTGGAGCTTGCAGTGAGCCAAGATTGTGCCACTGCACTCCAGCCTGGGCGACAAAGCAAGACTCCATCTCAAAAAAAAAAAAAAAAAAAAAAAACGAAAAAAAAGAATAATGCACTGACATAGGCCACACCAAGGATGAAACATTATGCGAAGTCAAGGAAGATTTTCCATGCACCCAGGACCACATGCCATAAAATCACATTATGTGAAATGTCCAGAATAGGCAAGTCCCTGGAGACAAAAAGTAGATTCGTGGTTTACAGGGGCTGGCTGCGGGGAGGAAGGGGTGACTGCTAAGAAGTGCATGGTTTCGTTTTGGGGTGATGAACTTGTTCTAAAATTGATTATGATGGTAGTTGTACAACCTTGTAAATAACCACTAAATTGTACACTTAAAAGTAGTGAATTTCATGGCATGTGAATTATATGTAATTTTTAAAACAAACTTTCACCTGGATGGGTGTGGGCGACAGTGTGAGCCCTGGGTTAGAATCCCAGCTCCCCCACGTTCCAGCTGTGGGACTCTGGGTGACTTCCTTCAACCTCTGTCCTGCCCTTTCCCCAGCTCTGGATGTCAGCAACGCCTGGGGCTGGTGTGAGGATGAAGTGAGCTCCTTCGTGAGCCGCGCTTGGTGAAGAGTTCAGGCCAAACCCCCATGGCACCCAAGGCAGGCAATGCTGGTGGCTGTCTGGCCGATGTGTGCACTGGTGAGGTGGTGGCTGAGCTCACGGCTGGACTGAGGGCGATAGCAGGAAGAGAGGCCCGGCTCCTGACGAGTCCACACTCACCAGGCCACCTGCTAGACACGGGATGGCAAGGGGTGGCCCGAGCTACACTAAATGGACTGTCTGGGCAGAGATGTCTTCTTCCAGGCCCTCCAGACTTCTACAAAGTAGCCTTCTCCTCCTACCAGAACCTCAGGTTGCCCAGACGCTGGAGGGCACAGGGACATCTGAGGGTCCCACCACGACAGGCTAGAAGTGGCTCTTTTATGAAAACCTTTGTCAGAACAAGCGAGGGGACATGGGTGACAGCCTCACAGGCCACCCAACAGCCACCCCTCCTTCCTTGCTGACAAAGCCCAATTTTGTCCTGTGGTCTAGGCATTGCCCTGTGTGCCTCAGGCATAGGCTCTGATTGGCTAAGCCAATGATTCTCCTAGACAATGATTGGCTTAGCCTGGGGCATGTGACCCAATCCTAGCCAATGAGATGTGAGGGGTGGCTATTGAGGAATGCTGGGAAAGGCTTCTTGGCTGATAAGAAGACAGAGGCAAGGCCGGGTGCTGTGGTTCACGCCCGTAATCCCAGCACTTTGGGAGGCCGAGGCGGGCGGATCACGAGGTCAGGAGATCGAGACCATCCTGGCTAACACGGTGAAACCCCGTCTCTACTAAAAATACAAAAAATTATCTGGACGTGGTGGTGTGTGCCTGTAGTCCCAGCTACTCGGGAGGCTGAGGCAGGAGAATGGCGTGAACCCAGGAGGCAGAGCTTGCAGTGAGCCGAGATCGCGCCACTGCACTCCAGCCTGGTAGACAGAGCAAGACTCCATCTAAAAAAAAAAAAAAGAAAGAAAAGACAGAGGCAAAGATGCCTTCCCTGCTGCTGCTGATGGTTGGGTCAAAAGAAGACACACAGAATCCTATCTACTGAGCTTGGCAGAGATAAAGGGTGAGAAAATGGCCTTCAAGATGCCACCAAGAGCCAGCCAGATGTGGTGGCTCACGCCTGTAATCCCAGCACTTTGGGAGGCTGGGGCGGGTGGATCACTTGAGTTCAGGAGTTCGAGACCAGCCTGGCCAACATGGCAGAACTCCGTCTCTACTAAAAATACAAAAATTAGCCGGGCATGGTGTCTCACCCTTGTAATCCCACCTACTCAGGAGGCTGAGATGGGAGAATTGCTTGAACCCGGGAGGTGGAGGTTGCAGTGAGCTCAGATTGCACCACTGCATTCCAGCCTGGGCAACAGAGAAAGACTCTGCCGGAAGAAAGAAAGGAAGGAAGAAGAAAGAAGAAATAAGGAAGGAGGGAGGGAGGGAGGAAAGGAAGAAAGGAAGGAAGGAGGGAGGGAGGGAGGGAGGGAGGCAGGGAGGCAGATGCCACCAAGGGGCCAAACTGGTGAGCCTAGAGCCAAGAGTCCTTCCTTGGAAAAGGCCACTACTTTCCTTATCACGCAAGCCATTTGTGTCAGGTTTCATACTTGCAGCTGAAATGGTCTTAGCCGACACAGTGGGCGAGATGCAGGGAACCCGGGCCCCAGTGCCTAGCGGGGTTCTGCTGAGGTGGGGTGTTTAAGCAGCATAGGGATACAGGTAGGCATACTTTCCAAGTAGGAGTCTAACTAAGCCTTTTGGTTGTTTACTCCTGGGAACCCAGTCTATTTTAGTGCCTTGGACTCTTCTCAAAGGTGCCCCAAGAACCCTCGAGAGTCCTGAGTTAGTGTCACATCCTTCTCTCCGGAGGGTCCCTCGGGGAGGAATTTCCAGAGGGAGGACATACAGAGGCATTTGCTCCAGCCATGGGGAGCCCAGGGTCCGGTCTTGCAGTTTGGGAGTCCCCTTCGGGAGGCTGTGGTCTCGTAGCCTCTGGCCTGTCCTGGGAGTCAGGAGGCCAGGGGCTGGCTCCACCTCTGCCTCAGTTTCCCTGTAATCAATGAAGAGGAGCAAAGGATTGCTGTGTCCCCCCATCTCAGATGTGCTCTGATTCCGTGATGATGGTGGACAGAAGGAACACAGAACCCCTGCTCCCTCTTTTGGAGAAGAACTCATTCATTTATTCCATAACGTCCATCAAGTTGCTAAGGCTCTGAAAGGAGGCAATGCTTCCGCCGCCTCTTAAGATCACCCAGGGCCCTCCATGCTCGGGAGGAGAGGAGGGGTCTTCAGGCAGCAGACCCAAGATGGGCTGTGGCAGAGAGATACCAGGGTGCCATGTGCTCAGGACACAGAGGGCCAGTAGGGAGGTCAGGGGCAGGTCTGAATCCTATCTGGAGGGGTCCAGGCAAAGGCTGCTGAGATGTGTGATGGGATCCTTGGATCCTCTTCAGGAAGGAAACTCCTGGTAGTGTGGACCAAGGCAGGCGCAGGCAGAGTGGGTGGCCACTGTGGCCACCAGTCAGACCGGAGGACAGTGATGTCAAGGGTCTGAGTAGAGGCCAGGACTCCAACTGGCAAGTGGGTCATAGGGGTTGGTCTGAGGTGGGCTCAGGATCTGTCATTGACAGGATTTGATGATCAGCTGGCTGTTGGGGGTTGCTGAGGCTGCAAGCGGTCTGGCTGGCCCAGACACCCAGGGCAGGGGGCCTAAGGAGAGTGGGTCTGGGAGAAAGGCCTGTGAGGAGCTGGGTCGTGTGCAGCTTGGGGCTTCTGTAGCACATCCTGGGAAGACCCCAGAGAGATGCAGGGCTGCCGGGGGAGCTCAAGGGTGGGGGCCTTTCGGGTGAGGGCAGGGAACCTGAACAGGGATTAAAAATCCACCGTGAGCCCCTCACGGGGCATTCCTTTCCAGCAGGATGCAGTGTCCTGGCCAGGGCCTGGTGGGTCGTCAGGGCCCTGAGCTTCCCTCAGTTTCCATGAGCCTGAGCGCCCTGGAGGAGGGAAGAGTGAATCAGGGGAATGGAAATCAAGCCCCGTGGCATGCACAGCCAGCGACCATGCATCATTTAATTTGGGGTTGCAAAAATAACTCAGCCTCTCCCCTGAGGTGCTGGAATTCCCCAGTCTTCGAGTGGGGTTAACTTTAGTAAGAGTGAAATTCAGCCAGGTTGGCGGAGGACAGTTTCCAAGTCTCCTCAGGCCGGCTCTCGCAGTCTGGTGACTGTGTCCAGCCTGCCTCCGTTCTCCTCATTGTCAATGGCCATTGTTGGAATTGCTCCTTCCCGTGACTTCACCTGGGAAGTGGCCTCACCCTTGAACTCAGGACCCCAGACAAGGAAATGAAGCCTCTAACACAGCACAGCCACCACCTTCTGCTCACTCACGCTCCAAGTTCACAGTCCTCCAGGCCCGGCTGCTGCTCTGCACCTCCAGCAGAGATGTATAAAGATTTCATGGCCTAGGAGTGTAATGAGCCCCAGATTATTAAGATCCCATTTCTCTTTGAAAATATCTCATGAAGTATTCTCTTAAATAATTAAAACTAAATTCCACCTATCCAAATAAATGAAAAAGGGTGTTTGGCTCCGTTGTGTCCTTGAGTGACTCTTCGGGGCCACCAGATCCTTTCCATGCTCCCCGCCACCAGATGGATTTCCAAGTGCTGGGCTTTCCAAATGCATTTTCTTCCTCTCTTAGGCCAGTGTTGTTCACAGTGACACGGACCAGTTTACGACCTTCCTGGTGTGTCACCATCCTGCTGATACGCAGGTCAAAAAAAAATCACACAGACATCAGACGCTGACACCAATAGGCCCATCCCAAAATAAGGATTTATATATATTCCAAGAATGCAACTTCATCTATACTTAGGATGGGGAACTTGGCCCCGCTGGACGACAGTGAGCTCATCACCTCCAAAAGCCGGAGTTTGGAGCAGGACTCAGCCAGCATGTCTGGGGAGTATCCTGCCAAGGTCCTCCAAGTGGGTCCCTTTGTGGCCATTGCTGTCTTGCGGTGAGAGTGGAGATGTCTTGTGGGGTGAGGTTGTTGTGATGGACAACAGAGAGAAGAGAAGAAAGTCTGGGCTGGCGGAATCAATTCAGTGTTCTCTTTCCTGCACATTCTGAGGCATAGATAGATATTATGTCTTCCATTCACCCTGGTGGGGTTGGTTCCAAACATCTCTTAACAAGAGTCTTATTCGAGTGCTGGGTACAGTGGCTCACACCCATAATCCCAGCACTTCTGGAGGCTGAAGCGAGTGAACACTTGAGTCCAGGAGTTCAAGACCAGCCTGGGTAACATGGCAAAACCCCGTCTCTACAAATAATATGAAAATTAGCCAGGTGTGGTGGCGTGTGCCTAGTTTCAGCTACTCGGGAGGCTGAGGCAGGAGGATCTCTTGAGAACAGGACGTCAAGGTTGCAGTGATCACGCCACTGCACTCCAGCCTGGGTGACATAGCAAGACCTTGTCTCAAAAAAAAAAAAGTCTCATTTACATTTCAATGTTGCTCATTCTACAGTTATTGGTGTCCTACTTGGTGCCAGGCAGGGCACTGGGTGAGCACAGCGTAGGGATCTTTGCACATCTCAAGTGACAAACATGCACTGATACGATCCGAATTGCACCGTTAATGAGCAACTGCTTCAACACTTACAAGGAAGAGCAGGAGGAGGACTGCAAAGGGCAGCCTTGTAAGGTTACACAGGTGGTGCACTGCACAAGGGGCAGCCTTGTAAGGTTACACAGGTGGGACACTGCACAGGGCAGACATCTTAGCCTGTGTATAGTAAAAGACCTGTGTTGTAACTAATCAGTATGTCACGGCTGCCTTCTGGCACATGGAGCAAAGCATCCTGAGGACGGGAGTGCCCCATTTTAATTCCCTCCTCAGGGCCATGGGGGCCGGTAGGGCCCGAGCTGCATTTGTTGAGTGGGAGGTTCCAGGTGACCTCAGACAAAGTCATTCCCCTGGCGTGCGGGGCCAGAGTCCTCACGCAGCAGGTGGACTGTTCCTAGGAAGTGAGGGGGTGAGGCAGTCATCAGGCATCTGGGAAAGACTAGGAGGAAGGGAAGGGGTGCCCTGCAGTGGAGCAGATGGGGGCCCAGGGAGGACCCAGGGCAGGGCGGGGGCAGGGAGGGTCCCCGTGGACCTAGTCCAGTGCAAGAGTCCCTCTGGTGCTGAGGCCATGGCACTCAACCCTGGTCGAATCAGGGAGGAAACGACTCTGCCAAGAGCCCGAGGTTTTTGGGGAAGGAATCAGGGCCTCCCACTCCAGCGGGCCTCCCACTCCAGCGGGCCTCCCACTCCAGCGGGCCTCCCAGGCTGCCTTGGTGTCTAGCCCGCACAGGCCAAGCAGCCCACAGCCACGTTGCAGCCCGGGCCCAGAACAGCTCAGTGCCCACCAGATGCTCAGTCACACCTCAGGAGAACTGTGACCCAGCAGCCAGTGCTGAGAAATAAGCTCAGGAAATCAGTATTACGAGGACAGAAGTTTTGTCCGTGGGTCTCAATAAAGTTATTTTCATTTTAAATTGGGGGAAAAAGCCATGCATGCTCACTGTGTTGGCCCTGGATTAAGAGGGGTTGCTCCCCCTGCCCTGGATGTGTGTTCATCCCCGCCTCCCACCCACTGGCCCCTTAGGGGCACCCCAGCTCCCTCCCACCCCAGTTCCCACCTCTGTACAAGGAGGGCCTAGGCCTGCCCAGGCGGCCCTTCCCAGGATTCAGGCTCTCGCAGGGAAGGGGGAAGGGGATGTGGAAGGACACGGGAGCCCTGCACGAGGGTCCTAAGGGAAGCACAGCGGTGCGGTGCCTTGTGATGATGGTTGTTATTGGCTTCCCTGGACAGGCTGCCCCCACCCCATGCTCACTCCTGCCTGTGGGACACACACCCCATGGTGATTTTGCTGAATCCTCACTACAGCCCCACGGGGCAGGGCCCATCATCTCTGTTTTAGAGATGGGAACCCTGAGGCCCAGCGAGGAGAAGTAACTTGCCCAGGGCCACACAGCTCTGGGCCAGTGCTGGCATCTGAGCCACCCTCGGGGACCTCCAGCAACCACAGGCAAAACTGTGCCTTCCGGATCACCTGGGGTCAGGAGTTCAAGACCAGCCTGGACAACATGGCGAAATGCCGTCTCTACTAAAAATCACAAAAATTAGCCAGGCATGGTGGCAGGCGCCTGTAATCCCAGCTACTCGGGAGGCTGAGGCAGGAGAATCGCTTGAGCCTGGGAGGCAGAGCTTGCAGTGAGCCGAGATTGTGCCACTGCACTCCAGACTGGGCAACAGAGCAAGTCTCCATCTCGAAAAACAAACAAACAAACAAACAAACAAAACTGTGCCCTCTGCCTCCCGCCTCCCGCAGCACCAGGGTGCAGTTCCAGGACATGAGCTCGCCCTAGCAAGCACTCGCGTGGCACAGTGCAAACTTCCCTAGCTTCCTGTTACAACCCTGTAACTTGCTCCAGGGGCCTCAGGCCTCACCCCCTGACCATCCCCAGCCCGGACTTCTCTTCCCCTGTCCAGAGGGGGCTCTGTCCCCATCGTGCAGGCTTTGCCGGCGGGCGCTGCACCCTGCACAGGCCACGCAGGAGGCTCTCTGCAGGCCCCGCCACACTGCTCTGGGTGCTGGAAAGGTTGTGTCTGCAGGCCCCGCCATGCCGTTCTGGGTGCTGGAAGGGTTGTGCTGCCTTTGCTCCCTGGGCCTCTTATGCCCGCAGACCTGTCACATCAGCCACCGAGGCCCGATCCCTGTTGCCTCCTTTTCCAGATGCCATGGGGTTTGAAGAACTCGCGGGGCTGGCCCTGAGCCCAGGTCTGACTGCTCTCCGCCTCCCTGTCCCGCACCCCAATTTCTGCGCAGCCATGACAGACAGTGCCGACGGGGCCAGGTCCTGTGTCAGGCCCACACCAGCCCAGGGGTGGAACTGACCCCCAAGCTCCCTGGTTTCTCTGCAGCCAGCAAGGACCCTTTGCAGTGGAAAGTGCTGGAGTGTTGTCACCCCCAAGGCAACCCTCAACCCTGGGTCAAGAGTTCCTGGATAAACACCCAGCCCCCCACCATCTGCCGGCTGTCCTCAGGCGCATGACATATGATTTCATATGGTCCCTGGGGGGACTGAGCCCTGGGTTCCCACAGAGGTGACCAGCTCCATCCCCCAACCTGCAGTGGCCCCAGCCAGCCTCTCCCCAGGAGACCCCCTGGGAACATCTCCCAGAAAAACCGCCTGTGCCCAGCTCCTGGCCCTGACTCTGCTCTTTAGGGCGCAGGATGGGCCCCGCGGCCATCTGGACAAGGGTGTAAGAAGAGACTGCACACCAGCTCGGGAGTCTTTAGAACCCACCTCTGTCACAGCCTGGGCTGTGAACCCAGGGGACTGGGCCCCAGCACCCCGCACCGGCCTCGGCACACAGGAACGACTCAGCACGCACCGAGGAAGGGACATCAACGAGCTGAGAAATGTCGCTGTGCTGAGCTGCGCTCATAACCAGTGGATTCCTGGTGTATTATTATTTGTTGATTGTTGATGTAATTTTTCTTGATTTGCTGATTATTATTTGTTGATTCTGGGTTTGCACAGCCACAAATATTCAGATATCTCAAACCCCACTCCCTGCTGCTTCTTGCTAATTCAAGCAAAACCAAAATGCTGAGCCTGTGTGCACACGGTGCCTCCCTGGCACCATGTGAGCCGATAATGGATGGAAGAGGCCCTGCCCCCACCTGCTCTGGGCAAACAAACAGAACAATTAGCCAGAAAGAGTTCGCCAGGCGGGAGGGTCAGCTGCGGCAGCCATGTCCGTTCTGACTAGCTCCCAGAACATTCCACAGCCGAGGCACCATGATTAGGGGGCCCCCTCCATGCAGGCGCCACTGCGGCTGCAGGGACCGAGGCCGCGGGGACCGAGGCCACAGGGACAGGCACTAATGGCAGCCACAGGCCACTCCCCTTGACCCCTCTCCAGCGACTCAGCCCCCGGGATTAGCCCCCAAGATGCTGCCTGGGCTGTCTCAACAAACAGTGAAAAGGTAATGCAAAACAGGAACACCAAGAGCTGTCCCCGCACAGGCTCAGGGCTGCTCAAAGCTGGCCAGGCTGCTGTCACGCAGGGAGGTGTGGGATGCCTGGCAGTGGCCCGCTGCTCCCCTAGGATGGCAGTGGTGGCTGTGTGGCAACACATATAGCTTGTGTGCAAAGCCCTGCTTCTCAGCACACCGATTCCTGCAGGTAGGACTTGCCTCGATTGTCGTCCCCAAGCATGGCCTGGTCCACACCGCACGGCTGGACCCAAGCACCTGGCTCTGGGGAGAAGCAGCTGAAGGGGCTGGGAACGCAGCGCCAATCTCTGCTGCAGGAGAGGGCGGGTGCTGCACGAAGTTTCAGGGACCCTCCTCCAGGCCTTGCAGGGGCGTGTGACAGCCGCGGTCCCGGCTGTGCTGGGGAGGAGAGGCTTCCAGGGCCAGAGAGGCTGGGAGAGGTGTTTACAGGAGCCGAAAGTGCTAAAAATAGCGGGGGCCTTGCCCCTGAAGCCACTCCACCTGACCACCCGGCAGGTGCTGGGACAGGAATAGGCAAGCAGACCCCAGAGGGACAGGCATAGGGCAACCCCCTCTCAAGGGTGGGGGGGTTGCCTACTGGGAGCAGAGGATGAGCTGGGCAGAGGGCCCAGGCCCCTGGAGCTCTGGAGCTGAGCTGCAGGAGGAGTGAGGACGGGAGCCCCAGTTCTGCTGGCAGCTGGGAAGCAGGCCCCAAACAACCAAGGGTCAAGCCACACGGACTCAAGGGCCCACCGAGGTCCCAGAGCCCCAGTGGACTTCAGAGCCAGAACTAGTGGTCTCCAGGCCACACACAGGCTGTGTGTCAGGCTCACTAACGCACCTCTCAGGCGCAGCCTCCTCTCTCACACCATGGGTGCCACGCAGCCCTCCCAGGGTGATGGGAAGGTGTGTGCTGCAGACAGCGGGTGGCTGGACCTGGAGCCTGGCTGAGGGGGTCAACAGAGGACTAGCCCCTGTGGCCAATGTTTCCGGGGCAGGGACAGCAGTGTGAAGGGAGTTGAAAGGTAGATAAGGCCAGGCACAGTGGCTTGAACCTGTCTGTAATCCCACCACTTTGGGAGGCTGAGACGGGCAGATCACTTGAGCAGCCTGGGCAATATAGCAAGACCCTCTCTCTACAAAAGATAAAAAAATTAGTCCTTGTGGGCTGGGCGCGCTGGCTCACGCCTGTAATCCCAGCACTTTGGGAGGCCAAGGCGGGCAGATCACCAGAGGTCAGGAGATCGAGACCATCCTGGCTAACACGGTGAAACCCCATCTCTACTAAAAAAATTAGCCGGGCGTGGTGGTGGGCGCCTGTAGTCCCAGCTACTTGGGAGGCTGAGGCAGGAGAATGGCGGGAACCCGGGAGGCGGAGCTTGTAGTGAGCCAAGATTGTGCCACTGCACTCCAGCCTGGGTGACAGAGCAAGACTCCGTCTCAAAAAAAAAAAAAAAAAAAAAATTAGTCCCTGTGCCGGGAGCGGTGGCTCACGCCTGTAATCCCAGCACTTTGGGAGGCCGAGGCGGGCGGATCACAAGGTCAGGAGTTCAAGACCAGCCTAGCCAACATGGTGAAACCCCATCTCTACTAAAAATACAAAAATTAGCTTGGTCTGGTGGCACGCACCTGTAGTCCCAGCTACTCAGGAGGATGAGGCAGGAGAATCTCTTGAACCCAGGAGGTGGAGGTTGCAGTGAGCCGAGATCGCACCACTGCACTCCAGCCTGGGCGACAGAGCGAGACTCTGTCTCAAAAAACACAACAAAAAAAATTAGTCCTGGTGGCACATGCCTGTGGTCCCCAGCTACTCAGGAGGCTGAGGTGGGAGGACCACTTGAGCCCAGGAGGTTGAGGCTACAGTGATTTCACCACTGCACTCCAGCCTGGGCAACCGATTGAGACCTTGTCTCAAAAACAGAAAAAAAAAAGAAAGGTGGACGAGAGCTGGGCCATGTGAATGGGTGAGGCAGGTCATGAGTGTGTCAGTCCTAGGTCACAGAGGGGACAGAGTCTGGGACCCCCATCCAGGCCCCCCAGGCACAGCCGGTGTCCCTGGATAGCTGATAAGAATAGGCCTCTGCATGCTGGTTTTTCAGTCCAAAACATCTTGGAAGTGACATGCTCTGCAAGCTAAAAAGGCTCAGTCACCAAAATACAGCAGCCAGGGCGCCAGACAGCCAGTGTAGCGGGCCGGGCCACACTCTTGGACATACAGCTCATGTTTTCAAAATATCACACCTTATGACCATTCCTAGCATGGCCAGAAGAGCAGGGGTGGGGGTGGGGATTGGCCTTCCATTGTCTTCGCAAGTGTGAGCAGCGGCTCCAGGTCTACAGTCAAGAGGCCCGAAACAGCAGGCACCTGGGAACGGGCACAGGCAGACGGTCTGGGGCTAGGGCTGCGCCGTGCACATCACCAGAAGGTGCAGATTTGGGAGCAGGAGAACCCCACATGCCCCCTCAAGAAGCTGACTCACAGGCTAATTTGCTGTCCCCAAGAAGCCATTCCCTCTCCAGGGCATCAGGCATCCATTGAGCACAAACCGTGGTGTCACAGGCGTCAGCGTTCATGCACGGGGGCCGCTGCAGGTGAGAAACTCCTTGCGCTGGCAAAGCTGCCCATGGGCGGAAGCACAAGCCCCACCCTTCAGCCAGCAGGCGTGGGACTCCCTGCGTACCAGCCCCTGGCTAGGTATGGAGGAGGCAGACAGGATGGAGGAGAGGGGAGGGGAGGGGAGGGCGCATCCACGCGCCCAGGGACGCACATATACACACATGTACACATACACATACACACATATATACACACATAAACACACATATACACATACACATAGACACACACACACATATACACATACACAGACACACACACACACACGCACACACGTCCTGGCTGCCTCCACAGTCACTCCTGCTAGTTCGTGTACCCGAGGAACCGCCACGTACACACCCAGCAGGCAGCTGCCTGGGGCCTATGTTCGCTGTGTAGGCCTCATATCACCCGGCCGTAGAGACAACCCCGAGAGTCAGCCCAGGAAATGGTGGGGAGGACAAGTATCTCCTGCTGACATCAGGCTCAGAGGCGGAACCCCCACCTCAGGACCTGCCCCACCCGTGCCTGGCCCTCCAGAGCAGACCTCCTCCCCCAGCCCAGAAGCAGGCTCCCTGGACCGTGAGTCCCTGCCCGGCTCTTCCTGCAGGGACTCAGAGTGGCCCGGGTGGCCCTGGCCATGCAGAGATGGGCACTGGGACCACCCCTGCTCCTTCCCTCCAAGCCCTGGCTCAGCCTGCTTCCCCTGCTTCCCAGACACCGTCGCCTCCACCCTGCCTGGTCTGACTGTCTTGATCTTTTAATCGGAGGGTTTGTTTCACCCACGTGGGATTTCGGCTGGAGTTAAGGTAGAGTGGGGTCCGCCATGTTAATATTTATTTTGTCTCATCTCTTTTGGTTTGTCTATTGCTCCTTTCCTGCCTTCTTTTGTGTTAATACAATATTTTTTAGTATTCCACAATTTCCTATTGGATTTCTGGCTATATGTGTTTGCATTATTGTTTTTTAGTGATGGCACTGGAGGTGAAAATGTGCATTTTAACTAATCCCAGTCTTCTCAGAATTAGAATTGAATTACTTCAAGTAAAATAGAGCAGTAGAATATTTCCACCTGCGCCATCGCCAGGGCTGCTGCAGTCATCTACCACATCTACTTATTATACATACAAAATAAAGCATTCTTATTTTCGCTTTAAATAGTAAAGTCAGGGCTGGTCACAGCGGCTCACGCCTGTAATGCCAGCTCTTTGGGAGGCCGAGGTGGGAGGACTGCTTGAGCCCAGGAATTTGAGACCAGGCTGGGCAACAGGTGAGACCCTGTCTCTACTAAAAATAAAAGAATTGGCCGGGCACGGTGGCTCACGCCTGTAATCCCAGCACTTTGAGAGGCCGAGGCAGGCGATCATGAGGTCAGGAGATTGAGACCATCCTGTCTAACACGGTGAAACCCTATCTCTATAAAAATACAAAAAATTATCCGGGCGTTGTGGTGGGTGCCTGTAGTCCCAGTTACTTGGCAGACTGAGGCAGGAGAATCAATTGCTTGAACCCGGGAGGTGGAGGTTGCAGTGAGCTGAGATTGCGCCACTGCACTCCAGCCTGGGCAACAGATTGAGACTCCATCTCAAAATAATAATAATAATTATTATAATTACATAATAATTATAATAATAATTATTATTTTATTATTATTATTATGACAAGCCTGGCCAACATGGTAAAACCCCATCTCCACTATTTATTTATTTATTTATTTCTAAGACAGAGTCTCTCTCTGTCGACCAGGCTGGAGTGCAGTGGTGCAATCTCAGCTCACTGCAACCTCCAAGTTCAAGCGATTCTCCTGTCTCAGCCTCCCAAGTAGCTCGGCTTACAGACGTGCACCACCACACCTGGCTAATTTTTGTATTATTAGTAGAGACGGGGTTTCACCATGTTGGCCAGGCTGGTCTCAAACTCCTGACCTCAAGTGATCTGCCCACCTCGGCCTCCCACAGTGCTGGGGTTACAGGCGTGAGCCACCACACCGGGCCTATTTATTTTTTGAGACAGTCTCACTCTGTTGCCCAGGCTGGAGTGCAGTGGTATAATCTCAGCTCACTGTAACCTCTGCCTCCTGGGTTCAAGCAATTCTCCCCCCTCAGCCTCCCGAGTAGCTGGGATTACAGGCGCCCACCACCATGCTCAGCTAATTTTTTTGTATTTTTAGTAGTTTCACCATGTTGGCCAGGCTGGCCTCGAACTCCTGACCTCAAGTAATCCACCTGCCTTGGCCTCCCAAAGTGATGGGATTACAGGCGTGAGCCACCACGCCCAGCCTCATCTCTACTAAAAATACAAAAATTAGCCAGACATGGTGGTGGGTGCCTGTAGTCCCAGCTACTCAGGAGGCTAAGGCAGGAGAATCACTTGAACCCGGGAGGTAGAGGCTGCAGTGAACTGAGATTGCACCATTGCATTCCAGCCTGGGTGATAGATTGAGACTCCATCTCAAAAAAAATTTTTTAAAAAAATAAAAGAATTAGCTGGGTGTGGCTGGGCGCAGTGGCTCACGCCTGTAATCTCAGCACTTTGGGAGGCCAAGGCAGGCGGATCACGAGGTCAGGAGATCAAGACCATCCTGGCTAACATGGTGAAACTCCGTCTCTACTAAAAAAAAAAAAAAAAAAATTAGCCAGGCGTGGTGGCGGGCGCCTGTAGTCCCAGCTACTTGGGAGGCTGAGGCAGGAGAATGGTGTAAACCTGGGAGGCAGAGCTTGCAGTGAGCCAAGATCGCACCACTGCACTCCAGCCTGGGAGACAGAGCGAGACTCCGTCTCAAAAAAAAAACACAAACAAATAAAGAATTAGCTGGGCATGATGACATGCACCTGTAGCCCCAGCTATTGGAGGCTGAGGCAGGATGATTGTTTAAGCCCAGGAATTTGAGGTTGCAGTCAGCTATGATTGCGTCACTGCAGTCCAGCCTGGGCAACAGACTGAAACATTATTTCTTAAAGAAAATAATTATAACAAGGCCGGGTGCGGTGGCTCACGCCTGTAATCCCAGCACTTTGGGAGGCCGAGGCGTGGATCACGAGGTCCTCCCAGTGGATCACGAGGTCAGGAGATCGAGACCATCCTGGCTAACATGGTGAAACCCCGTCTCTACTAAAAATATAAAAAATTAGCCGGGTGCAGTGGTGGGCGCCTGTAGTCCCAGCTACTCAGGAGGCTGAGGCAGGAGAATGGCGTGAACCCAGGAGGCGGAGCTTGCAGTGAGCGGAGATCACGCCACTGCACTCCAGTCTGGGCAACAGAGCAGAGCGAGACTCCGTGTCAAATAAAAAAAAAAAAAAAAAGAAAAAAAAATAATGATAACAAATAAATAAATAGTAACTTTTTTTTTTTTTTTTTTTTGAGACGGAGTCTTGCTCTGTCACCCAGGCTGGAGGGCAGTGGTGCGATCATAGCTCACTGCAGCTTCAAACTCCCAGGCTCAAGAAATTCTCCTGCCTTGGCCTCACAAAGTGCTGGGTTGCCACCAGCCCCCCATCTGGTTTTTTATTAATATGTCTACCCACATATGTACCCTTCTGTTGCTATTCATTTCTATCTGTAGAACTGAGATGCCATCTAGGGTCATTTCCACTTACCCCAAATTTGCTTTGGCATTTCTTTCTTTCTTTCTTTCTTTTTTTTTCTTTTTGAGACGGAGTCTCGCTCTGTCGCCCAGGCTGGAGTGCAGTGGCGCGATCTCTGCTCACTGCCAGCTCATGTATAGTTTTGCGGTCAGCCAGAGATTTAGCAAAGCTTATATGCCGATTTTGGGTCTCATCCCTTCTGCAATTCTCTCATGTCAGAGTTTCTGCCAGTTTTTCTTCCAGCTCTGTATATTAAAGAAAATAGAGAAAACAATGGGCAAGATATATGACAAGATAAAAATATTTCAGTGGAGACTTAGTCTATAAAAAGCCATTCTAGGACGGGAGTGGTGGCTCATGCCTGTAATCCCAGCACTTTGGGAGGCCAAGGTGGGCAGATCACAAGGCCAGGAGTTCGAGACCAGCCTGCCCAATATAGTGAAGCCCCACCTCTACTAAAAACACAAAAATTAGCCAGACATGGTGACGGGTACCTGTAATCCCAACTACTTGGGAGGCTGAGGCACGAGAATCACTTGAAACTGGGAAATGGAGGGTGCACAGTGAGCTGAGATCAAGTCACTGCACTCCAGCTGGGCAACAAGAGTGAAACTCTGTCTTGAAAAAAATAAAAATAAATAAATAAAAGGCCATTCTAGTAGTGCAATATAAAACATCTGAAATTGAGAACTAATTGCATGGGTTTGATAGCAGCCAGGACATAGAGACGGTAGAATTAGGGAACTCAAAGACAGGTCAGTATAAGATATCCAATCTGAAGCACACAGAGAAAAATACTGCGGGGAAAACAAAAATTGAGCATCAGAGACATATGTGAAATGTAGACCTGCAGCCCCTGAAGGTGACAAAAGACAGAAAGGGACATAGCAGTAGTTAAAGCAACAATGACCAAGTATTTTTGAAGCCTGATTAAATATGTCAACTTGCCGGGCACAGTGGCTCATACCTGTAATCCCAGCATTTTGGGAGGCCAAGGCGGGTGGATCCCCTAAGGTCAGGAGTTCAAGACCAGCCTGGCCAACATGGTGAAAACCTGTCTCTACAAAAAAAAAAAAAAAATTAGCCAGGCATGCTGGCGGGTGCCTATAATCCCAGGTACACAGGAGGCTGAGGCAGGAGAATTGCTTGAACCCGGTGGGCGGAGGTTGCAGTGAGCCAAGATCATGCCATTGCACTCCAGCCTGGGCAACAGAGTGAGATTCCATCTCAAAATAAATAAATAAATATATCAACTCAGCTGGATGCAGCGACTCATGCCTGTAATCCCAGAACTTTGGGAGGTCAAGGCAGGTGGATCTCTTGAGCCCAGGAGTTCAACACCAGCCTGAGCAACATGGTGAAACACTGTCTCTACAAAAAATTTAAAATTTGCTGAGCATGGTGGCACGTGCCTCTAGCCCCAGCTACTTGGGAGGCTGAGATGGGAGGATCACTTGAGCCCAGGAGATCAAGGCTGCAGTGAGCCCTGATTGTGCCACTGCCCTCCAGTCTGGGTGATGAAGCAAGACCCTATCTCTCTAAAATATAATAATAATAAATGAAAGGCACCAACTCACAGAGTTGAGCAGCTCAGTGAACCCCCCAGGAGCATAATGAAGCAGAACAAATGCAAAGCCACATCCAGGCAATCATCATCAACTAGATGAAAGCCCTAGACAAAGAAAAAAAATTTAAAACAGCCAGAGAAAAAAGGAATGTTGGCTGGGCGCGGTGGCTCACGCCTGTAATCCCAGCACTTTGGGAGGCCAAGGCAGGTGGATCACGAGGTCAGGAGTTTGAGACGAGCCTGACCAACACAGTGAAACCCCACCTCTACTAAAAATACAAAAATTAGCTGGGTGTGGTGGTGCATGCCTGTAATCCCAGCTACTTAGGAGGCTGAGGCAGGAGAATTGCTTGAACTCAGGAGGTAGAGTTTGCAGTGAGCTGAGATTGCACCACGGCACTCCAGCCTGGGAGACAGAGCGAGACTCTGTCTCAGAAAAAAAAAAAAAAAAAAAAAAGTAATGTTATTTTCAGAGAAGTAAAATGGTTGTGTGTTGACTTTTGCTTAAAACTATGGAAGCTAGAAGACAATGGAATTACATCCTTAATGTGCCAGAAGACAAAAATAAAACCCTAATATTTTACAAACAGAAAATTTATATTTTACATCTATCAAATATAAATGCAAAATAATGATGACTTTAGTTTTTTTTTTTTTGGCTTTTTTTTTTGAGATGGAGTCTTGCTCTGTTGCCTACGCTGGAGTGCAATGGTGCAATCTCTGCTCACTGCAACCTCCGCCTCCCGGGTTCAAGCAATTCCTCTGCCTCAGTTTCCTGAGTATCTGGGATTACAGGCACCTGCCACCATGCCTGGCTAATTTTTATATTTTTAGTAGAGATGGGGTTTCACCATGTTGGCCAGGCTGGTCTCAAACTCCTGACCTCAGGTGATCCATCTGCTCTAGCCTCCCAAAGTGCTGGGATTACAGACGTGAGCCACTGCACCCAGCCAGATTTTTTTTTTAAAGGAAAGAATTTAGCAACAGCAGACATGCACTGAAAAAAGTACTTAAGTTCTTGGGCCAGGCACAGTGACTCATACCTGTACTGCCAGCACTTTGGGAGGCCAAGGTGGGAGGACGACTTGAGGCCAGGAGTTTCAGACTAGCCCTGGCAACGTAGCAAGACCCTGTCTCTACAAAAAAAAGTTGAAAATTTAGCTGGGCTGGCCAGGCGCGGTGGCTTATGCCTGTAATCCCAGCTACTTGGGAGGCTGCGGTGGGAGAATCACTTGAACCCAGGAGATGGAGGTTGCAGTGAGCAGAGATTGTGCCACTGCACTCTTGAGCTCAGGAGTTCGAGACCAGCCTGGACAACATGGCAAAATCCTGTCTCTACAAAAAAAAATTAAAAGAAAAAAAATTAGCCAGGTGTGATTTGTGCCTGTAAGTCTCAGCTACTTGGGAGGCAGAGGTGGGAGGACTGCTTGAGCCCAGGAGGTTGAGGCTGCAGAGAACCGTGATTACACCACTGCACTCCAACCTGGGCAACAAAGCAAGACCTTGTCTCACACACAAAAAATTTAAAAATTAGCCAGTCACAGTGGCATGTGCCTGTACTTCCAGCTACTCGTAGGCGGGTTAGCAGGGGAACTGAAGTGGGAGGATCACTTGAGCCGGGAGGTCGAGGCTGTAGTGAACCATGATCGCACCACTGCACTCCAGCCTGGGCCACAGTGAGACCCTGTCTCAAATGAAACTTTAGTCTGGGTGCGGGTGGTTCACGCCTATAATCCCAGCACTCTGGGAGACCAAGGCGGGTGGATCACGAGGTCAAGAGACTGAGACCATTCTGGCCAACATGGTGAAACCCCATCTCTACTAAAAATACAAAAATTAGCCAGGTGTGTGGTGGGCACCTGTAGTCCCAGCTACTCAGGAGGCTGAGGCAGGAGAATGGCATGAACCCGGGAGGCAGAGGTTGCAGTGAGCTGAGATCACACCACTGCACTCCAGCCTGGCGATAGAGTGAGACTCCATCTCAAAAGAAAAAAAAAATTTTTTAAAAACCTATCATTATTAATTTTTGTATTCTTATCTTTACTGTTTTGATCAATGTCCTTTTTTTTAATGGCATGTTAGGCCAGTAGGAGGTCCTTTAGTTTGGCTCCCAAGTCCCTCGGACGTGACCCCATCATTTTGGGTGCTTCTTTGATCTCTGGCATCAGATTCCCAGGCTCCCCTTGTATACTTCCTTCCTCCCATAGCGAAATCCAGTCACTTCTCCAAAGAACATGGTTCCTTTCCGTGGGAAATGGCATTCAGAGACCACGATCCAGCTTTGGGGCGGGGAGGTGGAAAGGTGCAGGTCACAGTGCCCCTGCCAGCCTCTGCCTTCATGTGGCACATCCAGGGCCTACCTTCCCACTGTTGAAAGCCTTGGACCACCACTGAGTGGTAAAACTTGGCTCACGGATGAATCACGACCCCTAGCAGGGTGGGCTCGGCATCTCTGGAAGTCAGATCAATCACCGACAAAGCCTTCCTGGACTCTACACAGGGAGGGAGTCTCTGGGCTAGGGTGGGGTGAGGCCTGGGGTTACCTCCTGGCCCATCCCAGCACCCCAGGCTTGAATGGTGGCACAGTTCAGCCAACTAATCCAATCATAGGAAACCTGCTGCTACCCTCCCTGTGTGGATGTTTCCATTTCTCTGTCTCCCGACTGGAATTCAGGGTCCTTCAGGGCTGGAACCCTGTCTGTCTTGCTCATCACCTGCCCAAAGCTACATTGCAGGGGCTCAAGAAATGCTTTTGCTGACAAATGCCTCAAAGGCACGATTTCCTTTTACCAAGAAGGGACTCAACAACTGGAAGGACTCACATTGCAGAGCAGGGTTTGGAACCTGCCTCAGGCTGGCTGCCCCCAAGGCATCCCCGCCCCACCCTGCTGGGTCCCAGGAAAGCCTAAGGGCTGTGCAGAGCATGCAGCTCCGGGCACTTTGCTGGGACAGGCCTGCAGGGACACGGTCCTTACTGGCTACTCCCAGAAAGGCTGGGAACCTCCCCCAGCCCCATATGCCCCGCACCCCATCCCAGTTCAACTGATGTGGGAGGCAGCTGTGGATCTACCGGCCATTTGGTTGGGGAGGCAGCTGAGTGGCCACCTCCTCACCAGGGCATCCAAAGGGATAGGGCATGTACCTGGCTCTTGCCGGCCCCACTCAAATGGAGAAACAGAACACCAGGGGCGGGAGGGGCTTGTCTCACAGCACAGTGATTCAGGGACAGAATCCAAGCCCCTGATTCCTAGCCAGGCAAGATTCAGCTTCACAGAGCTGGAAGGTGCTGCAGCCCAATGTAGGCTGGGGCAGGAAGGCCAGGAGGATGTGGCCAGAGGAATGAGGGGTGGGGAGCGGGGAACACATTTCAATTCTGAATCTCCTTCATGAACAAGGCATTCAACCAAGAGGACCGAGGCTCAGCAGCCTGGAGGGCCGTGGAGAGGACAGCTACCAAGAAAGGCCTGGCAGCCACGTACACCCCCAACTAAATGTGTTCAGTCCACTCCGTGCAGGGGTCCTGAGGCTTGGCTCAGGATCTCATAGGTGAGGCTCCAAGGAGCTGCCAGGTTCTCTATAGGAAGGTGTTGCACTGGGAGCCCTGTGCCTTCAGCCCCAGAGAGGCAGAGGAGGTGGCATCCCAGCCTCTGAGGTAGGAGCTCACACTCACCCATGTGCTCACCAGGCAGGCTCTGGCATCCTCCACGAAGGCATCTGTGGCCTGCCACTGCGGGCTGTGCCTGCACACACCCAAGGACTCTGAAGTCTGGGAGCCCAGCCTTTTCTGCAGCCTGAAATTTGCCACAAATTCCCTGAGTCCCACTCCTCTCCAACCATCTCAGTTACCTATTGCCGTGGCAAATTGCTCCAGAACTTGGCTGAAAACACAGGCCATTTTACTTGCTCGCATCTTGTGGGTGAATAGTTGGAACGGGGCTTGCCTGGGTCACTCGTGTGGTCTCCTGGGTGCTCCATCAGGGCCTTCTGGCTTCAGATGGCTTCACACACAGGTTTGGTGGTTTGTGGTGGCTGTCAGCCTGACCACCTGTCTCCAGCAGGCTGTCCCAAGCTTCTTTACAGGGTAACAGAGTTTTCAGAAACAAGAGCAGGCAGGCCCTAAAGCTCATGTCAAGCCTGTGAAGGTTCCATTGATCAAAACAAGTCCATGACCCAGCCCAGAGTTGGTGGGTAAAGGGACGACACTAGGCAAGGACACTTGGAGGCATGATTCCTGGGGACCAGGACTGTAACAGTCTTTCTGAGAAAGGTGATCAGGGTGCAGCGGTCATTAGAGCCGCTCCTGCAATCAGGGCCGGGCAAGGGCAGAATCCTGCTGTGGAGGCTGTGTAGTGGTACACTCAGCCTGCAGTGCTGAGTGGGCCACCACTCTGTGGGCACCCACGAGGTCTTCGACTCGGTGCTGCAGGCCCTGGCCTCATGGCACTGATGGCCAGTACTCCGTGGGCACCCATGAGGTCTTTGACTCAGTGGCCCAGGGCTGCAGAGGAGCCCAGACTCACACTCCAGGAAGGAAGAGGCCGGTGGGGTCGATCTCAATGGCTACGCAGCGTGTCAACAAGGGCCTGAAAAAGCTCAAGGGCCAATGGGTCCACTTGAGACAGCCTGGGGCTGTGGGTGGAAAGGTGGAGGAGACGGAGGGGTAATGACCAGGGCATAGCTGCAGAGGGCTGGCTTCCAGTTTGGGTCGGCCCTGGCAACCACCCAGGATTTGGGTAAGGTGCTCTCTGCTAGAAGCAGGAAAGCTGAAGCACACCTACTGTACCCCTGCGATGAGACGAAATCCAGGCTTATAAGGGATGTTCGCCAGTGGGGCACCCCACAGCCAGTCCCATCAAGAGGACATCCCTGCAGTGGTCCTTAGGGTCTGTGACCCAAGACCCAAGGGGCTGTAGTCGCTGTAGCTGGCTGTGGGGAGGTTCAGGACAGGCTCAGCTATGGGCTGTAGCCCAGCTGAAGGGGTCTACCTTCCCTCCACTTACCAGTGACCCTGGAAGCCAAGCTCAGTGGAGGAGTTCTGTTTCAAAGCCAGTCCACCTGGGTCCCCAGCCCATGCCTCCGTGTAGGAGCTGAGTGACCCTGGGCAAGTCACTTTGACTCTCTGGCCTCAGTTCCCCACTCTGAGAAGTGGGAGCCTGACAGCACATAGTCATCCCAGCCTCAGGACAGCAATGGCCTGGGCCTAGAATCGTGGGTGCACGAGGAAAACGGCGTGTTAGTGTGACCGATGTTGAACAAACTGGTTATGAACAGTGCCTGTAAGTAAGTTTATAAATGAATACACACAGGCAGGGCGTCGTGGCTCACACCTGTAATCCCAGTATTTTGGGAGGCCAAGGCGGGCGGATCACGAGGTCAAGAGATTGAGACCATCCTGGCCAACATGGTGAAACCCTGTCTCTACTAAAATTACAAAAATTAGCTGGGTGTGGTGGCGCGTGCCAGTGGTCCCAGCTACTCGGGAGGCTGAGGCAGGAGAATCGCTTGAACTCGGGAGGCAGAGGTTGCAGTGAGCCGAGATCACGCCATTGCACGCCAGCCTGGCAACAGAGACTCTGTCTCAAAAAAAAAAAAATTGCTATCTCTGGAGGCAGAAATAATGAAAAAGAAAAAAGAAATGCCCATTATCCTTTCTCTGCATGTGAGGAGACAGGCCTAGAGAAGTTAAGGGCGTGAATGAGATCAAGAAGATTTCACAGTGGAGTGAGGGCTTGAGTCAGCATCCGAGAGAGTGACAGAGGCTGTAAGGTGGGCTACGGTTTTAGGTGCTTCTGGCCCAGCTCTGGCACTTGCTAGTTGCATGATGTGGGCAAGACACGTTTCTCTAAGTCTTGGCTTCCTCTTCTATAGAACAGAGATAATGACAGTCCCTACTTGTGAGGTTAACATAAAGATTAAATTATGAAATGCATGCTTGGTCCTTAGGGGCAAAGCAGTCACCAATAAATCTAGCAATTATTACTAAAAAACATAAATAATTTGCTATATAGCAAAAGACACACTTAAAATTATTTATATATTTATTTAGTTTTTTGAGACAGGGTCCTACTGTCGCCCAGGCTGGAGTGCAGGGGCGCGCCTGTAAACCCAGCTACTTCGGAGTAGTAGCAACTTGGCACGCCATTCTCCTGCCTCAGCCTCCCGAGTAGCTGGGACTACAGGCGCCCGCCACTACAGATGGGGTTTCACCGTGTTAGCCAGGATGGTCTCGATCTCCAGACCTCATGATCCACCCGCCTCAGCCTCCCAAAGTGCTGGGATTACAGGCGTGAGCCACTGCACCTGGCCTGAACCACACAAAATTCTAATACCCTCCATTGACAAGGAAACAGCCTACTTGACTGCAAGGGGCCAGTTCCTCCTGTGCTGCCACTCACCCTTGCCCGGGCGAGCCGCTGTCCTTATTCAACTGTCCCTTCCTCCCGGATGCCTTCCCCATGACTGCGCAGGTGGGACCATCCCTTCCTGCTTCCAGTGTAGTTGTGAGAAGCACTACCTGCCCCATCTTGGCAGGAAGGTGTCTTCAGCTTGTCCAGGCCAGAACTTGGCCAATCTCCTCACATGTATCAGCCAGCCAACTCCCCATTAAGGAGCGTGGATGGTAAGAAGGGCACCAAGGAATGGAGGGAGGGGGAGGACTTAGAATCCGGAATTCAATCTCATTTAAAATCTACAGCCAGGTGCAGTGGCTTACGCCTATAATCTCAACCCTTTGGGAGGCTGAGGTGGGTGGATCACTTGAGGTCAGGAGTTCAAGACTAGCCTGGGCAGCATGGAGAAACCCCGTCTCTACTAAAAATACAAAATTAGCCAGGTGTGGCGGCACTCGCCTATAGTCCCAGCTACTCGGGAGGCTGAGGCAGGAGAATCACTTGAACCTGGGAGGTGGAGGTTGCAGTGACCCAAGATGACGCCACTGCACTCCAGCCTGGGCAACAAAGTGAGACTCTGTCTCAAAACAAAAACAAAAACAGTTAACTGGGCGTGGTGGTGCATGCATGCCTGTAGTCCCAGCTACTTGGGAGGCTGAGGCATGAGAATCACTTGAACTTGGGAGGTGCAGGTTCTAATGCGCCAAGCTCCCACCACTGCACTCCAGCCTGGGCGACAGAGCAAGACCCTGTTTCAAAAAAAAAAAAATCTACAATCACCAGGCCTTCAGATTTGAATGTTTCTTCCCCTAGTCCTTTGGCAATAAATACCTAAGTAGCAGACAGCTCAATAAACAAGAAAAAGGCCCAGAAAACCCTAAGCCTCAGCTAATTCCTCTCTGGACACCCAGGAATTGGCAGCTGGGAATCCCACTCCCTGGGAGTCACTCATAAGCCATGGCAGGGCCTTTGATCCGTAAGCACGGGGCCAGCAGGCGTTTATTTTTCCTCCGCAATGCACCCGATTTCTCTATTCCGTTACTACACATCTATGTGCCTATTATTCCCAGCTGTGGGGAACTAGAGCACAACAGTGCTGACCTCAAGGAGCTCAATCTAGAGAGCCCGACAGCTTATCAAACACCTCAGATCAAAATGTGCAATTATCACAGCGTTAGCAAGGGCGTGGGGCAACAAGCGGCCTTGTTCACGCAGACAGGAGAAACTGATGCAACTGCTCTGGAAGGCCAGTGAGCAGTACGTATCAAATGGAAAAATGAACCAGATCTTTTCATCCAGAGATTCTATTTATCCTGCAACTACACTGGCACATAGGTGAAGTGACGTGATTTCCATTCTGCTGATGTTACAAAGGATACTTCTGTGCCTGTCAATTGACGATGGTTTCCATAAATCATTTCCGCCATAAATGGAATACCATGAAGCCAATACAAAGGAATGAAGCAGCTTTATTTTTTATTTTTTGAGGCACAGTCTCACTCTGTCACTCAGGCTGGAGTGCAGTGGCGCGATCTCGGCTCACTGCAACCTCCACATCCTGGGTTCAAGTGATTCTCCTGCCTCAGCCTCTCGAGTGGCTGGGATTACAGGTGTGCACCACCATGCCCAGCGATTTTTTTTTGTATTTTTAGTAGAGATGGGGTTTTACCATGTTGGCCAGGCTGGTCTCAAACTCCTGACCTCAGGTAATCCACCCGCCTTGGCCTCCCAAAGTGTTGGGATTACAGGCGTGAGCCACTGCGCCCGGCCCACAGTGACTTTAGACATATGTGCTGATGCAGGAAGGCTAAGAAGACTATCAGTGTGTCAGGTGGGCAAAGCTAGTGTGTAGAGTATGTCATTTGTGTGCACACATGCATGCCCGCAAATGTGTGATCATCCCTTGAGGGATATGCAAGGAACTGGCAGCAATGGCCGCCTATGGAGAGAACTAGGTGATCAGAGGACAGGGATGAGAAACTCACACTTCACGTAGGCCTTTTATACCAGGAACGCTAGTTAACTATTTCTAAAATAAAAATTTAAAATCACTTCATTACAGTTAGCACAAAGAGGTCAGCACAGAATGAGGCTTAAGTTGTAGAGGCCCCAAGAATCAGTCCCCCTGCAGAAGGTGGAGGAAGGGGTTCGTCAGGACCAGAGACGGACGGGGACGCATGACTGGGCCCGGGGCAGGCCGAGCTGAAGGGAAGGTGCCTGGCCGCACCCCTGAAGTCAGGTTAGGGCAGAATGAAGGGCTGTGCATTTTCTGGGAGACAGATGCAATGCTTTCCGCTTTCCACAGGAGAGGTCCCTGATTAGGTGGGGGGTGGGAGAGAAAAGGCAAGAGGAATGGTGGGGATTAGGGGCAGGTTAGTTAGGAGGCCGCGGCACCCCCTCGGGTGGGAAGAAGGACTTGTGCTGTCCCTGGCAGTAGTGATCGATCAAAGTGCTTCTAACTTGGCGACCAGATACACAGCAGTGTCACACACCACAGAAGATGCAGAAACAGGTGCCGGGGAAAAGGGTTTTAGTCTCAGACTTTGTGTAATTTGGAGGCACGGATGGGCATGGGGGTGGAGTGGTCCAGGGGCAGCTGAGCTCTGGGAACAGGGCTTTAGGTGTGAGCGCTGTGGAGTCCTCAGGTGCTGACGGAGCACCCAGGCAGTTGGGAAACGGTGAAGGGAGGGTGAGCTGGCAGAGCGGGCAGGCAAGCGGATGCTTCAAGGCCTGTGACTGTGCTCCTGCTTCTGGGACAACAGGAAAGTGTACTTGGGGGGCTCTCTTGGGGGGTGGGTTCCATTCAGCCCAGAACCAAAGGATCGGCTGGGCGTGGTGGCTCACACCTGTAATCCCAACACTTTGGGAAGCCAAGGTGGGGGGATCACATGAGGTCAGGAGTTCGAGACCAGCCTGGCCAACCCAGTGAAACCCCATCTCTACTAAAAATACAAAAATTAGCTGGGCATGGTGGTGCGCACCTGTAATCCCAGCTACTCAGGAGGCTGGGGCAGGAGAATTGCTTGAACCCGGGAGGTGGCTGCTGCAGAGAGGAGATCATGCCACTGCACTCCAGCCTGGGCAACAGAGCAAGATTCAATCTCAAAAAAAAAAAAAAAAAGACCCCAAAACAAAGAATAAGTCAGGGTCATCCATGAGCTAGTCTGGGCCCAAATGATGCCCCAGGCATGGCCTCTGATCTGTCGAGAAGGCAAGCAATTTGCATAGAGCCTCAAATACCTGTCAGCTCCAAGAGTCAGTGCCTAGCATGTGCTTGGCGCGTGGGAAGCACGGTGCTTGGGAGCTGCAGGGAAGGGAGCTTCTGAGAGCCAGCACCTGCCTCCAAGCAGTGCAGCTGCTCCCCGTTGGGCGTGGGTACTATGGCCTTTCCAGCAGTGTCAGCACCAAGTGCTCTCAAGATCTCTCCCTCCCATAAGCTGAAAGGCTGGGACAGGCCTGGCAGGGACCTCACCAGGCCTCTCCCGAGCCTTGTAATTCTCACTGTGGTGCTGTCTTGGCCTAGATTCCCCGCAAAAGCAGAGCCTGAGATGAGGCTTTGTGGGTAAATGGTTTGCTTTAGAAACCAATCCCAGGCAACAGAAGTAGGGGGCCAGAAAAAGTGAGGCAGGGAAGGAGAATCAGTCCTAGACCATTTCTGAGCTGGTCTCTGCAGGGGGCCGCTGAGGGGGAGCTGCTGTCTATGGCTGCCTTACCCAGATTACCCAGAGCTGCCCCTGGGGATGGAGCTCCCTGCTACTTCCAGGCTGCTGTTCCTGAGCTCCCCTAGGTCACCTACCTCAGGGTGCTGCAGTCACACCTGTCTGAAGCCGGGGTTGTGGGGAGGGCCAAGATGATGGGAAGTGAGGCACAGAGGCGCCTCATCTACACCTGTATACAGGTGTTTTTTTCCCCCTCAGTCCGAGAAAAGGGAGCTGGAGCCAGGGCCTCCATGTGTCTGACTCGGGACTCACAGCCCGCCTGCTATCCCTTCCTATCCTGTGCCCTTGCACGCGCTCAAGTTAGGCCAGTCTTTGAGAGGGGCTCTCCCTCAACCCTCCATAGCTCCCTCTTCCCAGCCTCAGCCATCGCCCGGGGTTCTTTGAAGTCACTAAAGGCCAAGTCCAAATGGCTCCACCTTCAGTGCCCAACCTAGCAGATGTCCAGCAGCATCTTGGCAGGGGGCCACCTTGGCCTCAACCTTCCTCCTCTCTGTCCTTGGCACTCATTTCCTCTTGTTCTAGACCACAAGCCACCTTCACAAATCACAGCGGAGGTCCCAACACTCTTGGCCTCGGCCCCTAGGTGCCACCCTCACCCAAGCAGACCCTCTCCCCTTTCCACAGGCTCAGCTCCGGGACAGGCACTCTCTAAATTAGATGCGAGGCAGCTGCAGCCTCCCTCCCAGACCTGCCTGTAGCTGTGGCTCCACTCGCCGTGGTGCTGACTGCTGTCACCTGGAGGATATGTGCAGTGTCCTCCACTAGACTGTCCACGCTGGGAAGGCTGGACCCGGTCACCCTTCTACAACCCTCCTACACTGTGCAGTCACACACAGGGGCCCCATCTGCCTGGACCTAGAAATTGGGTTTCTATAGAAGTTATCTAGTGAGCAAGCTCAGTGGCACAATGGATAGTGCACTGGACTTCTAGCCCCAATCTACAGTAGTCATCTAATCAAATTCTACATCCCAGCTAATAAAGGGAAGACCATGAGACCACAGCCACCGCCAGCTTCTTCACGCTACTCAGGAAACTACCGGCACTGGTGTGCATGCACTCTTGGCTGAGCAGAGGCCACAGCGGCAGTGATCTTGCCTCTGCACTGCCACCATCCTGCCTCCAGGTATCAGGCCAAAAGCCTGGTCAGGCTGAAAAAAGAAAATCCACCCATGGGGGGAAAAATGCCTCTTACTGAACCCTTGCATTTAAACCCACAACTATCACAAACTTTATGAATTCATGTGCTTCAACTTGATTCCAACTATAAAATTATCATATATAAAAAAGAATGTCAGTTCAGGTAGAGCAAAAGGCTAAAAACAAAAGGCATCCCTGGCAGTGTTTCCACAGGGTCTGATTTGGAAGAAATTCAACATTTGGAAACCCCAAGCCTCACTTAAAAGGAAAGAAAGAACCCCACTTTGTTACAGGGAAGGGTACTGCTTTGATGGAGCGTGGGGGTGCAGAAAATGCTTTCATTTCATATTTTATTACATCAATGGCTTGAAAATTTTTATTTAACCTCAGCAAATATTGGAAATAGAAAAATGAATTCTGCAGAATTTCACAAATAAATTTTCCAATTTCCACTAACAAATGTTATCATTCAATGGCTAAGCAGTTATAATGCTATGAACATTCACCACAATGAATGTGCTGAAATAGAAAACAGGCAAAGAGACATTAAAATATTACTTACAACAGCATTATTACAACATATTTTCTTTAAAATTCCAACGTGGATTTCATCACTTCAAAAGATATACAGCATTTCCATTATATTTGCAAACTTAACCTTATACATCTTTTAAAATCTTGAAAATTTTTTAAGCTGTCTAAAAAGCACTTAGCAAAGTCGATAAGTCTACCTAATGGAATACTATCCACCCCGGTATAAATTTCGTTTTAGGAGAAGGTGGCTGTAAACACTCATCATCACACAACATGCATAGCCTCTGCTGACCTTCCCTTCTTCTGAATGCGACGCCACTGCAATTGTGCTTTACTACAGGTAAGACAGGTAAGAGAAGCTGCAGAGATTCAGGGACTGGCAGAAAGAGCATCGCACAGGACCACTAGGTTTAGGTGACCTGGCTACCTGGAGTCCATCTGAGGAAAGTTTCACTTGACAATAGAAGCTTGAATCCTGGATCATTCGGTTTAGAAACAGGCTAGACAAGAGAGAAAAAGAGGCCCTCGTTGGAGTTGGCTCCATCTTTCCTTAGCTCACATAAAAGCAGGGATCCAGTTAGCGTAATGCACTGTTTGGCTTATTTTTGGTGTGCAATTATACCAATAGTACATCTGATATTTAGAATGACAAAAATAGGGTATCGTTGAAATTTAAAGTGACAATGAGCACACTTAACAGTGGTCTGTGGTATCTGAGGAAACTTTAGATGAACAGAAAGCCACTGTTTTATGAGTCCACCCCAGTAAGCTGTTACAACCCAACTAACTACCTTTTCATGTTTGTTTTGTGTGTTGAATAGAGGTTTGTGAGCATCAGAACGTCTTATAGGTTAAAAACAATCAAAAACCATTTTGAGGAAGTGGCGTCTCCACAAACACTGTACACCCAGACAACGCGGCATTTGTGTTACACTAGCACCCGACTGTGTGCCAACACTAATGTAATCGGCACAACTGGGGTGTGGTTCCTTCCCAGTTAAAAGAGCTATATTACAGAATGGATCACTGTTGCAGACCAGTCAACACAATATTCAAGTAACAAGGTGTTTAAATGGATAAGTGAAAAAAATTTTACCTAACACTTCACACATCTACATAAAATTAAATAAAACAAACTTTTAATGCATATGCAATACAATTTATATCTTTTAGGAGTTCTAAACTAAAAGTTAAACTATTATTTGCATCAATGACACTATATTTTGCACAATAACTTATACTTAGGAGAAAATTTTCCACAAAAATATATATAATTATGACATTCACATTGATAATTTTTAAGAAGACAAAGCTTAAGTGAACATTCCATCTGAAGCAGTTATCACACCCCAAACCCTACCTGCCAATGCACCTAATTCTTGATATGTTAAAAAGTCTTCATATAAATAAGATCAAACCACTGCGCTTTTAAAGCTAAGTGATTTCTTACATTTACATCATTGCAAAGACAGTGTAATGCAACAGTTTAAAACACAGTGCTATCTTACGCGGGAAAGCACAACAAAGGCAGTCAAGGACAGCTCCCATTTTCCCTCTGTCAAATAAAAATGACATGCCCCTTCCTCTCGGGGAGAAAGCCCAGGTCAGCTGCTGTGATCACACGTGATTCTTCAGGGCTGGAGACCATTCAGTGCCAGGAACCAAGTAAAGGGATAGTGCAGAATACAGATCAAGGCCTGGCACTGCTGGTCAGTTTGCCACGCTATATAAAAATTAGCATCAAGCTTCCAAGCACTGCCAGGAGGGACCAGGCTATTTTCCTTAACAGAGATACAGACAGACCTATTGGCAGGGTGAGAAACGCACTGCAGCAATTGCCTACTGCTTCTGTTAGCAAGAAGGAGGTCTTGAGGGAAGCACGGAGAACCTAAAGCTTCAGCTCATACCTTAGTGTACCCTTTATGCAATGTGCAAACTTAGGCTGACTCCTTCCCATGCTTCTCCTGCCGCCCTCGGTGTACACAGCAGGCTTATGGTGAAAAGAAGCCTCTCCCTCATCACTAGTGTTATTTTGCTAACCCTGTCTCCAGGTAGCAGCAGCAATCCGGGACTCCTCTGATGCTTCCCAGGCTTTTACGTGACCAACACACACCTGGCACGGGAACGAGATGATGAAGGGCAGCAAGTCCCATTGTACTTTCCTTTTGAATGACCTTTCTCTCCAGACTATACTAAAAAAAAATTTACAATTCCAAAAAACCTAGGTTTCTAGCTGACCCTCTTTCTAAAGAGAAAATCAGCTGACTTCAACAACAACAACAACAACAAAAAACAAGGTGCTTGGGAGACAAAACATATCAAACTTTAATTGCATATTTTAAATTCTTCAGAATTCTGTTTAGGCCTTAAAGCATCTGCATTTTTTTGGTATTGAAAGCAGGAAAAAAATCCAAATGATGCAAACAACAACAACAACAACAAAAGCGACTTCAGCGTATTGAGTGCAGTCTGAATGGCCGTGGGGTGGGAACAGGGTATGTTAGAATGCAGGCTGTCTGCTCAACCCTCAGCAGGCCCATGGTCTGATAAGATAACAAAAGTGATTCTGGAAGTCTCAAAATGTTTATTAGAAATTTTTACTTGTTCCCAGTCCAACCAAAAGGCATTACAGACCACTCTGTAGGTTATTTCTTTTCATCTCAGTCTCACTAGACCAATACATTGATCACTTCTCTGTCCTGTACTCTGATATGAAAAGAGAGTGCATGGTGTTTGTGTAATCACATCAGCACATGAAGGACACAAACTGACATACAGAGTGCCACATAAAAGGCCAGGCACACCGAGAGAACGCGGAACAACGCGCAGCTTTCATAAACCAGCGCCAGCTATTCTAATATCCTGACATTTAAAATCTGCACTGTCAGAATCTGCAGCAAGCTCTCCCCTGTCTCCTAATCTCAGTGATGTCATCTTTGGCTAGCAAATAACTTGAAAGAAGAAATAAGACACTAAAACAGAAAAAGGATTGATAACCATGGTTGCCAAAAGGAGAAGGCACCAATTCCAAATTTACAAGCACCAGGTACAGTGATGTGGGCCGAACCTCTTGGAGGTGGGGGGGTGGGGGGGGTCAGGAAAAGATGGGGTGGCAACCACCCTGGGGTCACAATGCTGAAAAGTTGAAGGCAGAAAGCATTGAGGTCCACGTTCCCTTTAAGCTACAGTGTCCAACGACAGTTGCAGTAAATGATCTTTGTAACACTTGGGAAGGGAGAAGAGGGAGATTTAAGCCAACTCAATTTATAAATCATAACTGTACCCCATGTTTAGGGAAATGTGAGTTGCATCAGGATGCTTGGCATGATAAAGGTTATGATGCAGTCTGGCAATATATATTAGTTTCCAAAAAAGCGTATTATCACTTAGGTGGTTGTCTCAGAAAAGAACAAAAGAAACTTTCTAGAAGGCCAACAGGGTCGCGGTGACTCTGAAAATGACTCTATGCACAAAGTAGAAACTGCAGGCCATGCAGGAACAGAGTCGGGCCTTCCAAGGAGACTGCCTGCTCTGAAGCTGCTGACTGGGAAGAGCTGCCATTGGTGGGGCTCGGGGGCTCCGGCGGGAGAGGCGGTTCCCAGAGTCACAAGAGATGTGCAGGCCGTGAGACTTCCCCAGCACGTGGGCAGAGTGTGAGATGCAGTGGAGCTCTCTGGGAAGTGGCGCCAACATGGAGGAACGAGCAAAGAATTAAGGCAGATGGAGCACAGGACTGGAAGTATATGCCTTTTTTGGTAATAGCTGCTTGTCCAGAGAGATGTGATGCAGATGGCTAGGTGATGTCTCATAATACCTGATATCCCGGATAACACAGTAGTCCACACCAAGTGTTCAAAGCCACCAGTTTCTCAGGAGGCAGATGCATATCTGACATCCAGAACAGGAGCCTGAGGCCAAGAGGAAAAAAAAAAAAAAAAGGATCAAAGAGTAGGTAAACAACACAAGCTGCTATTTCCAGTGTACTGAAAAGAGAAGGTAGCCAGCAAACCTGCAGAGCAAACACCGAGTTCTTTTTTTTTTTTTTGGAGGGGAGACAGGTCTCACTCTGTCTCCCAGGCTGGAGTGCAGTGGCGCTATCTCGGCTCGCTGCAACCTCCGCCTCCTGGGTCAAGCGATTCCTCTGCCTCAGCCTCTCAAGTAGCCGCAACTACAGGCACCTGCCTCCACGCCCAGCTAATTTTTGTACCTTCAGTAGAGACGGGGTTTCACCATGTTGGCCGGGCTGGTCTCGAACTCCTGACCTCGTGATCTGCCTGCCTCGGCCTCCCAAAGTGCTGGGATTACATGTGTGGGCCCCCACGCCCAGCCCACCATGTTCTTAAGGGCAGGGCAAGCGTGTGGCCTCTCCAGCCAGACGTCTTGGCCTCAAACCCCAATATGTGCAAAGAAGTTATCAGTGTTTTTGAGTTTCAGTTTCTTCATGTGCAGAAGACACATAGTGATAATACCTACTTCACCAGGATTAAATTTAAGTGCCTGAAAACGGCCCGGCACAGTGGCTCACGCCTGTAATCCCAGCACTTTGGGAGGCTGAGGCAGGTGGATCACTTGATGTCAGGAATTCGAGACCAGCCTGGCCAAAAAGGCAAAACCTATCTACTGAAAAGAAATATTGGCCGTGCGTGGTGGCGCACACCTGTAGTCCCAGCTACTTGGGAGGCTGAGGCACGAGAATCAAGAGCTCGGGAGATGGAGGCTGCAGTGAGCTAAGATCGTACCACTGCACTCCACTTGCTCTGGGCAACAGAACAAGACTCCGTCTCAAAAACACAAATGAACAAAAAAACCTGAAAAGGGCATATAAGCACAGTGGCAGCCCTAACTCCTCTCACTGGCTTGAGGGCATGCTGTGGCACCCAGCCCGTTCAGCACCCAGTCACTGGTTCTAGCTGGGATACAGGAGCCCATACGATCCCAGGATCTTCTTTAAAAGCTATGAGGCATTTCCTAACTCCCCTCTCCCATTTTTTAAAAAGGACTCCCAGACCCAAACCTAAAGGCTGCATAGCGTCTTACTGCTCTCTGCCATGCTCATGGCATCTCATTGCTGGAGAAACAACTGGGCCATGCATCCAAAATCGCAAAGTGATTGTTCCTTCAGCTAAAAACCATACCATGTACAAGAACTGTTCTTAGATACAGGAGGAGATTTCTCCTCACTGGTAACAGACTTAATCATTTCATAATTTTAAGTGACATCTTTCTGTCCAATCCATGGCATCCTTTCTTCAGTGTAAGGTTGGATATGACACTGTTCCCAACCCACCCTTGTCCACGTCAAATAACTATGAATTTCAAAAGCTCAAAATGCCTTGGGCTACCTACCTGCCTCTAAGCCCTGAAGGAAATAATCTATAACTGACAGACCATTCTGTTACTAGAACTTCTAGGAATTCTCATGTTCTCCCTGTGGCTTCTGCATAATACATAAAACCTGAGGGCAGAAGGGACAGGCAAGACACCAGCAGACATCTTTCTCAGCTGTTGGACTCTACAGGACAAATAAAAAGGTGAAATTACACACACCCCAAGTTCTGTGGACTCACCAGACAGACAAGTAAGCCAGCATTCTAACAAGTTCCCTTAGGCCCTTGGACACAGAGAAGCAGCTGGTCACTAGATTAATTTCCTTCTGCAAACTAACATATGGAGAACATAAAACTAGGTGGCAGGGCAGGGGTGGCACTACAAGAAGCAGAAAAAGAAAGAAACTCAAGAAATAGGCCGGGCACGGTGGCTCATGCCTGTAATCCCAGCACTTTGGGAGGCAGAGGCGAGCGGATCACTTGAGATCAGCAGTTTTGAAACCAGCCTGGTCAACATGCCGAAACCCCATCTCTACTAAAAATACAAAAATTAGCCAAGCATGGTGGTGCACACCCATAATCCCAGCTACTAGGGAGGCTGAGGGCTGAGGCAGGAGAAGCACTTGAACCTGGGAGATGGAGGTTGCAGTGAGCCGAGATTGAGCCACTGCACTCCAGCCTGGGTGACAGAGGGAGACTCTGTCTCAAAAAAAAAAGAAAAGAAAGGTATGAGGGGGTACATTTTAAATGACTAGCGGAGTGAAAAAGTTTGTAAAGGGATATAAGGACTATGAAACTAAACACGAGTTAGATAATACCATTCTTCATTTTGTTTTGCAGAGAAGGCTGGGTAAATAGAGACATGGAAGATCAATCACCAAGGAAAAACTATGATCTGCTGCTTGGAGGAGCCATAACTAGACTGTGAAAAGAAAGACGGTACTTTGATAATGCAATCCACACGGTAAGTGGATCATTACGGAAGAACCTTCTGGGCTAATAACAAGGTTAAAAAAAAAATACTTGACTCACTTAAGTCAGTCAACCAATGATCCAAGAATAAGAGAATGAAGAAAAAAACATATGCACAACAACTGACATCCTGTTGGTAGGGACTCTTGGTCCTAAATTTACTATGAGATTTGTTATGCCAGCCCAGCCAACACTGGCTTTGATCAAATGCGAAGAGGGAATAGAGCCAGCGTTCCCAACTGTTTCTGCTTCCAGTCATCCTGGGACCGAAGCCGGAAAACACACACACAAGAAGCAAGCTTTCATTCCTGCAAATTCTAATGGTTCTTCCCCAGCAGTCTCCAGCTTTTCAATGCTTCCGAAACTGAGTGCTAACAGGGGCAATTAGTGCTGGTACAAAAATCACTGAAAATAAAAAGAAATAATAATAAAGAAAAAAATCACTGCTGAAAGATAAAAACACCATCATTTAATTCACATGCTCTTTTCAGGCAGAGCTATGCATGGGGGTGATTCAGGGGTACTGACCTTGGCAATATTATAGACGTGGTACACTTATTATAAAGATTTTCTGGCAAAAGGCTCTAAAGAATCTAATTCTAACAAATTTAATATGTTTCAATGGTGTTCTTACAGATGGCTGTGCCTTGAGGTCCTTTCTCCAGTCAGCAAAGAGGCCCTGCATGGAGTGGCGGCACCACGCTCCCAGGGGATGCCAATACCTCACGAGGTACTTCCATGCTCAGGTCAGGAGGGGCCTTCTGGGCTGTTTCCAGAGCCAGGCCCTTGGAGCAAAATGGTAGCACACGCAATACAAAATAGGTAATCTCAAAACATTCCAGTATGGTTTGAAAAGGCTTTGATGTGAAAGTGACTTTCCTTACAAAGCTAAATTAATTCTTAAATTACCATGCCTGTGAACAAATTCAGATGCAAAGTGATTGGCAAGTAACTCTTTCTTATGCCCAGCCCCAGGCTCATCTGCTCTGGGAATAGAGGGACAAATGTAACAGCAAGGCAGGCCAGGCTAGATGGGGAAATGGCAGGTGCCCCTGACACAGGAAGCAGGGAGGTGACAGATGAGACCAGGGTTATCATTCCAGAAATTAGCCACCATCACAGAAGTTCCAGCCAGCCACAGAACTGTCCCCATCAATACTTAAGCCAATCAGCCCCAAAGAGCATCAAAGGCTGAAAGATCTGGACAGCAGGGAGAGGCCTCAGGAGCTCCTGGCTGGCTCGCTGTGCTGCGTCATGATGATGTGACTGCACATTGCAGATGACGGAGCTTCATCGACATCCCTCACAGACAGGACAGCTTTCACTGCATTTTTACTTTTTGTTTATGCCCCCACTCCCCTGTCTTTGTCACTCAAGATTTTACTGTATTTAAGGAAAAACTGATAATGCAGAGTATTTTGTAGCTGGAGGAAATCAGGATGTAATTCAGGATTTGCCCAGAAATTAACATGTGAATAATATACAGGCACCAAGAACTGGAGTCAATGCATACACATTCCGGCTATTTACAGGTAAGAGTGAAGTTACTAATACAGCTGATACCTAAAAATCTCTATAGCTGAAAAAATTCATCACTTTAGAAACTGGAGTATCAAGCGTGAACCTGACAAGAGAAGTGACTGTTTTGTTTCAGATTTACCTCGTCTTCCTCTTCGGGCATCTTAATGGAATTATCTGGGGACTTCACAGGCTTCTGGTTACTGGGCCCATTGGTCTCTTCTTTACCATGTTCTGCCTCCCATTCTTGTAAAACTTCATCTATGTTGAAGCGGCGTCGATAATTTACAAAAAAGTTTTTCACTTGTACCACTGATTTGTTCCCAATCACGTCTGAGATTGCCTGAAAATCTCGGCCATATTTCCTGATGGCTAAGGATGTAAGAAAGCATTTTTTAAAATACAAGAGAAAAACATTTTTTTAAAACCACAAGTGACACTTACCTCTTTATCCAGATAAGAAAACATACAGGCTTTTAACAGCAGGCAATAATTTCGTGTATTATTAGAGTAGGAAAAAGTACCAGCCAATTCTAGACACATTCTGGAGATGACCGACCCTGTCATTTTGATATCTGTCTTCCCATTACATGTCACATAACAGCTGAAGTCACCCAGCAATTGCCCTAGGGTTGGGGACATTCTGCATTCATCTTTTGGTATCGCAGGTCCAGAGCACCCCCAACCTTTAAAGCTGAACACTCTGTCTGCTTCTTTTGGGGTTTTGTACTTCCTGGCTAGTCAGAGCTCGATGAGTAACTAGTAAAATGAAATACACCTTTAGAAGACTCAGGGTTCCCGGTTAAGTTTTTACAACTTGTGAGAAGTGGGAAAGGAAAAGAAAAAAGCCCAAAGGAATACAGTAATTTGGCTAAAATGATATCCACTAGGACATAATTGTCCAAGAATCTAGGTGCTGGGAGTAGGGCAGGACGTAACTTTTCCCTAAAATCTACCAATGCTCCTAAGCTCTTTTTTTTCCATTAAAAAAAAAATTTTTTTTTTTTAAAGTCAGGGTCTCCCTCTGTTGTCCAGGCTGGAATGCAGTGGTGTGATCATGGATCAATGCAGCCTTGAGCTCCTGGGCTCAAGCAAATGCGTCAACCTTCCAAAATGTTGGGATTACAGGTGTGAGCCACCACAGCCGGCCTCCTAAACTCTTTAGAAGAACTTCCCCCTACCTTGTACGGCGAGAAGCTGCTCTTCTGTAGTCCAACGTGCATTACATTTCTGAATGACCTGGATATCCAAATGAGTCATTTTAGCACATTACATTTAGAGATGAGTATGTCCTTATGAGCTTAACGAACCTTTCATTTTCTCTTATCGGAATTTTAACATCAACTGGGTTCATAAAATTATGTCCATATACTCTTCCAAGAGATGTATACTGGGGATGTATCACACCGATATTAAATTCTTAAACATGTAAAACTTGAATATGACTTCTAAGATGATGTTAACATAATCCTACCTCTGGAAGTCGATATGGTTCTATTCCACCATCAAGTTTTTCTTTGAGAGCACTGTTTGTCTGTTTAATATTCTGGATCTAGGAAGGAAAAAATAATTTTCATTTTAAAAATAAAAACTATATAAAGGTATGAAAACAGAACTTAAAAACCTAAAGAAACAAAAACCCAAGAGTAAAGACGTTACTAACATCTGTTGTAGCTGAATTCTGAGATCCCTATGGTATCCTTTGAAGCATCTAACTAGGTTTATTATTTGCTTGTTCAGAGCAACAGATAAGGTACAACCCAAGGAGGAGGGGACGGAGGGCTCTCACGTACACAGTCCTGGATCCACAGCTTCCTAACAGGTGATACCTGAGCAGCAAAACACCTACCTGGAGTCTTACATAAAAGACAGAAGAAATCCCTGGGCTTACTACCACATAGGATTGAACTGAAGTAACAGAGCAGCCACAGTAAGGACCAAAAAGGCCCAGTCTTTACAACAGAACTGCGGGTGCAGCCTCACAGCGCCCCAAGATCACTGTGCTGTCCACCGCTTCTACACAGGGCAGAAGTGCACAAGCATAGATTTCTTTAATGATGGGGGGGCGAGGAAAACACAATGTCAGTGAGATTTCCAGAAGTCTAACTTTGATTAACTGTCACGTCTTCACTTTCCTACAAATTATCTTTTTCCACATTACTGCCTTGGCTCAAGGTAATCTTTCACTGTCCTTACCCAGTCGAAAGAAAGACCACAAACAATACCAACCTCCCAGGCTATGGCTGCTCCTTAATTTTCCCATGGACCCTTGAATGAGACAGGTCACGGAAGTATGCTATTTTCTCTCTACTCCAAGTAGAGGGCATATCCGTGTCAAGCACCAGGGAACTCTGAACTCCAGCATTTTTCATCTTTGAATAATCACACAAGCAACTAAGAAAGCCAACGGAAGAGGAGCTTGATTTTCTCAAGTAAAATGTAAAAGACATTCATGAGTAGAAGATGCTACCCGAAAATTTTTAAATTTTTTTCACTTGTAATTAATCTAAATTTAAACAACCACACATGGGGCTGCTGGCTGCCATGCTAGACATTACAATCTCTTAGGATCTTGCTCAGTGGTCTTTCAGTTACCGAAAACCCAGGAAAATTGCAAAGTACTCAGATTATGTTCACTGGATTCCTTTTTGGCTAAAAATGCAACATAGCAACTTTTGGCAGGAAAAAGTCAAGGTTTAGAATATTACATGTCCTCTTCGCATTCCAGTGAAACAGACCACTCTTGTCACTCTAGCTGGTTGTTCATAGATAGTACAAAACTGGGTATATATTGCACTGTGATTAAGTAACGTTATAAAAGAAGCAGAGAGAGTAAATGCAAAACATCTAAAATTCTGAACTAAAAGCTAGCTCTAAATGCTCAGTAGCCTATACCCCTCTTCCTGATGCATTTTCCGTATCAGAAATATCTAGGCTGCATATATACCATGGAATACTATGCAGCCATAAAAAAGGATGAGTTTATGTCCTTTGTAAGGACATGGATGAAGCTGGAAACCATCATTCTGAGCAAACTATCGCAAGGACAGAAAACCAAACACCGCATGTTCTCACTCATAGGTGGGAATTGAACAATGAGAACACTTGGACACAGGATGGGGAAACATCACACACCGGGGCCTGTCGTGGGGTTGGGGGAGTGGGGAGGGATAGCATTAGGAGATATACCTAATGTAAATGACGAAGTGGGTGCAGCACACCAACATGGCACATGCATACATATGTAATAAACCTGCACGTTGTGCACATGTACCCTAGAACTTAAAGTATAATTTTAAAAAAAGAAGAAGAAGAAGAAGAAATATCTAGGCTGTGTAGTCCCAACTACTTGCGAGGCTGAGGTGGGAGGATAGCTTGAGTCTGGGAGGCAGGGGTTGCAGTGAGCCGAGATCGCACCACTGCACTTCAGCCTGGGTGACAGTGCCAGACCCTGCCAAAAAAAAATTATGCTAGTGCAGTGGCTCACACCTGTAATCACAGCCCTTTGGGAGGCCAAGGCAGGAAGGATCATTTGAGCCCAGGAGTTCAAGAACAGCCTGGGTGACACAGCAAGACCCTGTCTCTACCAAAAAAATTTTAAAATTAGCCAGGTGTGGTGGTGCTCACCTGCAGTCCTACCTACTTAGGGGGCTGAGGTGGGCAACTGCTTGAGCCCAGGCCTTTGAGGCTACTGTGATCCATGACTGTATCACTACAGTCCCAGGATGGACAACAGAGCAAGATCCTGTCTCCAAAAAACAAAATACGCCCCCTTCCCCCCGCCAAACATCTAGTGTTTATTAAGCAGGAAAAAAACAGAGATTACTGCCACCATCATGCTAACTGGAAAGTGAGTGGCAATGAAATAGGTAAGAAATAGGATGCAAAGGTAATCACACTTAAAGAAAAAACAAGATGAAAAAGAAAAGCCATCCACTTGTCCTGACGCCCTACCTAGACACCACCCTCCCACCCAACCCTCAGTCATACAGAACTTTCTGTTTTCTACTTTACTGTGGGCACAGTGATTCCTCTTTTAACATCAGATCACTTTATTCTCCACTCAGAGAAAGACCTGATGCAACCAGCACTGTTCACTGGCTAATTTAAGAGACATGCCCAGCCCCCTTCTCGCTGGTAGAGGTTGATGATGTCTTGGGAAGGAGGAAGAGCAGTACGCAACGCACGGGCACACAGAATTCAGCTAAGGAGCTTCCGGTAAGGCTTTTGCTTGTCCTGCTAAAAGGGACAGACAGGTTACCTCCACCCCCACCTCCTCTTCATACTGCCCTGAATGCAGATGTGAGGGTTGCAAAATGGCTCCAGTAGCTTCCAACATGAGGCAACAAGCAAGATGAAAAGCCAACAGCTGAGAATGGCACAGTAGAAGACCTGAAAAGTACCTGGGTCCCTGAGAGCATGACTGAACACATGAACTAACACCAGTAGCCACTGATGTTGGCACTTCTTGCCATTTGAGAAAAATAAACCCTAAATTGTTTAAGCTGTTGTTAGTCGAGTTTGCTGTTATTTTCAGAATATATCCTTGATATACCAAACATGGCGGCCTCCAGAACAAGTGGCCCAAGTGGACTGACTGCCCATTTTGAGTCTAGAAGCACATTTGGCAATGAACACACTGCTGCACTGTGGCGCTAAAAGGCTGTGGAAAGGAAATCACCCACCTCCTCTCTGAGTGAGGCTGAGTCCTCCCTCTTCATAATTGTGAGCGACCTTCAAATTTTAAAAATTCTTGCTCTTGACCCTGCTCTGAAAACTAAAGAATCTTTTCTCTCTCACCCTATGGAGTCAATAACACCTCGGTGCAAGAGGAAGGCCTCTTTTTCTTTTCTCAATATATTAAACAGCAACCACCAGGAGCTCACTCAGCAGAGGGAGAAAGGAGCATCCTTGTAAAGGAAGATGACAATGTCAACAAGAGCTCACAGCCCGAGACAGTTCTTCCAGTGCAAACAGAACTTCAAATGCTCTCTCACACAGTAGCCCAGACATATTCTGTGAGATCAGGCAGGCCAGGATTAATCTCATTTGAAAAGAGGCCTAGAAAGATTAAGTGATTCTCCTAAGATTAGAGTGCAGCTGTGCCAGCAGCCACAAGAAGAAGCCGCTCCTCTGAGCACACAGAGTGTGCTTGGGTCCTGGTCTGGGCTGCCTCCCTAAACCACAAGAAAGACAGCAGCACGCCCTGCTCTTCGCGTCTATGAGATGACAGTTGGTCTACTGTTTGACCTTCCAAGGGAACCATCAAGATAAATCAAAAGCAGCAAAAACCAAAAATAGTCAGTCAACAACTTGCTGATGGATTTCTGGAAACTGAATTCCAGAGAGAGAATGAAAGGACAGGACCCAACTACTAGGTTGAATTTTCAGTTTAAATGTACTATGCAATCAGATTAAAATAATAAGCTACATAGCAGGCAAAAATAATTATAAAAAGTAATTTAAAAAACAATATCCTTTACAAGAGCACCAAAAAAGTACCAAATATCATGGAATGACTAACAAAAGATGCGTTAAGTTCTTACACAGAAAACAATACAACATTGAGAGAAATTACAAACCTATAGAAGTAGAGGGGTATATCAGGTTCACTGATCAGAAAACTCAATAAAGATGTTAATTCTCCATTTTTATCTATAGATGCAATACAATCCCAATCAAAACTCTAATAGAATTATTTTTCTGAAAATTGATAAAGTAATTCTAAATTTTATATGGAAAGTAAAAGGCCAGGGATAACCAAGACAATCTTGGAGAACTTATATTACACCAGATAACTAAATTAATAAAGTACATAAAGTTAGGACAGTATGTATTGGTGAAGGATGGACAAAGAGATTAAAGGAACAGAGAACCTCAAACCAGACCCATATGCATACAGACACTGGATGTAAAACAAAGGTCCTGCTGCGTTGCAAAGGATAAAGGACAGTTTCTTCAATAAATACTTGACCAAATTGATACTCATATGAAAACAAAACAGTGACTATTAATCCGACATGTAACAACAAATACAGAAAAACATTTCTAGATCAAAATGTAAAAGGTAAAACAACACTTCTAAGACTAACATGAGAGAATATCGTCATGACCTTGAGAAAGGTGAACAGAACTCAAAAACACTAACCTCAGAAGACTAAGAAACTAAACTACCTTAAAATGAAGAATTACTGTTCATCAAAAGATACCATTGAGAGTCACAGAATGCAAAACATATTTACAGCATTTAAAATACAAGTTGTAGAAAACAACTCAGAGCCTAAAGAACACCTATAAACCAATAAGAAAATACGCAACCTGACAGAAAAAAAACAGATGAGACTTGAGTAGACATGTCACAAAAGAGGATATCCAAATGACCAACAAATGGATGAAAAGGTGAGCAACCTCATTAGTCATCAGGGAACTGCCAAATAAAAAGTACAATGAGGCATCATTATAACCCATCAGAAGGGCTAAAATTTAAGACTACCAAAATATGGCAATGATGTAGAGCAGTGGTTCTCAAATGGGGACAATTTTGCCCCTGTGAGGTAATCTGGTGATGCCTAGGGATATTTCTGTTGTCACAACTGGTAGGGGAGGGTGCTACTAGCATCTACTGGGTCAAGACCAGGGATGCTGCTCAACATCTTACAGTGCACAGAACGGCCCATCATGAGGATAGTGCTACAGCTGGGAAACGCTGATGTGCAAACAAAACGCACATAAAATGACAGGACCACTTTGAAAAACTGTTTAGCTCTCAGGTTGAAAGAAAGCCAGACATAAAATAAACAGTACCACATGACTTTCATTTATATAAAATTCAAAAATGGACAAAAACAACTTATGGTTTTAAAAATCAGAACAGGGCCGAGTGTGGTAGCTCACACCTGTAATCTCAGTACACTTTGGGAGGCTGAGGCGGGCAGATCACTTGAGCTCAGGAGTTCAAGACCAGCCTGGGGAATATGGCAAAACCCCGTCTCTACCAAAAACACAAAAAATTAGCCAGGTGTGATGACAAGCGCCTGTACTCCCAACTACTTGGGAGGCTGAGATGGGAGGATCATTTGAGCCCCGGAAGCAAAGGTTACAGTGAGCCAAGATCGCACCGCTGCACTCCAGCCTGGGCAACAGGACAAGACACTGTCTCAAAAACAAAATAAAATTAAAAAAAATCAGGGCCGGGCGCGGTGGCTCACGCCTGTAATTCCAGCACTTTGGGAGGCCGAGGCGGGTGGATCATGAGATCAGGAGATCGAGACCATCCTGGCTAACATGGTAAAACCCCGTCTCTACTAAACATACAAAAAACAATTAGCTGGGCGTGGTGGTGGGTGCCTGTAGTCCCAGCTACTCGGGAGGCTGAGGCAGGAAAATGGCATGAACTGGGGAGGCAGAGCTTGCAGTGAGCCGGGATCGCGCCACTGCACTCCAGCCTGGGCGACAGAGCGAGACACCGTCTCAAAAAAAAAAAAAATCAGAATAGTGGCCACCTACAAGGAGGAGTCAGGTAATAAAAGAGGGGTGGAGTTGCTGAGGGAATGCAACATTCCATGGAATAGTGACCAGGAGGGAAAATGCATGGGCCTGGGGGCAACATTCCATTTTTTGATCCAGATGCAGGTTACTAGGGTATGTTCATATTGTGAGAAATCATGGAGACACAGACACATATATAATATAAATATGATATTCATATGCTTTGCTATATACTTCAGAAATACTTTCAGATCACACTATATCCATACACTTCAATTTATATGTTCATTAAAAAGAAAAACAATGGGCTGGTACTTAAGATCTGTCCAATTCCTTCGAAACAAAATGCTCCTTTGAGATTTGCGGAAAGAGAACATTCACATATATGAATAACAGAAACACCTCTAAAGTGCTAATTAATTCTTTTACATCCAAGACCAGGCTTATGAGTACCTGTCGTTTGACTGAAACCAATTCCATGTCTAGTTGTCTCAGCACCGTGGTAGCAGCAGTGGCATTGGCAGAAACAGCCTCCACATCTTCTTGAGAAAGAAACATTCCTTTTGGAGGTTTCCTTTTTGCTCTATTTTTAGCTTGTGTGCTATGTTTTTCTTTTTTGACCTGAGGAACTGTCTCAGTAGGGGGAACCTGCATGATATACACAGGTGATGAATGAAACTTAAAAAAAGTCAAATGATCAGTAATAAACATATTTATTTCCTTAACATGGCACCAAAACAATCTAAGACAAATACCATGCCCTATCAGAACCAAATGAGATCTATAAATTCTAACAGGCAGTTCACAGACAGAATTTGGGCTACTGAGTTTTGACTAAACACAATGAAACTGTGTTCCACTCCTTCTTGTACAAATACTTCCTTACTCTATCGTTTCAAGCCAATGAAAATAAGAATTCTCAGCTTCCTCTAGTAATATAGAAAGAAAAAAATCTGTATTCTCTGCTAATGAGTTTTGTGGCCACACACACATCTGTATTTAGCTACATGAAATTACAGCTTTTTATACACATTTTTGGATAACACAATTTTTACGGCAACTTATATAACTTACTCTAAAATAATATACCTTATCATTTTAAAATGCATGACGGCTATTAATTTCTGTAAAACCAAAACTTTCAGAAATGAAACACAGTAAAATCTTGTCAAGTTAAAGAATATAACTTACTGGTAACCATTTTAAGAACAAGAAGTTTTTATAATTGCTCATAATTCCATCTTGTTAGTGCATTAGCATTCACTGATAAAGCTGAAAATATGACTTTCTGCTTCATATTTTAAAAGACTGAGCTAAAGACACTGCAAAACTATAATGGTAGTGATAATTTCTTCAACAAGTGGGTAATACAAAAATATTAGTAGGCAATAAACTGCTGTGTATGGGACTACGATGTTTAATAAAGATCACCAACTGACTACGTCTGTTCTAGTATCATTTTAATACTTAAAAAAACTACGGGCCAGGTGGCTGGGCATGGTGGCTCATGCCTGTAATCCCAGCACTTTGGGAGGCTGAGGCGGGCGGATCACGAAGTCAGGAGATTGAGACCACCCTGGCTAACACAGTGAAACCCCATCTCTACTAAAACTACAAAAAATTAGCCAGGTGCGGTGGCGGGCGCCTGTAGCCCCAGCTACTTGGGAGGCTGAAGCAGGAGAATGGCGGGAGGCTGAGGCAGGAGAATGGCATGAACCTGGGAGGCGCAGCTTGCAGTGAGCCGAGATTGCACCACTGCACTCCAGCCTGGGCGACACAGTGAGGCTCCGTCTCAAAAAAAAAAAAAAGAAACTACGGGCCAGGTGTGGTGGCTCACGGCTGTAATCTCAGCACTTTAGGAGGCCGAGGTGGGTGGATCACTTGAGGTCAGGAGTTCAAAACCAGCCTGGCCAAGATGGTGAAACTCCGTCTCTAGTAAAAATACAAAAATTAGCCAGGCATGGTTGCGGGCCCCTGTAATCCCAGCTACTTGGGAGGCTGAAGCAGAGAACTGCTTGAACCTGGGAGGCAGAGGCTGCAGTGAGCTGAGATCGGACCACTGCACTCCAGCCTGGGCAACAGAGCAAGACTCCATCTCCAAAAAAAAAAAAAAAAAAAAAAAACAATGATTTAGCCATTTTCTTTCTGAATCAGAAATTATATAAATAAGAATTATAAAAATGTATGAAATCAAGTGTTTTCTCTCATTTAAAATGTGCCACTGAAAAACCTAGTAAATAGCAATACATCAACACAAAGCTTAATAAAAACTACAACTACAATTTGATTTCCCAAACAATCTAATTTAGCTAACCCTCAGGATCTTATTTGGGCATTCATATAAATTATGCAGAAAAAAACGACCAATTTCCAATTTGGTGATATACAACCAAAAAAAAAAAAAAAAGCCTTAACAATGTATCTAGAACACGTTGACTCAACAATACAACTTCCAGGAATCGGTTCTAATGAAAAAAATCTATGAGCACAGATAGTGAGTTATGTGAGAATCAATCCAGCATTGTTTATAAAAGCAAAAAACAGGAGGAATAAACAACTGGGAAATCCACATAGGATAAGGTAACTCAATTATGAAACATTCATGTGACAGAATAATATATAGCTACGTATACAAATATATTTGACATAAAAAAAAATTCAAGGTCCAGCCTGGCCAACATGATGAAACCCCATCTCTACTAAAAATACAAAAAAAAAAACCTAGCAGGGCGTGGTGGCATGTGCCTATAATCCCAGCTACTCGGTAGGCTGAGGCAGGAGAATCACTTGAATCTGGGAGGCAGAGGTTGCAGTGAGCCAAGGTCATACTACTGCACTCCAGCCTGGGCAACAGAGTGAGAGACTGTCTCAAAAACAAAATAAAAAAAAATAAAATCAAGGGCTGGAGGTGGCTCATGCCTGTTATCCCAGCACTTTGCAAGGCCATAGTGGAAGGACTGCTTGAGCCCAGGAGTTGGCGGCTGCAGTGAGTCATGGTGCCACTGCATTCCAACCTGGGTGACACAGGAGACCCTGTCTCAAAAAAGAAAAAAGAGAAAAAAAAAATCAAGGTAGAGTAAATTTAAAAGGTTCTAAAAATTACAAAGCTTCCATTATATTATTTTTAAAAAGTGACTAGATTCAGAATTATGAATATACAGGCATATACATTTTACAGAAAGAGTTCTCAGGAAAAAGTCACCAAAAGGTTGACAGTGATTATGGATAATATTATAAATCACTTTAATTTTCTTCTTTCAGTTAGCTGTATTTCCTACCTTGTCTATAAGAAACATATATTACTGATGTCATTTTAAAGTTTAGATAAATTTAGACCCTTCTGTTTTTATAGGCTTAAAATAATAACTATTCTTATAATTTGGAGCAGAGAGAGAGAACTCTCTGAGAAATTTTTTTGAAACTATAGACTGTGTCTTTGGAAAAATACCTCTATGAACCTATGTAAAAGTTACATGCAATTGTAGAGGTTCACGAGCCCCCTGAATCCAGAAACTACAATCTCTTGTATAATGATTTTTTAAAATGATAAGATGAAACAGTCACCATGTGAGAGAGGATGGTCCTGGCTCCCCCTGGTGTGACCAAATTGCTGCTTCTGAGTAACAGGAGGGCTGTGCCGAGTCCCTGCCAGCTCCCTGCAGTCACCCCAGGCACGGCATGGGTGCCTAGGATGGGCAGACGCTGGGGCATCTATAGCGTGAATGGAGACCCTAAGGCTGCCTGGAATTCACTAGACCACTTGTTAACCTACTGAGCTAATGGCTTACGAAGAAAGTCAGTGAGGACTGCTGTTCTAGGGAACATCATTACTCATTAGTGCTATTTTCTATCCTTTAAGCCTTCCTTTATTCATATCTATTAGCAAACAAAATTATACAATCTATAAAGCAAAGACAGTATTGTTGAAAAATAGTCATATCATGCTGCTTTCCACATAGCACTTAATATATTAAGTAGAACAAGCAACATGAATGTTTTATTTATGAAACTAGTAATAAAATTTATTCGCCTAAACAATACTAGGGGGAAAAAATACCTCCTTTTTGCTTTCCTTGTTTTGATCAACCTCAATGTCAATGGGATTGTTTCCATTTGCCTCTTCCAGTTCATCCTCGCTGGAAGACAAGAACAAGTTACTGAATGATTATTTTGTACTAATTTTCCGAATACAAACGATAAATTGATTTAACTGAAAATTTTGTACTAATTTTACCAAATATAAATAATAAACTGATTTAATATAAAATTAGTATGTTTTCAGGCTGCTGAGATAAAAACATCTTTGTAATTCAAACAGAATACCAACTCCATAGTTCTTTCAGTCTAAGTGATGAGAAACTACTAAAATAGATTCCTAACTTCCCAATCCAGATCTAAAACACTATTGCTCTATATCTGTAAACTGAAAATATCAAAATGAAAATGCATTTACATGTTATTTTCTCATAATTATCTATTGAGGACTAGGATATGATTACTAAACAAAACTGAGAAATTATGGGAGAATAAATTTCCACTGCATTGGGAATAAACCTGCTAACAGTAAAAAAATCCTTTTCCAAGTACCGTCTTTCTACCCAAGGCCACACAAAGTCTGAGGCTTTTCTGGTGTCCTGGACAACTGATGTTTTAAAATTATGTTTAATTTTAAAAAGAAAACTTACATTGGTATAGCACTTTAAATGCTTTTTGTAATATCCTGAATGTAGTATTTCATTTAATTTAAAACAAAGAAACAAGAAAAGCCCCGATGTAGGTAGGAATGCAACTGTAAAAAAAGAAAACTAAGTCTACAGAAGTCAAGTAGCCTGCCCCAGTTTGCCCACCTCGCACTGCCTCTGGAATCCATCCCACGGGACCATGCCCACTACGCGCCACCTCCTCCCCATCCTCCACCAAGGTAGCAGGAAGCTCTAGCTGAGGAAAGAGTGTCCACAACAAGAAAGAGCCTTCGGCTAAGGGAATTTTGTCCCAGTCCCTGCCATGACTTTCACAGGCAAGTCCTGTTAGAAAGCCAACAATTTATCAGGTGCTGCTGCAGCACCTCCATCCCCGCATCCCAAAAGTGGTTGAGGTGCACATGGGAGGTGGAGGCAAAGCACTTCCTGGCCCCATCGGGACTAATGCAAAAAAAAAGCCTCCAGGGAGTAAGAATGGAAGTGTTGGCAGGTATTCTTATTTCACACTCAAGGATATCCAATCCCACTCTGTATTATTTAATTTTGATTGCTGCTTAGTAAACTGCATCTGCTTATAGTAACAGACTTACTATATAGACAGTAAACTAGGGAAATGAAAAAGCTTCATTAAAAGTTAATAAGAGTACTCATCCATAAATAAACCTACTAGTATATAAGTCAGAGGCAAAAATATGCAGATGTATCATGGTCGATAATTTTATAGGCTCTTACAATTAAAAGAGCTTTGGAGATGTTCTTAACATCACTCTCAATTTATACTTGGGCCAAGAGGTTTGAATTCTCCAAAAGTGATACTCAACTTTCAATGTGTTCTCACATGTTACTCTTTCATTTGAAATGATAAAATTCCATCCTGAGATGGGACACCGGGGACCATATATTTCATCCTCCTTCATTTTATTTTTTTATTATTAATTGATAAAAATATTACAGGAAATGTGGAAAATAGGATTTTTTAAAACCCACCTATATATCTCACCACCCTAACAAGGAAACCACTAGGTCTGCATGCTGCCTTCTGGACTTCAAACATCTTCATTTTAGAGTTAAGGAAAACAGAAGCTTGGGGAAGACGCATGTTGAAGTCACCTGCCTGTGAGTATGTACAATTTTACACATTTTAAAAAATAAATTAAAGACCTTAAACATCCCAGTGTAGCCTGTGGCATGTAAGTGGAATCTTCAGAGCTGAGACCAGAGCCCATTTCTGAGTGTGAGTACCTGGCCATTTCTACTTCTCTATGCTACATATAAGACTGAGGAAGTGATGGTTAAGAAGTATTCTCCATACTGAGCTATCCTTAAAACTAATATCCTTACTAAGAGATTATAAAATGTTTCTCTTTCTCATTCACACACAAAAAACAGATGGTCAAAAAAAGAAGCAGCAACTCTAAGTTGTATTTTTGTTTCCACATGGCAAACATAAAAACACACCAAATGAATCTTGTAAAAATATACCACGTTAAACCTCAAACTACAAAATAAAAGATTCTTTTTTATTAAAAGGAGCCACCCCTTCTAAATGGGAAGGAAAAAAAATGGGTCAAAGTTAACTGACTCAAAATGGAAGTTCACTGACTGCAGGGAAAGAGTGGTGAGAAAAAATACCTGAATAATGTGACACGCTCTAATACATCTCATGAACATGTGGTTCCACCAGGAAGGCGCGGAGGGAAAACCAGTCATTCTGCCTTGCCTTTGTGTATCTGGGGCTCTTAGATAGTCCCCTAAGTGGTTAGACAACACCCCAGCCATGTGCTCACCTCTCCTCCCGCTCCCGTTTTTGTTTCCGGGCATGGCGATCCATCACACTAGTTTTAGTCCTCGTCTTCTTCCAAGAATAGTAAAATTTCACCAGACTTGCTATAGATTTATCTGGAAGCTAAACATAAAAAATGAGTTGGTTTATTTAAATAAAAAAGTAATCTTTAAAAATCAAATGTTTAAGGCCGGGCGCAGCGGCTCACGCCTGTAATCCCAGCACTTTGGGTGGCTAAGGCAGGCGGATCACGAGGTCAGGAGATGGAGACCATCCTGGCTAATATGGTGAAACCCCGTCTCTACTAAAGATACAAAAAATTAGGCCGGATGTGGTGACTCACGCCTGTAATCCCAGCACTTTGGGAGGCCGAGGCGGGTGGATCACGAGGTCAAGAGATCGAGACCATCCTGGCCAACATGGTGAAATCCTGTCTTTACTAAAAATACAAAAAATTAGCCGGGCGTGGTAGCGGGCGCCTATAGTCCCAGCTACTCGGGAGGCTGAGACAGGAGAATGGCGTGAACCCGGGAGGCGGAGCTTTCAGTGAGCCGAGATCGCGCCACTGCACTCCAGCCTGGGCGACACAGTGAGACTCCATCTCAAAAAAAAAAAAAAAAGATACAAAAAATTAGCCGGCCGTGGTGGCACGCACCTGTAGTCCCAAGCTACTCAGGAGGCTGAGGCAGGAGAATCGCTTGAACCCGGGAGGCGGAGGTTGCAGTGAGCCAAGATCATGCCACTGCACTCCAGCCTGGTGATAGAGCGAGACTCCGTCTAAAAAAAAAAAGTCCTTCGTATGGGTCTAATCTTTTGGGAGTCCCAACAAGAGGGACTGGGGTGGGTGGGGAGGGTCCAGTCACAGACGACAGGATGGGAAGTGCTAGAAGTGCTTTACTCCTGTAACTGGAAAACTCCCATCCACAGAGCAGCATGTACTAAGCTGAATCTAAAGGGGAACTTTATCAAAAATGGGAATATTTATGTTTGAGTATGATATCCCTATCTCAAGTATGCTGCAAAAGAGAGTTAGATAGGAGAAAAAAAATAGAACTCAGTGGTCTCATCTACTTACCATTTGTTGGATTCTATGAAAAGTTTTCCCATGAAAACTAAAGGCTTGCTCAAATAAGACTTTATCTTCCACAGTCCACTCATCTGGGAAAGGGGTAAAGTTGGGCAAATCAGCCAATGACTTTTCGATATTATGTTTATGCCAGAAGAGCATCCCAAGAGCCTACAAAAATGATATCAGTAAAATTTTAGATCAAACAAAAAACAATGAAAATGGAAATGAGACCAGCAAAAGAAAAGTAAAAACGACTTCATATTTAGACAAACTAACTCATCTACAGCGCTAAGTGGCAGACACTGTCAGAGGCCCCTTTTTCTATTCTTTGTAACTGTGGTAATATACACATACTTTTTTTTCAGGTGATGTAATTTTTATTATAGGTATAATGTCTTTTAATATAGGTATAAGTATCAAGAAAGAGTGAAGCAATTTAAATAAATTATTTAATTTTCAAACAATATGCAATATGTTTTAATTGGAAATTACACATACAATAAAAATATTTTTCTTGGAAATGATAAGTATACAATTCAGGATGGTGATAACTTGTTAGGTACAGCAACAAGGGAAGGTGGTATTTGTTAAGTATGGCAACATATGTATCATCAGGGAAGTGGTCACAGAGAAACTATAAATAATTCTTCTAAAATAAATTTTAAAAAATTTATTATTATTATTATTATTATTATTTGAGACAGGGTCTGGATCTGTCACCCAGGCTGGAGTGCAGTGGCACTCACTGCAACCTCCACCTCCCAGGCTCAAGCAATCCTCCTTGATCACCTCAGTCTCCCAAGTAGCTGGGATACAGGCACATGCCACCACACCCGGCTAATTTCTTGTACTTTCTGTAGAGACAGGGTTTTGCCATGTTGCCCAGGCTGGTCTTAAACTCCTGGGCTCAAGTGATCTACCCACTTTGGCCAGAAGTAGAATTAGTGGATAATACGGTAATTCTATTTTTAATTTTTTAAGGAGCTGCCATCCTGTTTTCCCCACCAGGTGTACCATTTTACATTCCCACCAACAGTGAATGTCCTTGTCTCTTACAACCTGTTTAAATTTAAAGTCTATTTTGACTGATATTATTATAATCACTCCTGCTTTCTTTTGGTTACTACTTGCATGGGATACCATTTTCCACCCTTTCACTTTAAAATTGTGTTTTTGGAACTAATGTAAATCTCTTGTATATACTGGGATCCTGTAATTTTTACCCATTATGCCAATCTCTGTCCTTTGGAAAGTTTAACCCATTTATATTTAAAGTAATCACTGATAAGGAGGGACTTCTGTCATTTGGCTATTTGTTTTGTACATTCCTTAAAGTTTTTTATGTCCTTCATTTCCTGAATTACTGTTTTTTTAGGTTTTTTTTTTTTTTTTTTTTTTTTTTTTGAGACAGGGTTTCACTCTCCTTGCCCAGGCTGGAGGAGCAATGTCATGATCTTGGCTCACTGCAACCTTCTCCCTTCCAGGCTCAATCAATTCTCCTGCCTCAGCCTCCTGAGCAGCTGGGACTACAGGTGCGTGCCACCATGCGCAGCTAGTTTTTTTTTTGTAGAGACAGGGTTTTGCCATGTTGCCCAGGTTGGTCTCCAACTCCTGAGCTCAAGTGATCTGCCTGAAGTGCTGGGATTATAGGTGTGAGCCACCACATCCAGCCTCCTTTTTATGTTTTGTTGATTATTTATAGTGAAAGATTTAAATTCCTTTCTATTTCCTTGTGTATATATTCTATAGCTATTTTCTGAGGCTGGGTGTTGTGGCTCACACCTGTAACCCCAGCACTCTGGGAGGCCGAGGTGAGAGGATCACTTGAGCTCAGAACATGGAGACCAGCCTGGGGAACTTAGCAAGACCATGAATCTACGAAAAACAAACAAACAACAACAAGTTAGCCAGGCATGGTGGTGCGCGCCTGTAACTGCAGCTACTTGGGGGGCTGAGGCAGGAGGACTGCTTGACTGAGCCCAGGGGTTTGAGGCTGCAGTGAGCTATGATCACACCACTGCACTCCAGCATGGATGACAGAGCAAGACCTTGTCTCAAAACAAAACAAACAAAAAGACACAAGCTTTTATTTATTTTAAGTTGCACATTACACCTTTATTACACTGATCTAGAAAGAAAGATTTAGTACAGTTATGCTCAAAATGAATACTGGGTCCACATGGCAGGGCCAAGCAATTAGAACGTGATTCGGAAATCAGCCAGTGAAAGACATACTTGGACATGATCATGAGGCATTTCACAGCCACAAAACAAGGTAGGGGAGAGATTCGAAAACCCACAGCAGGATGCAATCCTATCCCTTAGAGGTCAAGGAGCTTATCCCATATTGGTGTGAGGAATGGCTTCTTTCCCCCCTCTTTTTTTTTGTTGTTGTTGTTGTTGTTGATATAGAGTTGTGATCTAGAGTGCAATGACATGATCTTGGCTCACTGCAACCTCTGCCTTCTAGGCTCACGCGATCCTCCCACCTCAACCTCCAGAGTAATTGAGACTACAGGCACACACTACCATGTTTGGCTAATTTTTAAACTTTTTTTTAGAGATGAGGTGTCACCATATTGCCCAGGCTGGTTTCAACCTCCTGGGCTCAACAAATCTTCCCATCTCATCCTCCCAAGTAGCTGGGACCACAGGCACACACCACCATGCCTGGCTGATTTTAATTTTTTGTAGAGACAGGATTTTGCCATGTTGTCCAGGATGGAATGGCTTATTTCTGATGACCACATGTGGGACTATTTGAACTGCCACTAAAAATCCTAGAAGGGGGCTGGGCGCGGTGGCTCACGCCTATAATCCCAGCACTTCGGAAGGCCGACGTGAGTGGATCACGAGGTCAGGAGTTCGAGACCAGCCTGACCAACATGGTGAAACCCTGTCTCTACTAAAAATACAAAAATTAGCCGGGCATGGTGGCAGGCACCTGTAATCCCAGCTACTCAGGAGGCTGAGGCAGGAGAATTGTTTGAACCCGAGAGGCGGAGGTTGTAGTGAGCTGAGATCGCACCATTGCCCTCCAGCCTGGGTGACAGAGTGAGACTCCATCTCAAAAAAATAAAATAAAAAATCTCAGAAGGGTTTTTGTTTTGTATTATTTATACATACAATTTTTTGTAAAAGTAAATCCAACACATGAACTTAATACAGGATTGCTCTCAACCTTCTAGAGCCACCTACCCTGGGATCAGGGAGGAAATCGTTGTTTTTTCACATCACCGTGCAGGTTACTGTCATCTTCCACTGGAATGAGCAGAGCTCTCCTGACAGTGGCATGACTAGAGAAGAGTACAGGATTGGGTCCTGGGGTCAAGCAGGCCCTCTTTGCTTCTCCTCTTTGGTCATGACAGCATGGTTCCTCCCACAAAGGTCCTTAGTAAACAAGCCCTGGCAAAAGCCCTAGTCACTACCTCTCAACTCTCTTGGATAAGAGGAGCTTTCTCCCTGCACCAGAGGTGCTATCTGACTAGATTATATGAAGGGAGTGGGTGCAGGAGACAAAACTGATTACAATGAAAATGGGAGCCATGAGTTCCCATCTGCAGCTCCAACGTAAGATGCCTGCAGATGTGGTCGGTGTGGCATGTGCAGCAGGGAGGTGAAGAAGAATGGGTTGGGCAGGGAGAGTGCTCCTTGAGAGAGCAGTCAGCCTGCTGGCCTTCACTTCTTGGCCTTGCCCTGGGCAGCCACAGCTTCCATGGCTTTATGAATGGTCTCTTCATCCCCAGGAACTTTTTTTATTCATGGGCTTGATGGGCTTCAAGTTCTTGTCCAATTTATAGACCATGGGATTACCAGTTGGCAAGTTCAGCTCCACTGTGGTCTCTTCAGAGAGACTCTCCGGCAGCTTTTAACTGACAATATCTTCATTTCTCCCCTTTACTTTTGAAAGAATTTTCTCAGATATAGAATTCTTAGTTGACAGTTTTCTTCTCTTGCTGCTTTGAATATATCAGACCATTGCCTCTGGCTTCCAAAGGTTTTGACAAGAAATACCCTAATAAGCTTATTCAGGATCCCTTATATGTAATAGGTTAGTTCTCTCTTGCTGCTATCAAGATTCTCTGTCTTTTCAAAGTTTCATTATGTGCTCTGGTGAGCCTCTTTGAGTTTATTCTACTTGGAGTTCACTGAGTTTCTTGGATGTTTGTTTATATTCACATCTTTCAACAAATTTGCGAAATTTTTGGCCATTATTTCTTCAAGTAATCTCTCTGTCCCTATCTCTCTTACTCCTTATGCAACTTCCACATGCATATGTTAGTCCACCCGATTGTGTCCCTAGGGTACCTTAGGCTCTGTTCACTCTTCAATCTTTTCTCATCCTGCTGCTCAGACTCAAATCATTTCCACTGTCCTTTCTTCATGTTCTTTGTTGAGACTCTTCCAATCTGCCTTTGAGCACGTCTAGTGAATTTTTCATTTCAAGTGTTTAGGGTCTAGAATTTCATTTTGGTTTCCTTTCAGGTTTTCCATTTCCTTACTGTTATTTCCATTTGTTCATACATCATTTTCTTGATTTTTTCTGTATCTTCCATTAGTTCTTTAAAAACATCTTTAAGATAGTTGTTTTAAAATCTTTGCCTAGTAGATCTGCCACTAAGGTCTTTTCCCAGGGACAGTTTCTGTTGATTAATTTTTTTCTACTGAATGGGCATACTTTACCATTTCTTTGTATGCTCTGTGATTTTTCTGTTAAAACCTGGACATCTGAATCTAATAATGTAGTAAACTCATAATCACACTCTTCCTCAGGGTTTGCTATGTTTTTACTACAGTTTTGTTTTCTTTTGGTTGTAGGCTTGCCTCCATTGTGAGGATCAGCCTGAGTATAAACTGAAGGTCTTCTCTGAGGCACTGCCTTTCCCTGCCTCTGGTCACAGAACCAGCATAGTTCTAGGATCTGTGCTCTTCAAGTATCACACTTTACTGCCTCAATATATAAATGAAAAAAGTAATTTATGAAAGAACAATTGCTGTTATTCTTTTATTTTAAAAATTATATATATTTATATGTTATATATATGATATATAAAGGTCTTCTCAGCTTAGAAAGAAAAAAAGTAGAAATAGAATAAGCAACAAAAGAGGTAAGATGAGATCCAGCAATACTTTGCTAATGGTAATTTTTATGCTGGAATTATAATATAGGAAATTTTCATGCTAATGATCATTTTTAAAGGAGAAATGATCAAGACTACCATCCTTAAGAATTCATACAGGTATATTTTGCAATCAAAAGTAGCTTCAATGACCAGGATAGAGTAATTAAATGTAAGGCCAAGTCCAAAAGAAAGGGTACAATTTCACATAATCTAAACTCTTGGTAACTTCCATCATTCAGAAAAATAAGAAATGTCAGTAACTTCCAGGTTGTAAGATCTAGATTAATGCCATGGAAAGCATTAATCCAACTTGATGTGTTTAAAATAAATCATTAAAGCTGAAATAAGGTATCACCACACTTTTGCAGAAAAATAAATCTTGTGGATTTCTTATTAGTACATTCCAAACAATATTTAAAAGAAAATCTTGGCCAGGCGCAGTGGCTCACGCCTGTAATCCCAACACTTTGGGAGGCCCCTTCTCTACTAAAAATACAAAAATTAGCCAGGCGTGGTGGTGTGCACCTGTAATCTCAGCTACTTGAGAGGCCGAGGCACGAGAATTACGAGAACTACTTGAACCCCGGAGGCAGAGGTTGCAATGAGCTGAGATGCGCCACTGCACTCCAGCCTGGTCACCAGAGCGAGACTCCATCTCAAACTGAAAATGATTCAAAATGGTGAATATTAAAACACTTTAGGTAAGAATGTGAAAACATGCGTCAAAAAACATCATGATACAACCAGAAGAATGACAAACAAATCACATATTCAAATGAGAAAGCATTATGCTCAAGCATCCAGCTCCTTAGTAATCACTAAGTAATCAGTGTCCTAAAGGCTGTAGATCTGCAGATGACAGATATGCCTTTCAAATCAAAGGGTCCTCTAATATTCATCTTGAACAAGAAAAAGAAGACCAGAGTTTGTGTAACACTACTAGTAATTACCAAAAAGTTGCTAATGAAGAAACACTGCTACTCAATACAAAGAAGAAAAAAATATAATTATTTAGTTACAAATACTCATTTTTTAACAGCAAAAGAAAGAAAACCATGATATTACCTGTTCCATGTTGTACCCATGCTTTTCTTTGGCAATGGCAATGTATTCATCCACTGAAAAACAAGAAGAGATGCCATTAAACAAACTGAGGGACAGAGTACACCCTATGGTCTGCTAGAATTGATATACGTGTATATTTCAGGCCTGCTGATATGGTTTGGCTGTGTCCCCACCCAAATCTCATTTTGATTTGTATCTCCCACAATTCCCAAGTGCTGTAGGAGGGACCCAACTGGAGGTAACTGAATCATGGAGGATGGGCTTTCCTGTGCTATTCTCCTGTTAGTAAGTCTCACAAGATCTGATGGTTTTAAAAAGGGGAGTTTCCCTGCACAAGCTCTCTTTGCCTGCCGCCATCCATGTAAAATATGACTTGCTCCTCGCTCCTCCTCGCTTTCTACCATGATTGTAAGGCCTTCCTAGCCATGTGAAACTCTAAGTCCATTAAACCTCTTTTTCTTCCCAGTCTCGGGTATGTCTTTACCAACAGCATAAAAACGGACTAATACACTTGTCCTGTACAAGACTAAAAATAAAGAACACACAGTAACAAAACAGAACCATTATAATAGTTATTGATCCTGCAGAGAAACGTCTGAATGAATATTCTCAAATATTAACAGCAGTATCACCTGGTGATGAGATTATGAGTCTTCTTTAAAAGAGAAAAACAAAGGCTCATGCCTGTAATCCTAACACTTCGGAAAGCTGAGGCGGGAGGATCCCTTGAGGCCAGGAGTTCTAGATTAGCCTGGATAACATAGTGAAATCCTGTCTCTACAAATAATTTTTAAAAATAATTAGTCAGGGCTGGATGCTGCAGCTCATGCCTGTAATCCCAGCATTTTGGGAGGCTAGGGCAGGCGAATCACTTTGAGGTCAGGAGTTCGAGAGCAACCTGACCAACATGGCGAAACCCCATCTCTACTAAAAATACAAAAATTAGCCAGGTGTGGTGGCACATGCCTGTAATCCCAGCTACTTGGGAGGCTGAGGCAGGAGAATCGCTTGAACCCGGGAGGCAGAGGTTGCAGTGAACCAAGATTGCACCACTGCACTCCAGCCTGGTGACAGAGCAAGACTCTGTCTCAAAAAAAGAAAAAGGGAAAAGGAAGACAAAATCTTTAGTTCTACTTAAAACTTTCTACAACAAACAAGTACTACTTTAAACAACATGTCTAGCAGTAAAAAGAAATATGAAATTGGGCGTCATTTTTAGTTTCAGCTCAGGTTGAATAATGAACAAACTATTCTTTATGTTTTAAAAAATTCTTAAGAGATAGATTACGTGACCCAGTGCTTGGTATTTGCTTTCAAATATGTACTACTCCAATATAAGGTGGCTAGCTTTCAAGAACCATGGAAAATACCAAGGAAAATGAATTGACTCAACCTCTAGGAGAAGCTGCCACCCCCAAAGATGAATCAATTTCCTCCCTGAGGATATTCTAGTCTTTCTTCCCAAGTGTACAAGAAAAAATAATGCACTAGTCAATAGCACTGCCATATGTTCATGCATGATTTTCCTTTATGAATTAAAAAAATAACAACAACACAAGCTAAAAAAAAAAAAAATCAAGGAGCATAGAACTGTATGAAGTAGGCAGTAAAATCCTGACTAGCCCCTATTCCCTCTTGGCTCCTAAATCTTACTCTCTAGGTACAATGGCCAAACTTAGAGAAAACAGGCTCAGAGTGATCCACTTTCCCACTATGACACAAAGAGTAAACAGAGGAGTCCTAATAAAAGTCTGAGCTTCTACAACTTAGTTTGCCATGCGATTATACCAAAAGCATGCTCCCAGCTCTGGGAGAACTGTCAACCAATTTAGGAAACAGAAATCAATTTTGAAAAAGAATTCCAACTCTTATAGAAGCATGTATTCTAAAAATTGGGGAAAAATATTCCATTGACAAAAGAAAAAGTCAACCTAATTCAAACAATAACTAATTATATACTGCAGCTCAATATTAATTCTAATACTAAGCCACTAATTTCCGATTTAATATTTAAAATAGTTACAAACTGGTTACTTCACTCAGATTACAGTAAAATTTCAATTTACTTGAAGGTCAGCAAATGACAAATGAAATGACCATAGCTTGTCACAAAAGTATAACTGGTGATTTTAAAAAGCAGGGCAGAGGCCAGGCGCGGTGGCTCACGCCTGTAATCCCAGCATTTCCGGAGGCTAAAGCAGGTGGATCACGAAGTCAAGAGATCAACATCATCCTGGCCAACATGGTGAAACCCCATCTCTACTAAAAATACAAAAATTAGCTGGGCGTGGTGGCGCATGCCTGTAGTTCCAGCTACTTGGGAGGCTGAGGTTGCAGTGAGCCAAGATCGTGCCACTGAACTCCAGCCTTGGTGACAGAGCAAGACTTCATCTCAAAAAAAAAAAGGCAGGGCAGGGAATTACTCCAAAGTGTGTCCCTTGCTTTTTCCTTCACAATACATTAGATTATGCCAAATAAAAGTGCTCTCAGATTCTAAAAAATGTCAGATGAGGCTGCTCGAACAGGTGGTTCTGTATACCTGGCCAGAACCCTGCAGAGAGACACAGGTAATATGGGGGTTCATACTGGAGGAGATGAGATGCAAATGGCAGCATACCAGACCTAGAAACAGACAGCAGGCCAGCTGATTAAAAACCAGGTCATGAGATGCACTCAGGAATATGTAAGGACAGAAGGCGAAAACAATCTGCGGTAAATTGAGGGTCAACTCTGGAGAAGGTCTGCTTGTTTAAAACTGGCTTGAAGGGTTCCTTCCTTTAATAAATACTTGGTGAATGAACAACAAATGAACCTTAAGCTTCTGCTGTAAATCTCAAGTCTCAGAGCACACTATTATCTACCTTAACTGAGTAAGGAATGTATGTATGATCACCAGTAGCACGATCTTTGAGCAAACACATGCACAGGCTGAAAAAGTGATGCAGGAGTCCCTGGAGTGGCCCAGCACAGGGGCTAGTCCTGCCTGTGGTTCTTGGGCATATGTTATCTGCTCAGAGTCCCTCCTGCTACATCAGTAACAAGGCCTGTAATGCCTGTGCCCACTGTCTGCAACCAGATTTAGCTACAAATTTTAAGACACACACAAGCATTTGTTGAATGCTACTCCATTTTCAACTCCTCTTTTGCTTTATATCTTAAGAATCAGCTGGTGACAGGAACAACAAGACAGTAACAGTAGATCCCGAATGCTGCAGCTGAGGTTATATAGGACATCTGCCATATTGTAAACAATAAGGTATTCTTACTAAGGTAACCTTTAAAGTCATGTAACTTTTGGATTTTCTTGGATGGCCGGGTGCGGTGGCTCATGCCAGTAATCCCAGCACTTTGGGAGGCTGAGGCAAGAGGATCACTTGAGGTCAGGAGTTCGAGACCAGCCCGGCCAACATGGTGAAACCCCATCTCTACTAAAAATACAAAAATCAGCTGGGCACGGTGGTGCGTGTCTGTAATCCCAGCTACTTGGAAGGCTGAGGCAGGACAATCGCTTGAATCCTGGAGGCAGAGGTTGCAGTGAGCCAAGATCGTGCCACTGCATTCCAACCTGGGCAACAGAGCGAGACCCTGTCCAAAAAAAAAAAAAAAATTCTTGGAAGATCACCCTGATGACTCAAATCTAAAGTAAAGGAAGAAAGCACTCTACTGTAGTAACTACTTAAATGAAGACACATGGTGTGTCTACTAGGTGCTCGGAAGGTTGTGATGAAGTAAGTTAATGTACCAGGAGCCCTCTAACCTGTAAAAGGAATTACCATCTAATACCTACTAGCAAATATACACTTTTTCATTCTTTTCATTGTTCCCAATGTCCAACAAAAATCAGACAGACATTTGCTGAATGAATGCCTGGGGTGCTGTATTATGTACAATGTCAACATATGAGGTTTCCTGTCCCACAAGATAAAAGGCAGCACAGGTTATGTACAGGGTAAGAAAGACCCGGGTCAAATTCTGGCTCTGTCTCAAAATAAAATGAGTTTGTCTAGCAGTGCATGGCACACAGTCAGCACTGTATGACTATGTTATCTTTAGCAACGCCCTGACCTTCCCAAGAATTAGTTCTCACCAATAAAGCCAGGTTATCACCTAACTGGGAAAATGACACCACAGTAGGTACTCCTCCTCCTCTCCTCACAGAATGTTCTGGACTAGAGTTTACTCAGAATATAGCCATCTGCACAAGCAATGCTGTTGACAGACCTTGTCTCTTACTGTATTCCTGCTCTACATAATCCTCAGCTTTTGTTTTCTTTAATCAAGGGACATGCATAGCTGCCATACTTTTCAGAATCCCTGATGCTATTCCCTTCCCACCACCTACCCTGTTCCTTTACAGAGTTATACCAGTAGCTGCTGGTAGGACAGCAATGAAAATGAAAAGTGCACTTTTCAAAACCTCCCACGTGGTTTCCTTAACTGAAGCAAAAAAAAAAAGCTTTCAACCCAAGAAAATAAAATGTGTTCCCAGCTACCCTTATAAAAAAAAAAAAAAAAAAAAAAAGATAAGCAGATGCTTAAAAGTCAGTGAATAAAAGATGAAACAGGAAGGAAGAGGAGCAGGAGAAATACAAGCTACCTACAAAAAACTGCTCTTAAAGAAAAGAGGGATCCGTGGGGACTTTTCCAACTCTGGCAACAACAATCTTAATTCTGTCCCTTATCGATTAAAAATTCACCAATCTGGAAGTGAGGAGCCACTGAGGGCAGGGACTCATGAAGTAAACGCTAATCAGGACAATGAGCAAAGTCCACGCTGCTCAAGAAAATGCCAGCACGTTTCTATGGGCCCAGGCATTTGCACCCATCACCCTTCCCCAGTGTACAGGGTGCGCAAAGCAGGCCTGCCTGTGCAACCTGGCCGACATTCCAATCTGTCAGTCAGAAGCACAAGAATCCATCCACTGCGTTTTACCATTATGGAGAGCATAGGTGAATGAGTTATGGGCTTCCTCATAATATCACTTAAAGACAGAATGTGAAATCCTCATTCTTCAAGAAAATTTATAAAATTCCAAAAGCCTAATCAAGCATGTACTGAATTAAACTTACCATGAACAAAGCACTGTATTAAATAGCAAGCCGAAATAAGCAAAAATGAACCGATTTCCCACAGTAGCTTGAGACAACACACAGGCAACAGAAGAGAACAAACACACGAAATAACAACACAGATGTAGGACAGTATGGGAATGCCAAGTCATCAGATGATAATAATGATCAATGAAGGAATGCTTCCTAAAGGTTCGGCATCTATACTGACAAGCAGAAACAACAGCTAACGTCTGAGAATTTATTATTTATGAGCCATTGTTTTAAGCTCTTTACAATCTTTTTTTTAATCTTCTCTGATAGTTCCATTATCACTCTCATTCACAAAGAAACTGAGGCTCACAGAAGTAGTCTGGCTAGGGTCACACAGCTGGTAAATATCAGATAAGGTATAAGGTTTAAGACCTCTATGCACTGGGCGCAGTGGCTCACACCTATAATCCCAGCACTCTGGGAGGCTGAGGTGGGTGGATCACAAGGTCAGGAGTTCGAAACCAGCCTGGCCAACATGGTGAAACCCCGTCTCTACTAAAAAAAAAAAAAAAAAAATAGCAGGGCATGGTGGCTCATGCCTGTAATCTCAGCTGCTCAGGAGGCTGAAGCAGGAGAATTGCTTGAACCAGGGAGGCAGAGGTTGCAGTGAGCCGAGATCGCACCACTGCACTCTAGCCTGGGCAACAGAGCAAGACTCCATCTAAAACAAAAACAAAAACAAACAACCTCTATGCACAATTCCTCCCTCCTTCCCTCCTTTCCTTCTTTTAAAAAAGACCAGCTGGGTCCAGTAGTGAGAAGCAGGAAGAGAGAAGAACAAGGAGTTCCATCTGCAATTGTGAAGAATCAGTTGAGATAACTCACTACTTCGGACCAGCCAACACAGTTCTATCTCTTGAGGAGAGAAGATAGAGGCAGAAGGGCTCTTCAGATTAGAACAGCCTCCTTGGTACAGGGAACCAAGGCTAATCAACATACTGTATCTAGCTTGAATGAAGTTAATAGAACTGTGGTTGATGAAGTGACAGAAAGCAGGGGTAAGAAACAGATGGACGCTAAACTTCAATTGTTTCTATATTCATTTTAATTCAATGAACGAAATGCCCTAGTACCCTCAGTAAGTCTCAAGTGCAAAAGAAGGGAGAAATGCAGATGAAAATTGCCACAGTAACCTTAACTCACCCTTCCCTCCCCCTAGATACTGCAGATATTCAGAACACTGTGTGATCTTGGATATTCTATGCAAAGCAATAGGCTGGCACCATATGGTGGGCTGATGACAAGGCTTATAGCCTTCTTAGAGCTTTTTTAAAAAAATATTTTTGAAACTCTTGCTGTAGGATTAGGTACCACAGAGGAAACATGACACCAATTTCTCTCTCATCACTCAACTGAACATGCAAAAATTCTCTTTAAAAATACAGTAACAAATATTGTGGCATCTTTTATTATTAAAATAAGAAATGAGTTATCACACCTCGCTGAGAATCAAAATGAGCTTAAATCATTTAAGTAAAGCAATTGTGCCACCTGGTGGGTACAGACATTACTACAGTAAACATCTGAACGCTCCCTCTCTGGGGTGGAAAACAGCACAGGAAGCCAAGCCAGAGACTCTGCCTGAGGATTTCATCAATCCGTCCTTCCAAGTAGGTAACAAAATGTACGTTCTTTATAAAAATGCTATTTCTTGGCCGGGCGCAATGGCTCACGCCTGTAATCCTAGCACTTTGGGAGGACGAGGCGGGTGGATCACCAGGTCAGGAGATTGAGACCATCCTGGCTAACACGGTGAAACCCCATCTCTACTAAAAATACAAAAACAAAAACAAAAACAAAAAAATTAGCCGGGCATGGTGGCGGGTGCCTATAGTCCCAGCTACTGGGGAGGCTGAGGCAGGAGAATGGCGTGAACCCAGGAGGCGGAGGTTGCAGTGAGCTGAGATTGTGCCACTGCACTCCAGCCTGGGCAACAGAGCAAGACTCCATCTCAAAAAAATAAATTTTTTAAAGCTATTTCTTAGTGGGAGTTTGTTAAAATCCCACTTTACAGAATAAGTCAGTCTCCAACCCCAATCCCCAGAGAAGTGACTTGTCTGAAGCTTATCTTGGCAGAGTACACCAGTAGTTGCTGGTAGGGCAGTGATGAAAATGAAAAGTGCATTTTTCAAGATCTCTCACATGGTTTCCTTAAGTGAAGCAAAGGTAAGTTTTTAACCTTAGAAAATTAAAAGTGCTCCAGCTACCCTCATACAAAAAACAAAAGATTGGCCAGATGCAGTGGCTCACACTTATAGCCTGTAATCCCAGCACTTTGATAAGCCAAGACGGGAGGATTACTTGAGCCCAGGAGTTTGAGACCAGCTTGGGCAACACAGTGAACCCCCATTTCTTAAGATTAAAAAAAAAAGCATAAATGCTTAAGGTGATGGATAAAAGATAAAAGACGAAACAGGAAGCAGATAAACAGAAATACAAGCTACCTGCATCAAATTGCTCCAAACAAAGAAGGGGACCCTCGAGGACTTTTCCCCAACTTTCTATCTCTGGCAGCAATAATCTTGATTCTGTCCATTAAAGATGAAAGAGAGTCTGTGTTATAGGAAGGCTGGGTGGGTTCTTTAGCTCTGAAAAGGAAGCTAAACCCCATTGTGAGACTGAGTATGAGAGGGCAGGCTCTCCTGCCTGTGAGAGGGAGTTGGGAGGGGCAGGCCCTCCCACTGTTAAGTCCCACTGTTTGCAATGTGGAGGGTTTTCTATTCTTCATCCAATAGAGTAGCCTTCCATAAGCACTGCTATACAAACAAGTTATTTAAGAGCTTTCAAAGTAAGTTGCAACACAGTGATCTTTTATAAAATATATTGTTTATGTTGAAATTATTCTCCACTGATTTAACAAATCTTTCAGGCCTACTGTGTGCCTGGTGCTGCTTTGATAGCTGTGATTAAAATAGACAATCTCTGCCCTTATGGAACCCGCATGTCTGACTGGAGAGAGAGAAATAGTCATACAAATGAATTCCAATTGTCGTAAGTGACCGAGAAAAAGAACTATGAATGCACATAATTGAGAAACCTGATCTGCAGAATTAAGGAGGGCTTTCTTTTCAACTGGGGAGAGGACATTATAAATTCCTGTGTACTTGTGTTATTTATAGGAGGAAAAAAGAAGAACATCTAAATGTTCAAGAATGGGATGTGGGCTGGGAGCAGAAGCTCAGGCCTGTAATCTCAACACTTTGAGAGGCTGAGGCAGGTCAATCACTTGAGGTCAGGAATTCAAGACCAGCCTGGCCAACATGGTGAAACCCCAACTCTACTAAAAATATGAAAATTAGCCAGGTGTGGTGGTACATGCCTGTAATTCCAGCTACTCGGGAGGCTGAGGCACGAGAATTGCTTGAACCTGGGAGGCGGAGGTTGCAATGGGCTGAGACTGTGCCAATGCACTCCAGCCTGTGCGACAGAGCAAGACTGTCTCAAAAAAAAAAAAAAAAAGAAAAAGAAAAAGAAGGAAGGAAGGAAGGAAGGAAGGAAGGAAGGAAGGAAGGAAGGAGAGATGTAGTTGAATAAAGTATGCTACAAGATGTGATATTATTCAGGATCAAAACTCGGTTTAATTTTTAATTGCAGGAAAATTAAAGTTGAAAACCACTACATAGAAGATGTAACCATTTGTGCTTAAAATCAGAGTGCATATAAGCATACCGAAAAGATCCGGAAGCAAACTTTAATAGTGGTTATGTCCACATGGTGGGGTAAGTTAGAGGCTATTTTTAATAATAAAAATAAGCGTGTGTGTGTGTGTGTGTGTGTGTGTGTGTGTTAACTTTTTCCTGAACTACTTGAGAGCAGCTTTCATATATTATGACCCAGTACTCTTAAACATTCAGCAAGTGTTTTCTAAGGGTAGGTATACTGTCCTACATAACCACAGGACAGTAAATTAAACACGGAAACAATACTTTAATCTGCATCCACAGAACAATTTGGTGAACTGATCCCAAAATGTGCTTTACATGTGCTGAAGAATTTTAAAGTAAATCCCAATTATTTCATTTCATCCCTACATATATCAATATACACCTCTTTTTAAAATGTGGGAATATTTGTTTCATAACACCAATGCCATTAACAGACCTAACTAAAACAGCAAAATTCCTTGGTATATGAAACAGTGTTATACTCACACTAGACTGGTCTAACACGTATAAGTCCAACAACAGCAATTATTGGAGAGGATGTGGAGCAAATAAATTCTGCATTTTGCTGGTAGCAGTGTAAACCAGTTTGACCACTTTGAAAATAATTTGGCACTGATCTCTCAGAACTTAGCATATATATTCTAGATGGGCATCAAGAAATAGGTCCAAGAATGCTTCCCCAGCAGTAATATTTGTAATAGTCAAGAACTGATAATGGATGTCCACTGTCAACAGAAAGGATAAACTAAAACTGAACACAATGAAACGTTTTTCTGTATAAAGATACAGATTAGACATTAATATGATTACAAGGTAAATTACTGTTTAATAGAAGGCTTCCACTAGTTTGTAAATTCAACTCATTCAGCTATGTTTATTCTAGTACGTTTTGCCCATTTTAGCTAGTTCTAGAGCACTTAAAAAAATTAAAGTGATGAAAATACTTTTCACACACTCAAAAGACTCATTTTAATCACAAGTTTCAACCTCTTCTAGCCATATATTTTTAAAAAGCTGAAAACTAGGCCAATATAGGCTTACCCTATCGCTACTGCTGCTCACACCCAAGTCAAAGAATAAGTTGTTTTGTTTTGTTTTTTTCCCTCAACTTTTTATTTTAGAATCGGGGGCACGTGTGCAGGTTTGTTACAAAGACACACTGCGTGATGCTGAGGTCTGGGGTACAAATGAACCCATGACTCACTCAGCACAGGTTCTTTTTAAGCCCTTGTCCCCACCTCTCCCCATCCTAGGTAGTCCCCAGTGTCTTATTTATTGGTCCCATCTTTATGGCCATGTGCACCCAATGTTTAGCTCCCACTTGTAAGTGAGAATATGTGGTATTTGTTTAAGCACACTTCTCCTTCACGGCGCTCAATGAACTTATTTACCAGTGCAGCTTCCCGTAGACTGTAAGCTACACTTGGGCAGGGACTTGTCGGACTGTTCGTGTATTTCGCCAGTGCCTGCTAGCGCTTGGTACACAAGCAGTTGTGCAAGTTACTGAGTAAACAAATGATAGCCACAAGGTAAGGGACAAAGAAGGAAATGTTATAAGATTCCAGACAACCCAAGTTACAGAGCAAATGGCAGAAAAGCCTGTATTTGCAAATCTCTATCCAGGGGAATCCTGCACTCCCACCACCTTCTCATTCATTCAATAACTTATTTATTATACACCCACCACATGCCAAGAGGGGACTGACAGAGAACTGAACACACATACCAAGTTCCTCCACTCAGTTTTACACTACAGTGGAGAGAGACGAGAGACATAAAGTAGATAATACGATGTCCGGTGATGATAAGCAGAATGAAAGAAAGTGAGTTAAGACAGTGAGTGGTTTGTGTGGTCAAAGAAGGCTTCTCTGATATAGTGACACTTAAGCAATAACCAGAATGAACTGGGGGGTGAGCCATGTGGACATCAAGTTCTTTTTTTGTGTTATTATTATTTTCTTTTTTCCTTTTTTTAAGACAGGGTCCTGCTGTTGCCCAGGCTGGAGTGCAGTGGCGCAATCACAGCTCACTGCAGCCTGGACCTCCTGGGCTCAAGTGATCCTCCCATCTCAGCCTCCCAACAGTCTGGGACTACAGGTGTGCACCATCATGACTGGTTAATTTTTTTGTAGAGATGGAGTTTTGCCATGCTGCCCAGGGTGTGTCAGGTTCTTTTGACTTTAACTTACAATGAATTGAAAAGCTACTGGGATGCTCTGAATAGAGACACCTGACATTTACTATGTATCTACATGAAAGTTTAGAATTATATATGATATATTACACATTATTCATATTACTCTAAACTTTCATGTACAATATAGTAAGTCAAACATCCTAAAGTAGAAATGAATTGTGCGTATGTCATAGGTACGGCTCTTATTCCAAGAAAGCTAAAACTTACTTTTAAATCCCTAACTTAAACTTGTCTTTTGACACAACTTTAAATTATCTACCTCCACCATGTTACATGCAATTTTTTTCCTTATATAGTTAATAGCTAGCTTAAAAAAAAAATCAGGCCGGGCGCGGTGACTCACGCCTGTAATCCCAGCACTTTGGGAGGCTGAGGCAGGCAAATCCCAAGGTCAGGAGTTTGAGACCAGCCTGGCCAACATGGTGAAACCCCGTGTCTACTAAAAATACAAAAAATTAGCTGGGCATGGTGGCGGGTGCCTGTAATTCCAGCTACTAGGGAGGCTGAGGCAGGAGAATAGCTTGAACCTGGGAGGCAGAGGTTGCAGTGAGCTGAGATTGCGCCACTGCACTCTAGCCCAGGCATCAGTGCGAGACTCTGTCTCAAAAAAATCAGCCAGCTTGTTTTTGGCACAGCTAACGATTTCCATTTTTGTCTATTTTAACACAGAGATCCATGATTCTTACCACTGGACCAGTTTTTCCTCATTTTTATAAAATAAAAAACCCAAAATGCAAACACTTAAATAACTGCACAAACACTTACTATATATAACTTATAAAATGCATAATGCATAAATGAGCAAGACCATCTGTTTCTATGGATATCCAATAGCCAAAAGTCACCTTGCTAAATTCTACACCCAAGGCAACAGCAGCCCATCTGAGAAATTTGCTCCTTCTGGGAACTATCAACATCATTCAGCATGAGCAATTTAGTTGATTATATATTTTTAAAAAGCAGACTATAAACAACAGACAAGGCTATACCCGAGCTTCCCCTCTAGTTCCACTCCCCTTCTTTTCAAGCCCTACCTTAAAAAAAATAATAATAATCAAGCAACAAAAAAAAAATCCTCAGATTAATCTATCCATTTCATTAAGACCCTTGGACCACAGTTTTGCATTATATTTAACCACACGTGCCTGGGTAAACTTTGTTTTTCCTAAGTCAGTAAAAGGAACCAGACTGGGCCTACAATCTGGCCTAAACTCTACATATATTTTAAACTCTAATACGCCCACTTTGTTAACGTTCAGCTGCTTCTCTAAACAAACGAAGTCCAAACTTGAGGTAGGTCTACACGTAAGCACAGTGACAAGAGGGGACTGTCAAAAGTACACTGCGCAGTGCAGTGGTGTCTGCATGAAGGCAAGAGGTGGTATCCTAAAGCTGGTGGGTAGGGCTGAGCAAGGTGGGCATTTAGGGTGCAGATCAACTGGAATGAGGATGGAGTCCCCAAAGGCGGGCAGCCTGGAATGGTATAAACAGGATGTGCAGAGGTAGGGTGTGGAATCCATGCAAAGGGTGGCTGCACAATATCACAGTGGGGACTGAGGAGAGATGATACCGTATCACAGCAACGGAGTGCCTCATAGGGGTTCAACAGAAACGTGTGGAGTAAATGATGGAACAGTGCACCTATACTTAACGGCATTTAATAGTCTTTACAGGCATGTTAAAGGCTGCCTGAACCAGTCACTAAGCCCACAATTCTATGGTCTCCATCTCTTTGGGGCAAGTTAAGATACTCCTGACTTGACTTCCTGAATTTCCATCATGCCGCCTTTTAACAGCACTGACCCGGTTAGGCAATCAACTTCTCTGACTTGGAATTGCATCAACACCTTACTACCACCAATAAACCTCTTCTCTACTCTTCTCTAAACCACAGGACTGTCAAGAGCTTTTCAGTGTAAATCATATCAGTTCTAGCTAAAACTCCGTCAAGAGATCCTCCAAACCTTTAAGAAGCTGGCCTGCCTTTCTAGTTTCATTTCTCTCTGCCCCAGGACAACACTTGTCACAGTCAGGCAAATCTCCAAAATTAAGTGCTGGATTTCCTCTCCACATCTTCACACCTTTAAAAATGAAAATGCTGGCCGGGCGCAGTGGCTCACGCCTATAATTCCAACACTTTGGGAGACCAAGGCAGGAGGATCACCTGAGGTCAGGAGTTCAAGACCAGCCTGGCCAACATGGTAAAACCCTGTCTCTACTAAAAACACACAATTAGCCGGGTGTGGTGGCACACGCATGTAATCCCAGCTACTCGCAGGGCTGAAGCAGGAGAACTGCTTGAACCCAGGAGGCAGAGGTTGCAGTGAGCCAAGATCACGCCACTGTACTCCAGCATGGGCAACAGAGCGAGACCTCTATCTCAAAAAAAAAAAAAAAAAAAGGAAATGCTATCATTTCTTCTGTCTAGTGTGCACTTATGCCCCTGGTCCAGCCAGCAAACTCCTACTCATTCTTCCACATTTCAATCAAATGTCAACCATCTTCAACTCTTTGTTTCTACCTAGGAAAGCTAGCACCTTCTGCTGAGTCCCAACGGGAACATCAGAATACTGACTCAGTGGTACATGGGAGATGCTTGATGTAAAAATCATATGAGTCAACTGTACTCTTCTCCAATAAGTGAACATTTTTCAGTTTCTCAGTCTGCCACCCTCCAGATTACACATGATGGCAGATTGTACTTCATTCACTCCTTTGTTGCTGAAATCTCAAGCCATGGTTTCATCAAGTAATTTTCCATGATCACTTAATATTTAAACTCATTGTTCTAATCTATGTTATTGGGAATTATTTACGCTTCCTCAACATGAAATGTCTCTCTACAGGCCACATTTTCTAGGCATATCCCATAAGTTATATCTCTCATTAAATGGGTTTTACTTAGACACAGCCCAAAAAAACTAGTATAGTATTAATGTTTTAAGCGTTGAATTACAGTTTATTAAATGAAGCAGCCTACAAAGGCAGACAGGTGTGGTAAATATTGTCTGGAGACAAGAGATCTAGCTAAAACTTGGCTACTGTAATAACTGGCTATGGGACCTTAAACACTTGACTTTACTTCTGTAGACCCCAGTGTTTCTACCTCTAAAAAGGAAGAGTTGCCTAGGAAAACTACACATAAATTATTTGCTCACATGTTCATTTTTTCTGTCTCTCCATTACAGTATGAGATTCCTGAACCTTTCACTCCTGGTACATTCCCAGACAAAAAGCTGTTCAATATAAAACGTAAATGAAAACTCAGTAGATAAACACGAATTCCGTATAATCTGAATTGAGATACTTTTGGACAGAACTTGTTACCACAAATCTAAGATTCACCTAAAAGAATAAATATAGAGCCAGGTACACTGAAAAGAATGAAGTCCAGGCACAAAGTATGTATGAGTTTAATGTAAGTGAAGGAAAAAATATAATCCAATAATTTCAGTTGAAACAACGATGTAAAAAAGGAGAAGACGACAGAAGACATCAGTCTGTTTGTAATGTGGGGGTGGGAGAGGGGTTCCTAGCATGACAATACACCAGATAAACTGTGGCATAGCTAGACAACGGTATATTATTCAGCACTAAAAAGAAATGAACTATCCAGCCATGAAAAGAGACAGTGGAACCTTAAATGCATATTGCTAAGTGAAAGAAGCCAATTTGAAAAGGCTACATACTATATGATTCCAGCTGGAAGGCATTCTACAGAAACAGTAAAACGATCAACAGTTGCCAGGGTTTAGGAGGCAGAGAGGGAGATGAACAGGTGGAGCACAGAGGTTTCTTAAACCAGTGAAACGATGATAACTACATTGGTGGACAGGTCATTATACATTTGTCGGAATCCACAGAACATACAACACAAGAGTGAAGCTTAATGTAAACTATGAATTTCGGGTGATAAGAATGTGTCACTGTAGGCTGCTTGATTGTAACAAACGTATCCCTTTGGTGGACTCCAGCGCAGGATGTTCACACTGGGGGAGGGTGTGGGTGTGTGGGGGCAGAAGATAAATGGGCACTCTGTACCTTCTGCTCAATTTAGCTGTGAAGCTAAAATGTCTCTAAAATATAAAATCTATTTTAAACAAGAAAATAAGAAATGTATTAAGGGGCAAAAATCTTCACTATTGCTTTTTTTAAAATGACAGCTTGAGCCCAGGAGTTCAAGGCTGCAGTGAGCTATGACTGTGCCACTGAGCTCCAGCATGGACAACAGAGCCAAGATCCTCTCTTAAAATGTATGTATTTTATTTTACTGATACATATCAGATGTACATATTTCCAGGGTACATGTGATAATTTGATACATTCATATAATCAAATCAGGGTAACTGGGATATCCATAATCCTAAATATTTACATTTTCTCTATATTAGGAACATTCAAAATTATTCTCTTCTAGCCCCCGCCTCCCCGTTTTTTTTTAATAGAGGGGAGATCTATGTTGCCCAGGCTGGTCTTGAACTCCTGAGCTCAAGCATCCTCATCTCTGCCTCCAAGTGCTGGGACTACAGGCACATGCCACGCACCCAGCTAACTTTTGGACTTTTTGAGAGACATGGGGTTTCACCATGTTGCCCAGACTGGTCTCAAACTCTTGAGCTCAAGTGATCAGCTCGCCTCAGCCTCTCAAACTGTTGGGATTACAGGGGTGAGACACCGCACTCAGCCCTCTTCTAGCTATTCTGAAATGTACAATTCAAGGCCAGGTGCAGGGGCCTGCGTGTGTAGTCCCAGCTACTTGGGAAGCTGAGGCAGGAGACTCTCTTGAGCCCAGGAGGTGGAGGTTGCAGTGAGCCAAGATCGCACAACTGCACTCCAGCCTGGGCAATAAGAATAAACCTCTGTCTCAAAAAAAAAAAAAAGAAATGTACAATTCATTAATGTTAAACTAGAGTCATTCTACGGATCAGGTTTTTTAAAAAACAGAGTTTAAAAAAAGAACTAAGATTATAAATATTCATCAATAGGTAATACAGGTAATTTTGTTTAAAAAAAGGCTAAATTATGATACATCCATACTAGTTACAGTAAAAAAAAATTAGATAACTGTAGATATACTGAGATGAAACAAAGTCCCAGATGTACTTATGAGCAGACTGATAACAGTTCACATTTTGTGGAAAACAATTATATATTATGCATTATGTACTATTTGAATTTTCTAAAATAGCATTTATTTTTATAATTACAACATAACTTTATAAGCTTTCAGTAACCCTAAGAGGCAGAACTCTGAACAGCCACTTTGAAAAGAAGAGGAAAAAAAAAACACACACACACACACAAGAAAAGCCAGGGATCTCCAGACATCCTATACACAGTTTTTTAGTATCTGCTAGAAATATGTCCTAAATCACTTATTTCTACTTAATGTCAGAATAAATGCTGGACAACCAAGACTTCCATATTCTTCCAAAACTGAGACACCTAAATTTTCAATAGAGTAATTGTTAAACATACTGACATATCCATGTAATAAAGTATTACACCTAGTTATTTAAAACCTTTATAAGCAGTTTTAACAACGTGGAAACTGCTTAGGTCCGATGCTCAGGAAGACAATACACACATACACACACACAGATAATCTATCATCTCACTTATATAAATACATACAAAAAAAATTGGAAGAAATACCCCAAAATGTTTAACGATTATCACCTCTGGGTGATGGAATAATAGGTGAATTTTTTTTATTCTTTATACTTTTATCTATGAACTTTCAACAATATGTAAATATTACTTTTAGGTAAGTGTTTGTTTTGTTTTTTTCCCAGAGTAGAAATCATTGCTCTTTCCTGATAGAAAATAATGCATTTCTACAAAGCCGTCCTCATCCTGCCTTCTCGCTAGTGGACTTTGTTCACTCTCAGTGCTCCGTGTTTACTCGGTTAATAAATGGAAAGACAGATGTATTCTATAAAGTCAATCCTTTTTTATGCCATCTAAGGAAAACCCCTAGGTCTCATGCACCCCAAGGCCCTTCCACCCTAACAACTCGATTTCCCTGAAAGGTATGTCTGGAAGCCCTTCCGTGACAAAGTAAATAAATCTTGATATTTCTCTTCAATTTTCATAACGTGAACACTACCGATGAGCCCTTGCTTAGTTCATCTGTCTTCCACTGCCTGACACTGACAGGTCATTTCCACGGGTTTGCTATGCAGCCGCTTGAGGTTCAGACTCCGCAGCGGGTTGGGGGCAGGGGTGCTGGGGCCTCCCGTGCGAGTTGGATTCTGGAGGAAGACAAGGAACCTGTTCCTAGCGCTCAGCCGGGTCCTGCGATGGCTGTGGCTGTGACTATGGCCAGGAAAGAGGCAGAGAGGCGGGATACGGTCAGAGCTGCGGGGGCTGGGGCGGAGAGGGCTGCTCCCAGGTCACGGCGCACCCAGGCGCCTCCCCCAGCTGCCAGCCCCACCTCGGCTGCTGCTCCACAGCAGGAGGGTGCAGCCCCAGCCCCCGCAGAGCTAGGGACTGGTGTATGGGGAGCAGGCCGGGTGCCCCGGGATGAACTTGAGGCCCAGCACTGCCAGCTTCCAGCTGTGGGAAGGGCTGGTGGCAAGAGGGACCCGGAAGCAGCACTGGGCCCGAGGGCGGAGATCAAGGGACATCTCCCTAAGCGTGGCCGAGCGCACTGGCTGCCATCTCCAGGTCAGCGGGGGCCACATTCGCGCACGGAACATCAGCGCGCCCCCAGAGGAGAGCTTGGCCCAAAGCATCCTCCGATTCCCAAGAGAAGTTGCCCACATTGCTTGGGACCCCCGGGGAAGCCCCGCTGGTGGAACAGTAGGGGTCAGCACCCCAGGCTGACCAGGGTCTGGGATCGGGGGGACCTGCGCCCAGGTGGCCTCCACGCTGGCGCTGCTCTGGCTTCTTTTCCGTGCTCCACCTCTCCAATTCTGAAACCAAACCTGGACTCGTGGCTCGGGAGTCTGTTTTTCTGGCCGGTTCTTTTCTGACAGTAATTCCAGGACAAGGGTCCGTTTCAAAGGCCTCAGTAAGAATCGTGTATTGATATCTGTCAAATTTGGTCCTCCTATGCCTCTGGCCTGGCTCAAGTGTGTCTCAGCCACAAGCCGAGCTCGCTGTCCACTGGGAGCCTCAGTGGACAGGTTAGTTTTTTTAAAGTTTAAAGTTTTAACCAACTTTAAACTTAAAACGATTGTAATCAGGGCTTACAATAAAACTGTAAATTTATTTTATAGGCAACACCACTGTTTAAAAATCAATTAACTTTACATATTCTGCCCTTTTCTTCTAGGTCTATGAAAAATAAGATAACATTAAAATTAAATTCTGACTCCAAAGACTCCAATAAGCAATACAATAGGAAAAGTGACTAATACAACTTTAAACTGTAATAACAGAAAGATAGTGGCTAACAGGCTAAATGAACACAGCCTGAGAAATAAGTGAGATTATGACCCAGGAGTGAACTACTTGGGGTTCCGCCACTCACTATCTGTGCTACTTTTACAACCCTCTGACTCTTTGAACTATGGGATGCCATCTGTAAAACAGAGAAAAAATCTTCCTCCTGGGTTACTGTGAACACTGAATGATACAGGAGTATGAAAAACATTTTAGTACTGTGCTGGCATAAAGGTTCAAAAAATGCTCAGTATTCTTCATATTCAGTTCTGAGTACAATTTAAGATGGACATTGTGGCCAACTGGAACACACTTAGAAGGACAACAGGAGATGAAAAGAGATCCCCAAAAAAACCATCTGAAAAGGCACCTGAAGCAACTAGCTTGGACTCAGACAGTAAAGGAGATACGATGACTGAACATTTAAAGGACACATATGGAAGCAAACTTATTTAGCAAAGTTCAGGAAAACAAAGCTTTTACAAATTACAGGGAGGCAGATTTTTAGTGCTCTGTAAGAAAGAACATGTTCAAAAATGGAACAGATCACAGGGCGCAGTGGCTCACACCTGTAATCCCAACATTTTGGGAGGCCATGGCAGGCGGATCACCTGAAGTCAGGAGTTTGAGACCAGCCTGGCCAACATGGCAAAACCCCATCTCTACTAAAAATACAAAAATTAGCTGGGTGTGGTAATGGGTGCCTGTAATCCCAGCTATTCAGGAGGCTGGGGCTGGAGAATCACATGAACCCAGGAAGCAGAGATTGCAGTGAGCCCAGATCGTGCTGCTGCACTCCAGCCTGGGCAACAGAGCCAGAATCCATCTCAAAAAATAAAAAATTTTAAAAAAAGAAATATACACTTTAAAACTCTTTAAATTATTTATCTTAAAATAGAAAAGAAATTTAATACATATAGAAGCTTTTACCTTCAAAGGTACCTTTAAAACCTTACATTAAACAAGAAAGGTGGAAAATAAAGTGCTCCAAGACTTACACTTTGCTTCTGACAGATTTTGATTGGGTGACCAGACCAACATGCCAAGATTGTCCCGTTCTTGACTGCGTCTTGCCAGTTTGGCTTGGGAGAAAGAAAAAAGAAAATTCTTATTAAAATTTAACACATATAATAAGCTATAAGTAACAATACCTTTTAATGACATCACCCACCTTTTTACCTGTATCTGGCCCAATGGGCCCCACACTTAACATCAGAGTGAGGATGGAGATGGGGGAGGCGAGAGTCTGCTGAAACATTTCTACTTGCAAGTCCTTTCCTACTTTTACTGATTTTACAGTATGCTGCTCTGCTTTTAGGCATGAGACATCCAAGAAGAAATCCACAGGTGCCAAGGTGCTCAAAGGTTCTTTTAAAATGTTAATTCTTCATGTGTGCTTGCAGCACCCTTACCCTTCTCTGCCTGAGTTACTTTTTAGTGACTTGGCAATAGAAATCCCAAAATTCTTTTAACAGCATTATTAAAGAATAACTATTTAAAAAGTTTAACCTGAAAGGAAACTTCTAAAATGCATACTAATTCTTAAAAATCTGTTTTGCAAAATAGTAGGCCAAAAGGTTTAAAAGTGCCAGGGGTGGAGCTGACATGTATTACTGAATTAACCGCAAGCGGCTGTCATCTATTACAATACACATATCTTCAGAAGGCAAAGACTCGAGAAACAGGAGGTTCAGTGACCATACCTTCACACTGGTTAGGCCCAGACTTATTCATTCTAAAGGTTAATTTTGGCCACTTTTTTTCCTTTAAATAAATTACTCTGAAAATATGATGAAAGTTATGGAACCTAAACTCTAGGGGGAAAAATGCAACTAAATATAACATACAACCTACTATAAACAAAAATCTAGGAAACCCACAGTCTGGTTGACGAATTTCTTCTTTTATGATACCACCAGATCTCCCATCTTTAATTTTGTCTACCAATGTGTTCTAGGTTTCATAAAGAGGAAATTTTACATTTTTAGTAAAATCTGAGAGGCAGTTACTTTAAAGAACCGTAACAGAATAGTGAAAAGGACCCAAAGTGTGAAAAGTATGAATTAGGTAAAATTAAAAGTTGAATTTCTGTTGCAGATGGGAAGAGGATGTAGATGAGAAAGAAATATGACAAAAAAGATGGAGTGACCGCCTTTGAGTTTACCTTCTTTTTTGAGACAGTCTCACTCAGTCACGCAGGCTGGAGTGCAGTGGTGTGATCTTGGCTCCCTGCAACCTCTGCCTCCCAGGCTCAAGCAATTCTCCTGCCTCAGCCTCTTGAGTAGCTGGGACTACAGGTGTGCACCACCACACCCAGCTAATTTTTTATTTTTAGTAGAGACGGGGTTTCATCATATTGGCCAGGCTGGTCTCGAACTCCTGACCTCATGATCTGCCTGCCTTGGCCTCCCAAAGTGCTGGGATTACAGGTGTGAGCCACCACGCCCAGCCCAAGTATACCTTTTTTATAGATATATACATAGTTCTGACTTCAGAACAATGCTAACGCTACAAAGAATCTAAAACAAAAGTCATCAAAGGTATGTGTGGGGAGGGACCCCAAAGGGAATACAAAGACAAATAAGTCCTGCTGTATTTCCAATAAAAGTCTAAAGTAAAACAAAAATAAAGGCATCCACAGTGGAAAGGTACAATCAAAACTGCACGATTATCTGTGTAGAAAATCTACATTTTGTAGAATCTACAAAATGGTACCAGAATAAACAAGTTTAGTAAGGTTGTAGGAAATAATATTAATAGTAAATAGTCAATTCTATTTCTATATACCAGCAATAAAAAAAAAATCAAAAATCAAAATTAAAGATCATTAGCATCAAATATGAAATAACTTAGGGATAAAGTAAGATGTGTACACTGAAAACTACAAAACACTGCTGAGAGAAACTAAAGATGATCTAAGAAGATGAAGAAATAGATCATAGATATAGACTTATTATTAAGAAGGCATTCTTCCCAAACTGCTCTAAAGATTCAATGCAACTCCAATCAAAATTGTAGCACCTTCTTTTGCCGTAATTGATAAATATTCTACAATTCATAAAGAAAGGCAAAGTAAATGAGACAGCCAATGCAATTTTGAAAAAGAGCAAAGTTGGAAGACTTACACTATCTAAATCAAGACTAATTACAAAAAATCAGTAATCAAGAATGTATGGTATTGGCATAAAGACAGAGAAAAGGCCAGGTGCAGTGGCTCACGCCTGTAATCCCAGCACTTTGGGAGGCCGAGGCAGGAGGATCATGAAGTCAGGGGATCAAGACCATCCTGGCTAACATGATGAAACCCCGTCTATACTAAAAATACAAAAAATTAGCCGGGCGTGGTGGCGGGCGCCTGTAGTCCCAGCTACTCGGGAGACTGAGGCAGGAGAATGGCGTGAACGCGAGAGGCGGAGCTTGCAGTGAGCCAAGATTGCACCACTGCACTCCAGCCTGGGTGACAGAGCGAGATTCTGTCTCAAAAAAAAAAAAGAAAAAAAAAGGGAAATAAATGGAATAGAGTCCAAAAACAGAACCACACATACAGGATCAAATGATTTTCCATAAAGGCACGAAGGCAAAATCAAGCCAAAAATAATAATCTTTTCAACAAATGATGCAGGAACAAATGAATATTCACATGCAAAAACAAAACAAACATTTTTTTAAAAAAATTTGGATCCATACCTCAAAATTATCTCAAAACAGATGACAGAACTAAGTGTAAAACTGAAAAATTATAGAATTTCTAAAGAAAAACACATGGAAATCTTTTTGACCTTGGATTGGGAAAGGAGATCTTAGATACAGTACCAAAATCACAATCCACCAAACATTTTTTAATGGTATACTAAAAATAAAATTTAAAAACTTTTGCTCTGCAAAAGGCACTGTTGAGATACACTACGGACTGTAAGAAAATATTTGCATATCGCATATGCAACAAAGGACTTCTATCCAGAATACATAAAGAACTTTCAAAGTCAACAATAAGGAAAATAACACAATTTTTTTAAAATGGCCAAAAGATTTGAACAGTCACTTCGCCAAAGTAGATATAAAGGGGGTATATTAGATGAAAAGATGCTCTACATCATTAGCCATTAGGAAAATGTAAATTAAAGCCATGATGAGAAACCATTATTTACCTGTTAGGCTGTCTAAAATAAAAGGCATCAACACTACAAAGTGCTGACAAGAATGGGAACAACTGAAATTCTCATACACTGCTGGTGTAAATGCAAAATTATAAAGCCATTCTGGGAAAGTTTTGCAGTTTTTTACAAAGACATAATTATATTTACCAAATGACTGATCTAGCAACCCCACTGTTCAGCCATATACCCTACAGAATTAGCATATGTTCACAATAAAACCTGCACACAGGCTGGGAGCAGTGACTCACGCCTGTAATCCCAGCACTTTGGGAGGCTCAGGATCACCTGAGGTCAGGGGTTCGAGACCAGCCTGACCAATACTGTGAAACCCCATCTCCACAAAAATACAAAAATTAGCCAGGTGTGGTGGTGTGTGCCTGCAGACCCAGCTACTCAGGAGGCTGAGGCAGGAGAATGGCTTGAACCCAGGAGGCGGAGCTTGCAGTGAGCCAAGATCGCGCCACTGCACTCCAGCCTGGGCGACAGAGCGAGACACCACCTCAAAACAAACAAACAAAAAAAAGCACCTGCACACATAGGCAGCGTTATTCACAATCATCAAAAACTGTGAAACAGCTCTCCCTCTCCCTCTCCCTCTCGTCTCCCTCTCTCTCCACGGTCTCCTTCCACGGTCTCCCTCTGATGCCGAGCCAAAGCTGGACGGTACTGCTGCCATCTCGGCTCACTGCAACCTCCCTGCCTGATTCTCCTGCCTCAGCCTGCCGAGTGCCTGCGATTGCAGGCGCGCGCCGCCACGCCTGACTGGTTTTCGTTTTTTTTTTTGGTGGAGACGGGGTTTTGCTGTGTTGGCCGGGCTGGTCTCCAGCTCCTAACCGCGAGTGATCCGCCAGCCTCGGCCTCCCGAGGTGCCGGGATTGCAGACGGAGTCTCGTTCACTCAGTGCTCAATGGTGCCCAGGCTGGAGTGCAGTGGCGTGATCTCAGCTCGCTACAACCTCCACCTCCCAGCCGCCTGCCTTGGCCCCCCAAAGTGCCGAGATTGCAGCCTCTGCCCAGCCGCCACCCCGTCTGGGAAGTGAGGAGCGTCTCTGCCTGGCCCCCCATCGTCTGGGATATGAGGAGCCTCTCTGCCTGGCTGCCCAGTCTGGAAAGTGAGGAGCGTCTCTGCCCGGCCGCCATCCCATCTAGGAAGCGAGGAGCGCCTCTTCCCCGCCGCCATCCCATCTAGGAAGTGAGGAGCGTCTCTGCCCGGCCGCCCATCGTCTGAGATGTGGGGAGCACCTCTGCCCCGCCGCCCTGTCTGGGATGTGAGGAGCGCCTCTGCTGGGCCGCAACCCTGTCTGGGAGGTGAGGAGCGTCTCTGCCCGGCCGCCCCGTCTGAGAAGTGAGGAAACCCTCTGCCTGGCAACCGCCCCGTCTGAGAAGTGAGGAGCCCCTCCGTCCGGCAGCCACCCCGTCTGGGAAGTGAGGAGCGTCTCCGCCCGGCAGCCACCCCGTCCGGGAGGGAGGTGGGGGGGGGGTCAGCCCCCTGCCCGGCCAGCCGCCCCGTCCGGGAGGTGAGGGGCTCCTTTGCCCGGCCGCCCCGACTGGGAAGTGAGGAGCCCCTCTGCCCGGCCAGCCACCCCGTCCGGGAGGGGGGAGGGGGGGTCAGCCCCCTGCCCGGCCAGCCGCCCCGTCCGGGAGGGAGGTGGGGGGGGGTCAGCCCCCCGCCCGGCCAGCCGCCCCGTCCGGGAGGTGAGGGGCTCCTCGGCCCGGCCGCCCCTACTGGGAAGTGAGGAGCCCCTCTGCCCGGCCAGCCGCCCCGTCCGGGAGGGAGGTGGGGGGTCAGCCCCCCGCCCGGCCGGCCGCCCCGTCCGGGAGGTGAGGGGCGCCTCTGCCCGGCCGCCCCTACTGGGAAGTGAGGAGCCCCTCTGCCCGGCCAGCCGCCCCGTCCGGGAGGGAGGTGGGGGGGTCAGCCCCCCGCCCGGCCAGCCGCCCCGTCCAGGAGGGAGGTGGGGGGTCAGCCCCTCGCCCGGCCAGCCGCCCCGTCCGGGAGGTGAGGGGCGCCTCTGCCCGGCCGCCCCTACTGGGAAGTGAGGACCCCTCTGCCCGGCCAGCCGCCCCGTCCGGGAGGGAGGTGGGGGGGGTCAGCCCCCCGCCCGGCCAGCCGCCCAGTCCGGGAGGGAGGTGGGGGGTCAGCCCCCCGCCCAGCCAGCCGCCCCGTCCGGGAGGGAGGTGGGGGGATCAGCCCCCCACCTGGCCAGCCGCCCCGTCCGGGAGGTGAGGGGCGCCTCTGCCCGGCCGCCCCTACTGGGAAGTGAGGAGCCCCTCTGCCCGGCCAGCCGCCCCGTCCGGGAGGGAGGTGGGGGGGGGTCGGCCAGCCGCCCTGTCCGGGAGGGAGGTGGGGGGGTCAGCCCCCCGCCCGGCCGGCCGCCCCGTCCGGGAGGTGAGGGGCGCCTCTGCCTGGCCGCCCCTACTGGGAAGTGAGGAGCCCCTCTGCCCGGCCAGCCGCCCCGTCCGGGAGGGTGGTGGGGGGGTCAGCCCCCCGCCCGGCCAGCCGCCCCATCCGGGAGGTGAGGGGCGCTTCTGCCCGGCCGCCCCTACTGGGAAGCGAGGAGCCCCTCTGCCCGGCCACGACCCCGTCTGGGAGGTGTGCCCAGCGGCTCATTGGGGATGGGCCATGATGACAATGGCGGTTTTGTGGAATAGAAAGGCGGGAAGGGTGGGGAAAAAATTGAGAAATCGGATGGTTGCCGGGTCTGTGTGGATAGAAGTAGACATGGGAGACTTTTCATTTTGTTCTGTACTAAGAAAAATTCTTCTGCCTTGGGGAAAAAAAAAAAAAAAAACTGTGAAATATTCAGATGTTTTCAATGCGTAAATGGATAAACCAACTGTAGTACATCCATATACTGGAACAGTACACAGCAACAAAAATAGTGAACTACTAATATATTCAACAACCTAGACCTACTTCCAAAGCATTACAGTGAGTGAAAGAAGCCAGTACAAGTTCATTCATACGACACTCTGAAAAAGGCAAAAGTACAGGGATAATGAATAGATCCAAGGTTTCCAGGGTCTAGAAGTGTGAGGAAGCTTAAGAAAGTCTGAGGTAGCTTTTGGAGGAGCTGGAACTCTTTGGTATCCTAATTGTGGTGGTGGTATATGAAACTCCAGTGGTGCCCCGCATTGGAATTTGCTTTCTGTGATTTCAGTTACCCATGATCAACTGTGGTCTGAAAACATTCAAATGAAAATTCCAGGAATAGTACCTGAATCATCCATTTGTGCACCACATCCCCTCTGTAGGTGCTATGTGCCCATTAGTCACTTGGGTCATCTTAGTTATCAGCTGGACTGTCATAGCATCGCAGCATTTGTGTTCAAGTCCCCTGTATTTTACTTACTAACAGCCCCAAAGTATTGGCGATGTTGGCATATTGTTATAATTGTTCATTTTATTATTTTTTGTTGTTGATCTCTCAGTGTGTCTAACTTATAAATTAATCTTTATCATAGGTATGTATGCATAGGAAGAACCATAGTATATATATAGGGTTCAGTACTACCCACAGTTTCAGGCATCCACCAGAGGTCTTGAAACATACCTTTCATGGATAAGGGAGGAGTATTGTATACATGTCTTAACACTCACAAAAATGTGCACCAAAAATTATTCAGTTTTGCTATATGTAAATCAAAAAATATAAATACAATGAAAATAAAGAAATGTCATTAATTTCTGGGTAGATACTAATATTTGCTGAAGGTGCCAACACAGGCAGGTCTCTTTGTTTAAAGTTGACTTTTTTTTTTTTTTTTTTTTTTTTGAGGTGGAGTCTTGCTCTGTCGCCCAGGCTAGAGTGCAGATCTTGGCTCACTGCAAGCTCCGCCTCCCGGGTTCATGTCATTCTCCTGCCCCAGCCTGTAGCTGGGACTACAGGCGCCTGCCACCACGCCCTGCTAATTTTTTGTATTTTTAGTAGAGACAGGGTTTCACCGTGTTAGCCAGGATGGTCTCATGATCCGCCCGCCTCGGCCTCCCAAAGTGCTGGGATTACAGGCATGAGCCACCGTGCCCGGCCTAAAGTCGATTTTTATCAAGTTTTAAAGACCTTAAAAAATAAGCCCAGACCTATCTGGAATAATTAGGTCTACAAGGAAACTGCAATTACCAGTTGCCATCAAGGGGGTAAGAAAGAAGGTTTATTCACACGGCTAGTAGGGCTGTACAGTGGTTCAACTACTTCAGAGAAAAAAACTGGCAATGTATAGTAAAGTGGACGTGTGGATACCTTGCAAGCCAGCAATTCCATTTCTAGACTACATATATATGCAATGTTTTTCAAATTGCTGGTCAGATCTACTCACATTGAATTTTGGGTTCCTAATCAGCATTTTAAAAAAAAGAATAAGAACAGAAAACATCAGCATATGGTTTCATTAAGTATGTGTATAAACTATTGGTGGAGGTTTTTTAAAGTCTGAAAGTCTCTGGTGCACATGGAAGGACAGTGTGTTGCTTAGTTTTCTGTGTCAACTTGGCTAGACTCTAGTAGCCAGTTATTTAATCAAACATTAATCTAGGTGTTACTGTGAAAAGTATTTAGTAGATATGGTTAACATCTATAATCTCTTGATTACCCTCCATAATGTGGGTGGGCCTTATCCAGTTCACCTAAAGGTCATAAGAGCAGAAATTGAGATTTTTCCAGAAGTTGAGACTAAGGCCCTAACTCCTTCTTATAGGCCTGCACAGATTTCAGACTCGTCAGGCCCCTACAACTACATAAACCAATTCCTTAAAATAAATCTCTGAATATATGTACACATAGATACACCCATACATATTCTAGTAGTTCTGTTTATCTGAAGAACCCTATCTACATAATAACATAGATAGTTACTACAGAATCGTCTATAGGACAAAAATAGAGGAAAATCTTTAAAATACATCAACGGGGGCTGGGCGCGGTGGCTCACCCCTGTAATCCCAGCACTTGGCGAGGCGGCGGCGGGCGGATCACCTGAAGTCGGGAGTTCGAGACCAGCCTGAGCAACATGGAGAAACCCTGTCTCTACTAAAAACACAACATTAGCCAGGCATGGTGGCACATGCCTGTAATCCCAGCTACTTGGGAGGCTGAGGCAGGAGAATCACTTGAACCCGGGAGGCGGAGGTTGCGGTGAGCCGAGATCGTGCCATTGCACTCTAGCCTGGGCAAAAAGAGTGAAACTCTGTCTCACGTGAGCCATGGCTCACGCCTGTAATCCCAGCACTTTGGGAGGCCAAGGCGGGCGGATCACAAGGTCAGGAGATCGAGACCATCCTGGCTAACACAGTGAAACCCCGTCTCTACTAAAAATACAAAAATTAGCCGGGCATGGTAGTGGGCGACTGTAGTCCCAGCTACTCAGGAGGCTGAGGCAGGAGAATGACGTGAACCCAGGAGACGGAGCTTGCAGTGAGCCGAGATCCTGCCAGTGCACTCCAGCCTGGGCCACAGAGGGAGACTCTGTCTTAAAAAAAAAAAAAAAAAAAATCAGGGATTGGATAAACCGTGGTATGTGACTTCAAGGGAATTAAATATAGAAAACAAAATCAGATCTACAGCTATCAACCAGTTTGAATAGAAAAAGCAAGTTAAAGGAAATGTATAATATCATAACTTAAATGTTGAAAACATAAAATTGGTACTATTAGTTATGGGGTACATTTAAAGAATAAGATGTATACAATAAAGATATTCTTAAAATCAGGTTAACAGGCATTTAAAGAGAGGAAGATCTTGCTTTGTAACACTGTAATATTTCACTGTTCTTTGCAAATCCCAGTGTTAAGCAGACAAATACTATTTTGTGTACATTGTGAGAAACCCTTCACTGTATGATTTGATGTTACCTGATACAATGTCTGTGTTCAAATTTAAAATCATCTAGTCCAACACTAAGGAAAATACTCTTCTAGTATATTTTCAGTTCTACTCTGAAACTCTGAGTTATTTCTCACTCTATAATGCTATATTTTACTTGTCAACTGTTTGGGAGCAGAACAGCAATTTACATTTACATTCCCACCAGCAGGGTATGAGAGTTCCAATTTCTACACATCCTCACCAACACTTGTTATTATCTGACTTTTTGATTCTAGCCAGCAGGTGTGAAGTAGTCTCTCACTGTGGTTTTGATTTGCATTTCCCTGAATAAAGAGGTTGAGCATATTGGATAAGTTTATTGGCCATCTGAGTATCTTCCCTGGAGAAATGTCTATTCAGCTCTTTTGCCTGTTTTTAGTCAGATTATTTGGCTAAAATGTTGGGAATATAAAATGGTGCCATTCCTCAAAAGATTATCATATAACCCAGAGGCCGGGCGTGGTGGCTCACACCTGTAATCCCAGCACTTTGGGAAGCCGAGGCGGGCGGATCATGAGGTCAGGAGATGGAGACCATCCTGGCTAACATGGTGAAACCCCGTCTCTACTAAAAATACAAAAAAAAATTAGCTGGGTGTGGTGGCGGGCGCCTGTAGTCCCAGCTACTCGGGAGGCTAAGGCAGGAAAATGGCGTAACAGGAGGTGGAGCTTGCAGTGAGCCGAGATCGCACCACTGCACTCCAGACTGGGCAACAGAGCGAGACTCCATCTCAAAAAAGAAAAAAAATTATCATATAACCCAGAAAATCCACTCCTAGGTATACAGCCCAAAGAAATAAAAACATATATCCACATAATAATTTGTATATAAATTTTCATAGCAGCATTACTCAACAGCTAAAAGGTAGAAACAACCCAAATGCCCATCAACCGATTGAATAAAAAAATGCAGTATGTCTATATGACAGAACTTTATACTGCCATGAAAATAAAACACTAACACATGCTCAGTATGAAACTTGAAACACTATGCTAAGTGAAAGCAGCCAGTCACATGCACAAAAATCCACAGCCTATTGTATGATTTTATTTACATGAACCGTCCAGACAGAAAGATGATTAGTGATTGCCAGAGGCTGTAGGGCATTTGAAATAACAGGGTGCCACTGCTAACAGGTACAGCATTTCTTCATGGGATGATAAAATGTTTTAAATTTGATTTGTGGTGATAGTTACACAACTCTGAATATACCGAAAACCACTGAATTTTGCATATTTTAAATAAGTGAACTGCGTGTTTTGTTAATTTTATTGTAGTAAAGCTGTTATTTAAAAAGCAAGGCTACTCAGGAGGCTGAGGTGGGAGGATCAGCTGAGGCCAGAAGTTCAAGGCCAGCCTGGGCAACACAGTGAGACCCTATCTCTGAAAGTTTTTAAAAGTTAGCCAGATATGGTGGTAAGCACCTGTAGTCCCAGCTACTTCAGAGGGTGAGGCTAAAGGATTGCTTGAGCCCAAGAGTTCAAGGCTGTAGTGAGCTATGATCACCCTGCTGCACTCCAGCCTGGGCGACAGAGGGAGAGACCCTGTCTCTTTAAAACAAACAAACAAACAAAACACAGAAACTAACTGGAAGGAGAAGACAGGTTACTCCACAGCCATTAGAACACCTGCTTGGGTTCCCACATTCTCATAACCCCCTCCCCTATACCCTAAAAAATCACATTAAGTCTGTGGAGTCGAGGGGAAGAGGGAGTTGTGTTTCTACCATTCAGGGTCCAACCATATCCTCAATGACCTGAGTCAGAACAGAAAGATGAACACAAGAAAGAGAATGGCCAAATGGATAAACACAGAAGGGGAAGCGAAAACAATGAGAACTGAAACAAATGGTGAATATGCTTTTCTTGCTATCAATAATTATAAGATAGGGCTGGGTGCGGTGGCTCACACCTGCAATCCCAGCACTTTGGGAGGCCAAGATGGGTGGATCACCTGAGGTCAGGAGTTCAAGACCAGCCTGGCCAACATGGTGAAACCCCATCTCTACTAAAAATACAAAAATTAGCCAGGCATGGTGGCAGGTGCCTGTAATCCCAGCTACTTGGGAGGCTGAGGCACTAGAATTGCTTGAACCCGGGAGGCAGAGGTTGCAGTGAACTGAGACAACACCGCTGCACTCCAGCCTGGGCGACAAGAGCAAGACTCCATCTCAAAATCAATCAATAAATAAGTAAAATAAATAAATATATATATATATATAATAATCTTGTCATTTTAAGACACGCTCACAATTACAGGTTTTAACAACATGCCTTGTTTTCTACAATCCTAAACTCTACTTGAAATGTTTTAATTTTACCAGAAGCTTAAGGAAGAGGTATGAAAACAGGAGTAGCACAATAAGCTATGAATTAAATGCTACCTTCTTGCTTAAATTCAGAACAAGAAAACTGAAGCTGAAAAGTATAAACAGAGAACTGTATATATATTGTGTATATTTATTGTGTATATATAGGGTCATTACATTCACATTCATAGTACCGTTACCTTCATGTTATCAAACCATCTTTAAGTTAGCACTCATAAATAGGACAGCTGTTTGGTTTGCTTTAAAATTTAAATTCTATCCCATTATAGATGTCATTGTCATACTCTAATACCTATATAAAAAGGACACATGAAACTCCAAATTACTCATCAGTAGGACTCAAAAAGATAATAAATAAAGCTTTTTAAAAAGGTAAATTCTGGCCGGGTGAAGTGGCTCATGCCTGTAACCCCAGCACTTTGGGAGAGGCCAAGGCAGGCAGATCACTTGCTGTCAAGAGTTTGAGACCAGCCTGTCCAACATGGTGAAACCCCGTCTCTACTAAAAATATAAAAATTAGTCGGGCATGGTGGCACACACCTGTAATCCCAGCTACTCAGGAGGCTGAGGCCGGAGAATTGCTTGAACCCAGGAGGCAGAGGTTGCAGTGAGCTGAGGTCACACCACTGCACTCCAGCCTGGGGTACAAAGCAAGGCTCTGTCTCTAAATTCTTATAATTCTTATTCTTAAATGTATGGACTGGCCACCCATACTTTCAATATATCCTGAGATGCTACGCATGAGTAAATTTAACTTAATTATGTTAGGGACCAAAAAACGTTTTATGACTCCAAAATTTTTGGCTTCTGACGTTGGGTAATCAAAAAGATAGAAATCAAAGGGAATGGCAAGAGTATATATGATTACTATTGCTGTAACAGTTATAAATGCTTACTATGTGCTAGGCACTGTGTACTTTGACGTGCCTTAGTTCATTTCAATCTTACGACTATCCATTTTATAGATGAGAAAATTAAAGCACAGAGAGATGAAGTAAGCTGCCCAACATCACACCTATGAGCAGTGAAGCTGAGTCGAAGCTTAAGGAAGAGGTATGAAAACAGCAGAAGACAGAGTCGGTGGTGTTAACCATTATGCTACAATGCCTAGATTTTAAAGACACCATACATTATGATCAAAAACCAAAGAATGTAAAGAACATTTTTCCTCCCCATGATATCCACATTAAGTATTTTAGCATTTAAGTTAAATGGCTTAAGAATTCTCAACTGACAACAGTTCACTCTCTATAAAATGAGGAAGTCAGAAGCAACTTTGGTATTTCAATACCTGTATCTTTTCTTTTCTCTTTTTTTTTTTTTTCAGACCGAGTTTCACTCTTGTTGCCTAGGCTGGAGTGCAGTGGCGCGATCTCAGCTCACTGCAACCTCCGCCTCCTGGGTTCAAGCGATTCTCCTGCCTCAGCATCCCAAGTAGATAGGATTACAGGAATGTGCCACCACGCCTGGCTAATTTTGTATTTTTAGTAGAGACAGGGTTTCTCCATGTTGGTCAGGCTGGTCTCAAACTCCCGACTTCAGGTGATCTGCCCGCTTCAGCCTCTCAAAGTGCTGGGATTACATTAAATATCTGTATCTTTCTACAAACTATATACCTCCTGTCTGGTTCTCTCTTATCTCTTCCTTTTTAAATGCTGAAAGTTTAAATTGGAACAAATAGGTCCATGATTTCCAATCACCAGCTCTCTGGAATTAAAATCTACAATAAACATAGGCACGCTATAAAGTCCTTAAAAACTCAAATCTCATGTTCTCCTAAATTTACGGGAAAAAATTTTTCGCCTCAAAGATTAGCGATTTCACGAAGAATTTAAAAGCTAAACAGATTTTTTCTTTGAGGATTTTATCCTCCATGATAATAAATGCTCTATTCACTTGTTTTTAAAAAACAGAAACATTTAAAAAAAAATCTTAACTTACATCACAGGTGGTTAACGAGGGGTATGTATACTCCCACTAGCACCGCCCCGCCCCCCTGCAAAAAAGGAGAGGGACTGTAAAAAATAAAAAGGCAGGCAAGAACAAAGCTGGACAGGGAGAGAAGACAGACAGAAAGGGCTTCAGCAGATAGCCGAGGTAGAAACTATCATGCCACAACTGACATACACATAACCAATTACCATTGCTTACTTTGTATTGTATTACCCAGTAAATACCCAACTAGATTGTTAATTGCTTGGTAACAAAGAATCCATTCTTCATTCTTGTACTGCCACTGCTTACCTGACCTGAAGTAGTACTGTTCGGTCAATTGCTTTCCATAGGTCTTCAGCTGTCTTGATTCTTAATTTTAGCAAGATTTATTCTCATTAGCATCACCACAACAGTACCTGCATTACCGCAGCAGTAACTATCCTCAGAAGAAATGTTCTAAACGTGTATAGTGTGTTCTGTCCTTTGGTATAGTGTTTTACACCTCCAGGGTGAACAGAAGAGAGGATGTGATGTAGAGGAATTAAACAGCCACATGAATAAGAGATTTTAACAAAAGTTGACCTTTCCCCACGTTTTCTCTACCACTTTTTTAAACATCAGTGTTCCCTGGGTTCCTCTTTTTCATCTGGTATTAATTACTCTTCCTATGCCATAACATCTAACACTGCAAATTTCTCAAACCACATTTATTATGGTAATGACTTCTAAATCTTTATCTCAAGACAGAATACGCATATAAGCCAAGAACAACTCAAAAAGCATCTTGACACAGCTTATTGCCCTCTCATTCACCCTTCCCACTATCAACAACAAGCTGTTTCTTCTTGTTTACCTAAAAAAATTAACACTATCACTTGTATAGTCACCAACTCCCAGCAATATGGCTGGCAAGTCATCTTGGAGTCCCCTCATCTGCTACTAGCACTCGAGCACACACACTCTGCAAAACCCACTGAGCCCCATCCACTAATCTCTTCGACTTTTCTCAAATCCATCGCTCTCCAACCCTGCTGCCACTGACCTTCAGTTTCCAACTTCATGGTTTCTCATCTTGTCCTGTCTTAAAGGTTGCAGGCTAAATTCGGTCTCCCCAGATTCAGTTTCTCCACTAGCTAGAGCAATCTTTCTGAAGCACAATTCATTATTTTTTATTATTATCATTATTATTATTATTATTGAGACAGAGTCTCACTCTGTTGCCAAGGCTGGAGCACAGTGGTACCATGTCAGCTCACTGCAACCTCCATCTCCTGGGTTCAAGCAATTCTCCTCCTTCAGCCTCCCGAGCAGCTGGGATTACAGGCACCCACCACCACGCCCGGCTAGTTTTCATATTTTTAGTAGAGATGGGGTTTCACCATGTTGGCCAGGCTGGTCTCGAACTCCTGACCTCACTTGATCCACCTGCCTTGGCCTCCCAAAGTGCTGGGATTACAGGTGTGAGCCACTACGCCCAGCCCATTCTTTATTTTTTTAAGAAACAAGGTCTTGCCCTGTTTGTCCAGGATGGAGTGCAGTGATATGACCATAGCTCACCGCAGCCTCAAACTCCTGGGCTCAACTGATCCTCCTGCCTCCCCTCCCAAAGTGCTGGAATTATGGGCATGAGCCACCGTGCCTGGCCCTGGAACATAATTCTGATCAAATCACTTTCCACGTTAAAAGTCCTTCCTGAGATATGGATCATAACTCCCTTCCCCTTCAGTGTGGGCTGTGCATAGTGACCTCTTTCCAAAAAAGGGGGTTGTATGGAAAGGGGCGGAGCAGGAGATGGAAGAGTACTTTACAGCTGAAACTTCTGACAAACTCAGACGTTTCCACTGTAAAGTACTCCGCCAGGCAACACTGGTCAACATGAGCAGTCATCAGTCATGTTGATGGTATGTACCCTTGGATGGGATGAAATGGCACTCTACGTCTGTGGTCTTCCTACCCCAAACTCATAACCTTAGTACAATAATGAGAAAAATGCCAGACAAATCCCAATTGAGAAACATCCTGCAAAATTTCTGATTAGTACTTCTTAAAACTAAAACATCATCAAAAACAAGAAAAATCTTGAGAAACTGTCACAGCCAAGAGGAACCTAAAGCAACAAGGCAACTAAATGTAATGTGGTATCTTCGATGGGATTCTGGAACAGAAAAGGGGTATTAGGTAAAAACTAAGAACATAAGAATAAATTATGAACTTCAGGTAATAATTACAAATCAATCAATCACTAATTGTAACAAATGTACCATACTAATGTAAGATGTTAATAACGGGGAAACTGGGTGTAGGGTATATGGAAACTCTTTGTACTATCTTTACAACTTTCCTGTAAATCTAAAATTATTCCAAAATAAAAAGTCCTTCTGCTGCTTCCCCCGCTGTCTTTAGGGAAAAAACCCATGGCATGCAAGACCCTTCATAATCTGGCCTGCTTATCTTTCTAACCTATGTCTCACCCTCAGGACTCTATCCCTCACACAGTCATTACATTTCTGGGCCTTTTTGCTTTGCCATGACTTTCCTCTAACCCACTTCCTTCTCTTTATCTTTTCCCACCAGCTAACTCCTAATAATGCTTCAAGACCCCTCAAGGATCACCATCTTTGTAAGTCTGCTTACTCTCCTAGTCCAGGTTAGCAGTCCATTCCTCTTCAATACTCTCATAACACTGGGGACACCTTCTCTATCACAGTTTAGGCTCTTGTCATTAATGATTTGCATAAAGACATGTGGAGAAAACAATGGCTTTGTAAGACTCAACTACCAGCAGTAACTACTATTAATGGCTTTTGAGCCAGTATGATCTAATATAATTATTAACTATTACTACGTGCCAGTAACTGGGCTAACCACTTCACCTATCTGTCACATAACACACACCAAAAAAGCCCTATGAGATAAGAACTGTTGTAGTCCACATTTGAAAAGAGGAGTTAAGTGACTTGCACTTAGATCCTAACACTGGTCAGCATCTGAACTCCCATCTGGGACTCAATCCCATGGTGGACTTGTATCCCATTTTAACCACTTTGTTATTGAGTGATGACGAACAAGCTACTTAGCTTCACTAACCCTAAAGAAAAATGGAGAGGATAATGCCTACCTTGCATGGGTTTCTATGAGAATTAGAAAGGCCACCTTAATATTAAGTACCTGGTACATACAGATGCTCCTCAGCTTACAACAGTGTTAGTCCTGATAAATGTATCACAAATTGAAAATATTGTAATCCAAAAATGCACTTAATACACCTAACCTAATGGGCATCATAGCCTAGCCTACCTTAAACATGCTCAGAACACTTACATTAGCCTGTAGTTGGGCAAGGCCATCTAACAAAGCCTATTTTATTTAAAAAAAAAAAAAAAAAAAGTGTTGAGGCCAGGTGTGGTGGCTCATACCTATAATCCCAGTACTTTGGGAGGCTGAGGTGGGTGGATCACCAGAGGTCAGGAGTTTGAGACCAGCCTGACCAACATGGAGAAACTCTATCTCTACTAAAAACACAGAATTAGTCAGGCATGGTGGTGCATGCCTGTAATCCCAGCTACTCGGGAGGCTGAGGCAGAAGAATCGCTTGAACCCGGGAGGCAGAGGTTGCAGTGAGATTGCGCCACTGCATTCCAGCCCGGGCAACAAGAGCAAAACTCTGTCTCCAAAAAACAACAAAAAAAAAGGGTTGAATATCTCATGTAAGGGTATTACACCACATATTGCTAGCCGAGGAAAAGATCAAAATTCAAAATACAGTTTCTACTGAGTGTGTATCACTTTTGTACCATCTTAAAGTTGAAAAATACTAAGTCGAATGCTTAAGAACTGCCTGTACTTAATACTTCATAAATAATAGCAATTATGATTTTCTTTCTCCTCTATTATTTGCCATCTTTCAGACCATAGTATCTTCAGTGTCTAGCATATTATAAGTACTTCATAAATGTTAAGTAAATTAATATGCATAACATAGGTTAGGTAGCCAATTAATGAAAAATTTTAGAAAGGGAGTATATTGTTCTATTCCCTTTCCTTAAACACAGCAATCCAGACCGACAAGTTTGAGAACCAAGAAGGCTGGGCAGCAACTCATGTAGACCTGATCTCTGGAATGCCACCCACTCCCTCTCTTCTTGTATCTCTCTTTATAATAGCACTCTACCCTTTAAGGGCATAAACTCTATTCCCATGGGAAGGTTATTTCAAAAATACTATGATTTGCAATATTACAAGCTGACAAAAATAAATGAATAATTTCCCTTAGAACTGGCTCAAAGCCAGGCATGGTGGCTCATACCTGTAATCCCAGCACTTTGGGAGGCTCAGGCGGGTAGACGATTTGAGGTCAAGATTTCAAGAACAGCCTGGACAACATGGTGAAAACCTGGCTCTACTAAAAATGCAAAAAAAACCAAACCCAGCTGGGCGTGGTGGCTCACACCTGCAATTCCAGCTACTAGAGAGGCTGAGGGATGAGAATCACTTGAACCCAGGAGGCGGAGGTTGACATGAGCCAAGACTGCACCACTGCACTCCAGCGGGTGACGGAGTGAGACTGTCTCAAAAAATAAAAATAAAAAATAGAACTGACTCAATCACTTTCCAGTAATCTGAGTTCAGCTAATGCCTAATCTATGTCCCTTTTCTGATTCCCCCAAGAAGGAAGTTAGATGCTAATCAAATGCTACTGAAGTCAACTCTGCACTAGAAACTGGAATTGTATAGTCAGTTTCTAACTAATAACATCTTACCTTCTCTCATTCTCTTGGACTCACAGGTGCCTTGGACTGGGAATCGATTTTCTCTAAGAGAAACCAGAAACACTTTTCTTCCATGTTATCAATATAACAAGCTTATCATTTACCACCAATGTAATTTCGCCACATACGATCGTCAAACCTAAACAAAGACAAAACACTTCAGAGACCAATTAATTTCACAGTGAAATGTTTTAGGCTCAGGTTTCTCCTATTTCTCTTAACACTGCCCTATCAGTAATGTAACACACTAATCAGAATGGGCAAGGCTGTATTGATATTTCACCACCAAGCAATCCAAGAGAAAAAAAAGCCCTGAAGCTACAGTCTGACTGATGGTGAGGCACCACAATCTTATGAAATACAGAGAGCCCAGATTATCCTATAACACAATTACTCCCAATATCACCATAACCCAGAGAAAACTTCTAACTACTGTACCACCAGCTAAGGACATACCTTTACACCAATGTTGTAAGAGTTCCTTACAAAAGGTTGAATTAGGAAAAAAGACAATATGAAATTCTTTGCAAAAGTTTGGCAAAACAGGATGTTAGAAGGGAACATAGAAAACCTGTCCACTAGAAATGTTGAGAGAAGTTGCATTAGTCTGTTTTCACAATGCTGATAAAGACATACCAGAGACTGGGCAATTTACAAAACAAAGAGGTTTAACTGGATTTAACAGTTCCATGCAGCTGGGGAAGCCTCACAGTCATGGCGGACGGCAAGGAGGAGCAACTCAGTCTTACGTGGATGGCAGCAGGCAGAGAGGAGCACTTGTGCAGGGAAAATCCCCTTTTTAAAACTATTAGATATCTCATGAGACTCATTTGCTAGCAAGAGAAAAGCACAGGAAAGATCTGGCCTCATGATTCAATTATCTACCACCAGGTCCCTCCTACAATATGTGGGAGTTATAGGAGCTACAAGATGAGATTTGCGTGGGGACACAGAGCCAAACCATACCATAAGTGTACTGTAAATAAGTTCAGGCTTTCTGAAGGGTAGTTTGGCAATGTTTACCCGAGCCTCTAGCAATTTATCCCAAAAGAAAATATTCATAAAGCTTTGCAAAAACTTATCTACAAAGTTATTCATCAAGTGCTGCTGAAAACAGCAATAAATTGGAAAGAACTCAAATGTCCAACATAATCTTATAATCTGGTACAATCATATCATGGAAACTGTACACATTAAAAGCTGCAGAGCCCTTTTCACAAGATGGCACCGAAAGCAAAGAAGGAAGCTCCTGCCCCTCCTCAAGCCGAAGCCAAAGCAAAGGCTGTGAAGGCCAAGAAAGCAGTGTTGAAAGGCGTCCACAGCCGGAAAAAAAAAAGATCCACACATCACCCACCTTCCAGCGGCCCAAAACACTGCGACTCCAGGGGCAGCCCAAATATCCTCAGAAGAGCGCCCCCAGGAGAAACAAGCTTGACCACCATATTATCATCAAGTTGCCGCTGACCACTGAGTCTGCCATGAAGAAGAGCGAGGACAACAAGACACTTGTGTTCATTGTAGATGTTAAAGCCAACAGGCACCAGATCAAACAGGCTGTGAAGAAGCTCTATGACATTGATGTGGCCCGGTCAACACCCTGATTCGGCCTGATGGAGAGAAGGAGGCATACGTTCAACTAGCTCCTGATTATGATGCTTTGGATGTTGCCAACAAAATTGGGGTCATCTAAACTGAGTCCAGCTGGCTAATTCTAAATATATGTATATCTTTTCACCAGAAAAAATAAAAAATAAAAAGTTGCAGAAGTATGTACATTTAATGACTTGGGAAAACCATACATGAAGTACAACATGCAAATGACAACAAACTGCTGCCTACTACAAAATCACCCAGTCTATAACAACTCATAGGCAGGGCACAGTGCTCACGCCTATAATCCCAGCACTTTGAGAGGCCAAGGCTGGAGGATTGCTTGAGGTCAGGAATTTGAGACCAGCCTGGGCAACAAAGTGAGACCCTGTCACTACAAAAAATAAAAAAAAAAATTAGCAAGGCATTGTGGCTCACACCTGTAGTTCCAGCTACTTGGGTTGCTGAGGTGGGTGAACTCCTTGAGTCCAAGAGTTCAAGGCTGCAGTGAGCCATGATCGTGCCATTGCAATAGAGCCTGGGCAACAGAGCAAGACTCTGCCTCAAAAACAAACAAAAACTCATGTCCAATTCAAATTATGTTTCCATAAGCTAACTACATATGCTAACATCTTGCTATAGCCGGTTGTCTCATCCCACTTCACCTGCAGAAATGCCCGTCCTGCGCTGAAGGAACTCCCTCTGCTCACCTCTAATGAGAGACCTAATACTGTAGGAAATACTTTCCCCCATTGCTTTTCCTGAAGCACTTAATACATAATTATACTGTTGACTAAATTTTTCTTAATGAGAAACTATTTCTTCCCTCTGAGTCTTACAAGGTTTTGAAACATTGAGAATAGACATACTGTAGTTTCATGAAAGAGGATGGAAGTACTACCTATCTTTTGGTGAAACTAAAAACAGAGCACTATCAGTCAGGTTTTTTAAAGCCCACATAATTATAAGTGACTTTTCTTTCTTTCTTTTTTGAGACAAGTTCTCACCCTGTTGCCCAGGCTGGAGTGCAGCGGCACAATCTCGACTCACTGCAACCTGCGCCTCCTGGGTTGAGGCAATCCTCCCACCTTGGACTCCCAAGTAGCTAGGACTACAGGTACCCACCATCACGCCCAGCTAATTTTTTGTATTTTTAGTACAGACAGGGTTTCACCATGCTGCCCAGGCTGGTCTCGAATTCCTGGGCTCAAGCAATCCACCTGCCTCAGCTTCCCACAGTGCTGGGATTACAAGCATGAGCCATGGCACCTGGCCTATAACTGACTTTTCTGTTACTGATCCAGATTTGTGAGGATTTTATTAGACTTCTACCCCCACATTCTCTCTTTACAGTGCTTTATCCCTTTGAAAAAGAGCTGAGCAATATCACTAATATACAATTTTGCCCTTTTTAAAAACTAATCTGAACCAATTTATGAGATAGTAATCTACACAAGTCACCCCATACTAAGGAAATATCTATCCTTATAATATTATGTTTTTAGATGAAAGGATGAAAATTACCATGCAATCTCTTTATCAGCATACCAGTATAGTAATAATCACACTTTAACAACAGCCAAAAACCAGATGCTGTCAATTTCTCATTACTAGTCCCAGAAAAGACACATCTATTTTCTTCTTGATTTAGAATAGATTAAAAAGTTAATTTTGGCTGGGCACAGTGGTTCACATCTCTAATCAAACTGTGGGAGGCCAAGTAGGGAGAACCACTTGAAGCCAGGAGTTAGAGATCAGCCTAGGAAACACAGCAAGACTCCGTCTCTACAGGGCATGGTGTTGCACTCCTGTACTTCCAGCTACTTGGGAGGCTAAGGTGGGAGGATTGCTGGAGCCCAGGAGTCCAAGGCTGCAGTAAGCCATGATCATACATCAAGCTGCACTCCAGCCTGGGTGACAGAATGAGACCCCATCTCAAAAAAGGGGGGAAAGAAGTTAATTACAGAAGATATGAAAAAAAAAAAAGTTTTACCCAAAAGCAAATCTATGCAAAATATCTTCAAATTTTCATGTTGTTTAAAAAAACCCATTCAAACCACAAGTATCACTCATAATGTATATCACATTCTTAAAGTTGTTTTACTATAATCAGCATATCCACAAGATAACCCATTAGGATGAATTAAACAGATGGGCTCAGAACTCAGACCATCAGTTTGAAATTCTAGGTGTGTACCTACAAAATTTAAATACACTGGAAAAATTATTTCAAACAGGGCTTTCTCATTTGGAACCAATGGTTAAAGATAATCTCTACCTCATAGTGACAGAATTAAATGAGATAATACATGCATAAGCTGCTTGGCTAAATGCCTCAGCACACCATGAGCATGCGACTCACCAGATTATTTATCTTATTACGAAAGTCAGTGTCTGGAGTAAAAAGAACAGAAAAACCACCTAAAAATAACTCAACATTAACTACTTCACGCTTCTTGACTATGGCTGTCTTCTCCCACATTCCCAAACACTGATCTAGGCCCTAAGTGGCTTATTCAGGTTGCAATAACGTCCTTACCAAACTTTCTGCCTCCTTTCTCTGCCTCCAAATTCAGATTTATTATATAAATGGCAGCAGCAGATACCTCTCCGTTACTGTCCATGTGACACTACTTCACATTACCCTTGCAAGAAGTCACCCCAAATTCAAGCAACTCTAGAAACTATTAAAGCTACAAAGAACTTCATAAATAGAGTTTACTTAAAGGTGGGGAAACCATACACATGAAGTGTCTTGGCAGAGGTGATAGTGTCAAGGACCCCATGCCTATTCCAGCCCAGAGCTCTCTCGACCACACTTTATTACATTATTACATTCCCAGAGCTTTCTTGTTTGACACATGTGTGCCAGAATTGGTTCCTTGTCCTGGTATTCTGCCACTTTGCAGGAATCTCCAGTAAAATAAGATGAATTTTTATTGTTGTTAATATTGTTACCCACCACCAGAATAGCCAAAATAAAAACGGAAGACTTTATGAGCCTTAATGATTCTGGTACCTCACTATTTATAAATGCTGATCAGATGAGACATTTGTTTTGATAGTGAAGGCCAATGCAACCCTGCATCAACAAAACTCCACTTGTTCATATGCAAATATAAAATTGCAGTAATTTATCTAAGTATTTATGGAGATTTTATCTAAAGAGCTTCTTTTTAAAAAGTCAAATAAAAAGTCCAGTAAGTCGGTAGAATAACGGGCAAAGACCTTTCCTAGAAAAAGCAGCTTCCTCGTGGGAGAATTTCAAATAATTTATGTAAATATTCCCCACTCCCCTCTAGGAGATGGAGCTTAAATCTCCCCGACTTGAGTGTAGGTTGGACTTACTAACTTGTTTCCAAAAAAATAAGTATGGAAGGTGGTGAGTGTATACAGTAGGGAAACAACCTTGGCCACGATTAACATTACCAGCAATAAATCATGGAGTAGCATGCACTACACCTCCCACCACTCCAATCATATGAATTCCCCAAATTCATAACCCTAGTCTAGTCATGTGAAAAACAGCAAACTGGGGAGACATCATAATTAAATGCAATGCATACAGTAACCTGGATTGGATTCTAGAACAGAAATGGACATTAATGGGAAAACTATTGGAATCTAAATAAAATGTGGAACTTAGTAATGTATCAGTGTTGGTTTCTGGGTATTGACAAGCACACCTTGGTGATGTAAGAGGAACCCAAGTGAGGGGTCTGATAATCCATAGCATACAGGAAAAGGATGGGGGGTAGGTAGGTAGCCATCCTGTTCCTGAGAAAAGAGTCACATTCTAAAAACTTTCCATAATTCAAGTCATAAAAGTAAGAAAACCATTTTTATTATTATTTTTTTCAGAGTCTCACTCTCACCCAGCCTGGAGTGCAATGGTGTGATCTTGGCTCACTGCAACTTCTTACCTCCCTAGTTCAAGCACTTCTCATGCCTCAGGTGATCTGCCTCCCAAAGTGCTGGGATTACAGGCATGAGCCACCGTGCCTGGTCTCACACATATGGATTAAAGCCACCGCACCTGGCCAGAAAAACCTTTTTTAAAAAGAAGGCCCAGCACAGTGGCTCACACCTGTAACCCCAACACTTTGGGAAGCCGAGGTGGGTAGATCATCTGAGGTTCAGAGGTCAAGACCAGCCTCACCAATATGGTGAAACCCCGTCTCCACTAAAAATACAAAAATTAGCTGGGTGTGGCGGTGGGCATCTGTAATCCCAATTACTTGGGAGGCTGAGGCAGGAGAATCACCTGAACCTGGGAGGCAGAGGTTACAGTGAGCCGAGATCATGCCACTGCACTCCAGCCTGGGCAACAGAGCAAGACTCTGTCTCAAAATAAATAAATAAAAATTAATTAAATTAAATTAAAAAGAACACCCCTCATAAAGAAAACTCTTTCACTTGTTTCAGAGAGGCAATATAATGGGAAACTGGCCTGTTCCAAGTTTGCCCTTAATTCAATCTTCTTTTTTTTTTTTTTTTTTTTTGAGACGGAGTCTCACTCTGTCGCCCAGGCTGGAGTGCAATGGAGTGATCTAGGCTCACTGCAACCTCCGCCTCTGGGGTTCAAGTGATTCTCTCACCTCTGTCTCCCCAGTAGCTGGGATTACAGGCACGCACCACCAAGTCCGGCTAATTTTTGTATTTTTACTACAGACAGGGTTTCACCATGTTAGCCAGGCTGGTCTCGAACTCCTGACCTCAAGTGATCTGCCCGCCTTGGCCTCCCAAAGTGCTGAGATTACAGGTGTGATCCACTGCACCCAGTCAGTCAATCATCAGATCTTGAGAGTAAACATGTAAAATGATATTTAAAATTCCACTAGATTAATAAACCAAAATCTCTAATATCAAAAAGGATGAGTAAGACTTCTGTGTTATATTAGTCTTAACTTAAGCAACAAAAACATCATCAGAAAAGTTAAGAAATTAGCTCCAAGAAGAAGTAAATCGGTCTTAAATTAGGATTAAAACATGGGTTTAAATGAACCAGTATGCCATTACTCCTTGAACATGAGGACATATCGCCTAAAAGGACTCACCAAAAGCATACATACAGGTGGGAAATCCTAAATCTATGCACTGACACTAAGCACACATCCATATCCAGCACCGTGAGGCACAACACTTTGCAAAGATATCCTCAAAAATATTTTTCACGAGTTTCTACCCTATGTGTTTTGGGTTTACATAGTCAACCTAAATTATATAAGGAAAAAAAAAAAAGATTAGGCTTTAGAAGATGTTTCTAGCCAGGTGCAGTGATTCACGCTTATAATCCCAGCACTTTGGGAGGCTGATGCGGGTGGATCACATGAGGTCAGGAGTTCGCGACCATCCTGGCCAACATGGTGAAACCCCTCTCTACTAAAAATACAAAAATGAGCCATGCATGGTGGTGTATGCCTGAAATCCCACCTGCTTGGGAGGCTGAGGCAAGAGAATCACCTGAACCTGGAAGGCGGAGGTTGCAGTGAGCTGAGATTGCGCGACTGCACTACACCCTGGGCGACAGAGTGAGACCTGATCTCAAAAAAAAAAAGAAAAGAAAAGAAACCTTTTCTGAGCAGGTGCTGTGGGAGTAATCCCAGCACTTTGGGAGGCTGAGGTGGGTAGATCGCTTGAGTCAGAAGTTCAAGACCAGCCTGGCCAACATGGTAAAACCCCATCTCTACTAAAAATACAAAAAATCAGCCAGGTATATGGTGGCAAGCCTGCAGTCCCAGTTACCTAGGAGGCTGGAACAGGAGAATTGCTTGAACCCAGGAGGCAGAGGTTGCAGTGATGGCACCACTGCACTCCAGCCTGGGTGACAGAGTGAGACTCCATCTCAAAACAAACAAATAAACAAAAAAACAGAAACATTTTCTTAAAAATGTCTCAGCTTGGCGGGACACCGTGGCTCACACCTATAATCCCAATACTCAGGGAGGCTGAGCAGGCGGATCGCTTGAGGTCAGGAGTTTGAGACCAGCCTGGCCTACATGGTGAAACCCTACCTCTACTGAAATACAAAAATTAGCTGAGTGTGGTGGCACATGCCTATAATCCTAGCTACTCAGGAGGCTGAGGCAGGAGAATCGCTTGAACCCGGGAGGTGGAGGTTGCAGTGAGCCTAGATCACACCACTGCACTCCAGTCTGGGCGACACAGCGAGACTCTGTCTCCAAAAAAAAAATAAAAAAAATAAAAAAATCTCAGCAAAGTGATTTCAAAGAATGAAAAGAATCTGTTTCCACTCAAATAAATGGGTACATCAAGAAACATTACAACTTACACAAGCTTAATCTTAATTTTGGAATCCACTGCATTAGTTGGTTCATAGGTTTATTTCACGTGTGTGTGTGTGTGTGTGTGTGTGTGTGTGTGTGTGACAAAAAGTCTCACTCTGTTGCCCAGGCTGGAGTGCAGTGGCGCGATCTCGACTGACCGCAACCTCCACCTCCCAGGTTCAAGGAATTCTCTTGCCTCAGCCTCCTGAGTAGCTGGGATTACAGACGCCTGTGACCACACCCGGCTAATTTTTGTATTTTTAGTAGAGACGGGGTTTCACCATGTTGGCCAGGCTGGTCTTTAACTCCTGACCTCAGGCAATTCGCTCGCCTCAGCCTCCCAAAGTGCTAGGATTACAGGTATGAGCCACTATGCTCAGCCTTCTCCTTCATTTTTTTGTTTCATACATACAACCAGTGGGAGATAGGGGACAGACAAGCTAGAAGGAAATATTTATTGATCACCTATTATGTGCCAGACACTTTCACAAATATGAGCTTGTAATCTTCGCAACTTTCTGAACTATTAATAGATACCTAAAGCAGTGCTTAAAAATTAAGACTATAAAAAACATAGGAAAATACTGTGATAAAGCAAAAACAAAAGCAAATTATAAAACATGCCATAGTTAAGGTATTGAGAGGAAGGAATGTCAATGAGCTTCACAAAGGGAAAAATGCCCATGAGTCATTCAGCTTCCTGCCATTCTAAAGTAAAGTACAACAGGTCAGATATTCTCCAGTATTTAAACAGAATCCTTGTAGAAAATAAATCAGAAAACTGCCTCCAGGAAGGGAAAATGGAAGGCCAGGAATGCCTAAGAAATGTACTTCTCTTGTGCATAACCCTTTTGCATCTTTTAATTTTGTACCATATGCCTGTATTGCCTATCCAAATATTCAACAAAATTTAGCTTAAAAAAAAAAAAAAAAAAAAAAAAAGGTTGTCCGCGGTGGTGAATGCCAGAGACCCCAGCACTTTGGGAGGCTGAGGAGGGAGGATGGCTTGAGGCCAGGAGTTTGAGACCACCCTGGGCAACATGGCAAGACCTTATCTCTACAAAAAATGTTTTTAAAGTGAGCCAGGCTAGTGTCACCTACCTCCAGTCCCAGCTACTTGGGAGACTGAGACAGGAGGATCCTTTAAGCCCAGGAGACTGACACTGCAGCAAGCCTTGATCATGTCACTGCACTCCAGCCTAGGTGACGAAGAGATCTTGTCTCAAAAAAAAAGGAAAAGAACAGGAAAAAAAAAAAAAAAAAAAACTCAACCACAGGGAAAGAGGTGTGGCCAAGATACCAATTCTATATTTTTTTTCTTTTTTTAAAAATTTTTTTCTTTATTTTCTTGTAGAGACAGGTTCTCACTATCTTGCCCAGGCTGGTCTCAAACTCAGGCTCAAGTGATCCTCCCCATCTTCGCCTCTCAAAGTGCTGGTATTACAGGTGTCAGCTAGTGCGCCTGGCCTCATTAATTCTAAATTACAAAGATCAGACTTAATCATATTCCCTCTGCAGAGAACTGTGGTTCCAACAAACACACTACTCCCTAGGCCACCCACATCATGAAAAGGTGTGTGTCATCGGAAACCCACAGCCATTATGCGGCATTACTCAAATACTAAATGACAAGCTCAAATTAGAACTACATCTTGTCTTTTACCTACTCTTCATTTTTACCCAAGTGCCTGGCTCAAAATGGAAACTGTATTTTACATGATGGCTATTGTATTAGTCTGTTCTCACACTGCTATAAAAAAATACCTGGCCGGGCGCAATGGCTCAGACCTGTAATCCCGACACTTTGGGAGGCTGAGGCGGGCAGATCACCTGAGGTCAGGAGTTCGAAACCATCCTGGCTAACACGGTGAAACCCTGTCTCTACTAAAAATACAAAAAATTAGCCAGGCGTGGTGGCAGGCACCTGTAGTCCCAGCTACTCGGGAGGCTGAGGCAGGAGAATGGCGTGAACCCGGGAGGCAGAGCTTGCAGTGAGTGGAGATCGCACCACTGCACTCCGGCCTGGGCGACAGAGCCAGACTCCGTCTCAAAAAAAAAAAAAAAAAAAAGAAAGAAAGAAAGAAAGAAAGAAAGAAAGAAAGAAAGAAAGAAAGAAAGAAAGAAAGAAAGAAGGAAATACCTGAGATGAGACTAGGTAATTTATAAAGAGAAGAGGTTTCAATGGCTCAAGGTTCTGCAGGCTGTACAGGAAGCATGATGCTGGCATCTGCTCAGCTTCTAGGGAGGCCTCAGTAAACTTATAATCATGGTGGAAGGCAAAGGGAAAGCAAGCACATATAACATGGCCAGAGGAGGAGCAAGAGAGACAAGAGGGAGGTGCTACACACTTTTAGACGACCCGATCGCCCGAGAGCTCACTCACTATCATGAAAATAGCACCAAGGGGGATATCCACCCCCATGATCCAATCATGGGCCCCCACCTCCAACACTGGGGATGACAATTCGACACAAGATTTGGCTGGGGACACAGATTCAAACCACAACTATCAGCTATAAACATCTAACACAAGCCTTTTAGGAACTACTAAAGAATAACACTATAGGCTGCACGTGGTGGCTCATGCCTGTAATCCCAACGCTTTGGGAAGCCGAGGCCAGCCTGGACAACGTGGCAAAACCCTGTCTCTACCAAAAATAGAAAAAATTAGCTGGGCACGGTAGCGAGTGCCTGTGGTCCCAGCTACTCAGGAGGCTGAGGTGGGAGGATCGATTGAGCCCAGGAGGCGGAGGCTCCAGTGAGGCAAGATTGCACCACTACACTCCAGCCTGGGTGAAAGTAAGACAAGTCTCAATTAAAAAATAATAATAGGCTGGGTGCAGTAGCTCACGCCTGTAATCCCAGCACTTTGGGAGGCCGAGGCAGGAAGATCATGAGGTCAAGAGATCGAGATCATCCTTGCCAACATGGTGAAACCCTGTCTCTACTAAAAATACAAAAATTGGCTGGCGCGCGCCTCTAGTTCCAGCTACTCGGGAGGCTGAGGCAGGAGAATCGCTTGAACCCAGGAGATAGAGGTTGCAGTGAGCCAAGATCACGTCACTGCACTCCAGCCTGGCGACAAAGCGAAACTCCATCTCAAAAAATAGTAATAATAAAACTAAAAAATAAAAATAAAAAGAGTAACACTATAAAATTCAACAGCTGGTATTTTCAAACAGTTTTTTATCCACACTCCCCTCAAATCTTCCCGATACACATTCCTCCCATTTTATTTGCACAGTTATACATGCTAAGTATTCATTATTTATCAACAGTAATATTTTTGTTAAGTGGAAGATAGAAAATGTTAAAGCAGGTGGTTGTTACGTATCTATGGGAAAAAGTCAGCTGGGAGGCTGATTCTAGGTGACAAAAATAGAATATGCTAAAAAGAAATGTAGTTTGGAGAATTTTCACCCAAATTAGAGTCTCAATGAAAGGACACAATAAAATACTGAAATACAGATGTGGGTGGATGGTGTAACATTTGAAGGGAACTGTTCAGAAGAACAAGCAGACAGGCAAGCTTAAAAGAAACAAATAATATAATCACCTAAAGAAAACAGGGCGTTTGAGGACACAGAATTAGGTAAAGGAACACTGCCAGAAGACTAGAGGAGAGAGTGTTTGTAATTCACTGCTCAGCCTTTCTTCCATTCACGTAACTGGGCAATGAAGACTTAAGGTGTTCACTGTTAAGTCATTCTTTAACGCAGCAAGCATTTATTTGGTGTAGCATAACAGTCCTGAAATGGAATCCCAGCTCTGCCTAGACTGAAGGAGAGTTCTCTAATCTCTTTAAGTTTCAATTTTCTCTTCTATAAAAATGGAGGAAACAGTTCCTTCTTCAAAGAGATTAAACAGCAAGTTAAAACAAGTAGCAAACGTCTGGTACATAGTAGGAACTTAAAATAATCAATCCAAACACCACAAATAGATTCAATCATAAGGACACTTTTAAGAAATCCAGTTACAAGGCTCATATCTAAAGCAGATTTAGCAAATTAAATAAACAAAAATAAAACATTCCTAGCAATTTCTACTTATTCTAAGCCAATTCAGCATAAAGATCCTCCAGTGTAAGTTCCCTTTTATTTATGAAGCCTACTGAGAATCAATTTGAGAGACCTTCAGCCACAAGAAATCAGGTCTACAGGGCTATCTAAATAATTAGGGGGCCAGGCATGACGGCTCATGCCTATAATCCCAGCACTTTGGGAGGTCAAGACAGGAGGACCCGTTGAGCCCAGAAGTTGCCAGCAGCAGTAGTGAGCTATGATGGTGCCACTGTACTCTAGCCTGGGAAACAAAGCAAGACCCTGTCTCTATAAATAAATAAATAACCCATTTATTTTGCAAGTGTGCTTATTCATATCAATTCACTTCTGGTCAACAAGCCAAAAAATAAGATACATAAATATAAAATAAATCAGTTCACTTCTTCTCTAGTCTCTCAAGCTATTTTCAAATTCTTTTTTCTTTTTCTTTTTTTTTTTTGAGATGGAGTCTCACTCTGTTGCCCAGGCTAGAGTGCAGTGGCGCAATCTCGGCTCACTGCAACCTCTGCCTTCCAGGTTCAAGCAATTCTCCTGCCTCAACCTCCTGAGCAGCTGGGATTACAGGCACCCGCCACCACGCCCAGCTAATTTTTGTATTTTTAGTAGAGACGGGGTTTCACTGTGTTGGTCAGGCTCATCTCAACCTCCTGACCTCATGATCCGCCTTCCTCGGCCTCCTAAAGTGCTGGGATTACAGGCGTGGGCCACCACGCCTGGCCTATTTTCAAATTCTACACCCTTTATTAATAGCAATACTCAGCTCTGAAGGCTGTGAGACCCCTGATTTCCCACTTCACACCTCTATATTTGTGTGTGTGTGTCTTTAATTCCTCTAGCGCCGCTGGGTTAGGGTCTCCCCGACCGAGCTGGTCTCAGCACCAAACATACTGTCAAATTCTTCTAACTAGTCAACAATGTACTGTGCAACAATGTTAGTTTTATTAGCTGCTAGTGAATTAGGAGTTAGTGTTTTAAATGAGAACATTCTCATTAAGATACCTGTATTCTATTATGAGTCTAAGTCTCATTGTCTAATACAGGAATTATTAGTAATAAGATAATTAAGTTATTCAATAAAGAGCAAACCAAATATTTAACATCTAAGAGTAAGTGCTCTAAATCAAGTCCCGTAAGTTTAAAATATCTCAAGTCAGTTCCTAACTCAGTTGGTAAAGAACACCCACAATACCAATGAGAAGGAAGAGACCAATAACTTCAATGTTTATCCCTTTATATATAACAATTGCAGAATAACCAATGTTTTGCAGACACAGGAATTTCACCAAGTATGTGGTACTGCTTCTCCATCAGTAAAATGAGAAGCATGAACTTACTCTCTAGAGTCCATTTAATAGGAAAATTAAGTGGCTTAATCCTGTCTACAACTTTCACGTCTGACTTCCCTTTCCCAACATCCAAGGGAATCCTGTTCTGTCTTTTAACTGAGTGGATGTGGCGAGGTTTGTAGAATGTGTGTGCTTTTTTCCTACTCTCTTCCTCTGATCCTTCAAGCTTTATTAACATACTTCAGAATAGACTAATCTCAGTCATTAAGCACTGCTGATCACTATGATTCCTCCATCCACCCACCCACCCACCCACCCATCCATCCATTTATTGAAGCAGGATCTTGCTCTGTGCTCTGTCCCTCAGGCTGAAGTGCAGTGGCACTCACTGCAGGCCTCTAATTCCTGACCTCAAGTGATTCTCCCACCTCAGCCTCCCAAAGTGCCAGGATTATGGGCACCAGCCACCATGCCCATGGCCACTATGATTCTTTTTTTTTTTTTTTTTGCGGTGGAGTCTCGCTCTGTCGCCCAGGCTGGAGTGCAGTGGTGCGATCTCGGCTCCCTGCAAGCTGCACCTCCCAGGTTCACACCATTCTCCTGCCTCAGCCTCCTGAGTAGCTGGGACTACAGGTGCCCGCCACCTCACCCGGCTAACTTTTTGTATTTTTAGTAGAGACGGGGTTTCACCATGTTAGCCAGGATGGTCTCATCTCCTGACCTCGTGATCCGCCCATCTCGGCCTCCCAAAGTGCTGGGATTACAGGTGTGAGCCACCGCGCCCGGCCCAAGGCCACTATGATTCTTTAAGCTCTCACCTTTCTTCACTGCCTTCATACACAACCAAGTTAGATAACCAATTCATTTTCTTGAGGATCATTCCTAATGCCAATTTCGTCAACCAGATTTTTTACAGTAAACAAAGCCCATTCTAGCTAATATAAGCAACTAAATGGCTCTACAGGAAGGTCATCAAACCAGATTTACAAGCCATGCAACTAGGACAACACCAGAATTACCCCACAGAACTGCTTCAGTGGAGGTCTTAACTGCTGCAGGTGTTAAACACAAGGACACTTGGCAGTGCATAGTGGACACCACCGCTAGAAAACGCTGCCTCTGAAACCTGGCAGCCATGCTTGTCTACTTCACATCACTTGCTTCCTAATCCTAGTCTTGCCCTGGTGCATGGAATAGAAGTCACACATCTATGACAAACTACAAGAGAGGATGGGAAAACATATTAATAGCTTCTACTGTGGAGTGGACAATTTCCCCTCAAAGACAGTGTTCAAAAGGGGCTGGTACCCAAAATGCATACTAAACATCCACAAGTGATATCACACTAGCTGCTTAGGTCCTAAGGCCCCTGTGTACTTTTTTTCTCAGTTTATTCCCTAAATTGCTCCCTAAGTTCAGTGTTATGGCACTCTCGTAGTTTATGACTAGTAAATACTATTCATAGCTGAATCCTGTTGCATTCTGTTGTTGTAAGTCCATTCTTGTACAATTTGTTTTACCTGATTTTTAATTTATGTTTGTTAAGAGACAGGGTCTCACTCTGTCACCCAGGCCAGAGTTCAGTGGTGTGATTATGTGTGATTTTTTTACCTGGAATTAATAATTCTATTTTTTTTTTGTTTTTTTTGCTTGTTTGGTTTTCTGTATATGTATCACTAATTCACCTCCAAACTTCTACTACATGTGTAAGTCTCAACACATCAGGCTATCTATTGGTTGTTTATTTCTTGACAACACCCCTTTGGAGCCCTGTCTTCACTCACCAATCTGGACTAACTGGTGAATGCCTACACAGCTATTATCCCAAGATTTCTCTTTAAGAATTCCCTTCACCTTATCCTTTGCTGGATTCCATGTCTGGGCCAAGCTTTCAGGGAGATTAAGCAAATGAGTAACTATATTAAGGATGAGAACCAAGATTCTCACTGTCAGAGACGAGAGCTACAAATAAGGAAAGGAAAAGGGCTAAAATGAATCCTATGATGTTGGATCAAAATGGTGGCATTTGTGGTAAAATTCATGGTTATATATATGTGTAGGCAGAGATATAGACAATAAATATGTCTAATAAATAAATACACATAGATCTACTTGTTCTGCCCACTAAGAGGGCTGAAAACAACAATATCCTGGCAGCAATAAATACAGCTAGTGCCAAGATATTGGTTTCTATAATACTATTCTCCACTTCAAGAGAATGGCTCCTCCTTAGACAAACAGTTGACTCCAGGATGAGGCAGAGAACATACAAGATAAATTTGAAATATTCTAAGATACCATAAACAAGCATTTAAAGGATTATAGAGGGCTAGGTGCAATGGCTCATGCCTGTAATCCCAGCACTTCGGGAGGCCAAGGCAGGCAGATCACCTGAGATCAAGAGTTCAAGACCAGCCTCGCCGACATGGTGAAACCCCGTCTCTACTAAAAATACAAAAATTAGCCAGGTGTGGTGGCGCATGCCTGTGATCTCAGCTACTCCAAAGGCTGAGGCAGGAGAATTGTCTGAACCCGGGAGGCGGGGGTTGCAGTGAGGCGAGATCACGCCACTACATTCCAGCTTGGGTGACAGAACAGGACTCTGTCTCAAAAAAATAAAAATAAATAAAGGATTATAGATATTTGTCAAAAGGACACAGGAGTCAGCTTGAAGGAAATCCCATTGGCCAAATCTGGAATAATATGACCATCAAATTAAAAATAATAGGCCGAGCATGGTGGTATATGCCTGTGATCTCAGCACTTTGGGAGCACAAGGTAGGCGGCTCACTTGAGGTCAGAAGTTTGAGATCAGCCTGGTCAACATGGCAAAACTCCGTCTCTACTAAAAATACAAAAATTAACCAGGTGTGGTGGCACGCGTCTGTAGTCCCAACTACTTAGGAGGCTGAGGCAGGATAACTCCCTGAATCCGGGAGGCGGAGGCTGCAATGAGTGGAGATCTTGCCACTGGGCCCCAGCCAGGGCGACAGATGGAGACTCCGTCTCAAAAATAAATAAAATAAATAAATAAAAATAAAGATGTCTTTATGTTCATACTACAGTTTGGCATAGAATCCTAAATTGGGCCAGGTGCAGTGGCTCACGCCTGTAATCCCAGCACTTTGGGAGGCTGGGGTGGCCAGATCATGAGGTCAGGAGTTCAAGACCAGCCTGGCCAGCATGGTGGGGAAACCCCGTCTCTACTAAAAATACAAAAAATTAGCCAAGCATGGTGGTCCACACCTGTAACCCCAGCTACTTGGGAGGCTGAGGCAGGAGAACTGGTTGAACCCAGGAGGCGGAGGGTGCAGTGAGCCGAGATCACACCACCGCATTCCAGCCCAGCGAAAGAGCGAGACTCCATCTCAAAAAAGAAGAAAAAAAAATCCTAGATGGGTATGCTCCTAGAATTCTGAGGACACTGCTCCACTGTCACCTAGATTCTAGTGTCATACAGATTCTCAGTCCACTGCTGTAACTTGACTTGCTTCCACTGGAGGATTTTGAGATCTTCTCTATTCTCAGTGTTCTGAAATCTCAGTGTGATGTACCAATCTATTTTTTCTTTTATTCCCTGCGCTGGGCACTCAGTGGGTCTGCTCAATGTGGAGATTTGTGATTTTCACTTCTGAACATTTTTAATGTGTTGATTTAATATTGTTTCCTCTCAATTATCTTTTCTCTCTCTAGAACATCTAACAGTGCAGATGTTGGAGCTCCTGAACCAATCCATTAACTCTAAAGTATTCCCTTCTGTTTTGTTTTTGTATTCATCATCAATTACTAATATTATATCATAATTGCTTTAGTTGTCTCTCTTGTACATAACCGCTCTCCCTTCTCCCTCCCTCTCCCACTGTGTGTGAGCGCACGTGTGTGCACACAACCATCTGAAAAATGCAAATATCATGACAGTTCCTTTAGTATGCATCTTCTAAGCCTAAGGGCATTCTCCTCTATAACCACAGTGCTATTATCACACTTAAGCAAAAATTAATATTAATTCATTATCATTAGTATACAGTCCTTATTCACATTTCCACACTTCCTCTTCCCACCTAAATATGTTTCAGTCAAGAAGCCAATCAGGCATTGTCTTTCTCTTTTTGTCTGTCTTTGCCTACTACTTTCTGGAAGATTTCCTTGGTTTCCTATTGAAAATTTGTCCTGCAATCCTATTTTCCAAGAGCTCTTTCTTGTTCTCTGAATGGACCCCTACTTTATACCTTCTTGCTTTTATGTCATGCATTTTCTCTTAGCTCTTCAAGCTTTTTTGTTTTTTCAAATTTGAGCTTTTCTTATGCAACCTGTATTTCCTATTTCTTCACTTGGTTTCTTTTTATCTGTCTGTGTTAGACTGTTATGGCTTTTTCTTCATGTGCCTGATAATCCTTGACTGTTAAGTCACAGTTAAGAAGGAAGTACTAAAAAGTAAGTTTTAATGTCACATACACAGCTGGTGCTTATTAATGGCAAGACTCCCCTGCAAGGTGATCAGACAGGGATGTAACTGTTTCACTAAGAGCTATGGTGGATTACATTTTTCTAGAGCTGATCACATTATCTCCCACCCCATATCACCTTCTTACAGTGTGGCCAACTGACACTAAGATATGAGGTCTGTTTTCCTCCCCTAGAACCCCAGGCAAGTTGTTGACTAGAGCAGAAATGATGTGATGTAACTTCCAAGACTAAGTCATCATAAAAGGTAATACAGATTCTGCTCATCCTCCCACAGGACATACATTTGGACACAAAGCTATGTGGGCAGTCTGAGTGCCCTGAAGAAGCAGCACAAACAAATTCACACAGAGACCTTGTGGAGGCGGCTCAGCTCGGCCCTCTCCAGCTGTGCACACTGCCTTGCCTGTGCACTACTCTTCAGCTCTACCATCTGACTGCAGCCAAAGCAAGAACCTGAGCCACAATTGCCCAATCAAGCTCTTCCTAAATTCCTGACCTACAGAAATCACGGAATTATTTTAAGTCACTAACTTTTGGGGGTCATTTTTCAGGCAGCAAGACTAAGGAACAGATTTTGGCACCTGGAAGTGAGATGCTGCAACAAAAACCCAGAACTGTGCTACTGGCTTTGGGGCTGGGTGGCAGGTGGAAATTGCAAGGCCTTTAAGAGGCTATCAGCAAAAGCCTGAAGGGCCTCAACAAGGAAACTATCAGGAAAAGCTTAATAGAAACTATGAAAACTACTATTGTACATTACAGGAAAAGGGTCCCCTGTTGTCTAAGTAGTGGAAAATGTGGCCTTTAGAAATGTGGAAAACAGGAAATGCACCTAATAAACTCCATGATCTACCTAAGGATATTTCCAGGCAGAATTTTAAAAAAAGAAACAATTCTCAAAATTCTCAGTGGTAAAGAACAAACCCAGACTGTGACTGTAATACTTTCTTAAAACCTCAAAAAGATCTAAGAAGGTTCTGCACTGTCCTTTCCAAGAGACCAAGAGCCTTCTAAGGATTTTAAGATCCTCTCCATCAAACAACAGGGCTTCTAAGAATACTAAGGCTGGTGACACACAAGGAGCCCAAGGAAATGAAGGACCTACCACAAACAGGCTAAGTGTGGTTCCTGTCTAATGTAGTAGGTTACAAATTGACACAGAGAGAGCCCACAAAATTTTCAAAGGAATTATACCAGTTTGGACTGAAAGAGACAAAAACAGTACAAAATGAGGGGAAGGTTTTTTTGTTCCTCCAAAACTACCGAAAGCACAAAGGCTAAGAAAACTACTCAGCTATAAAAATCAGCCATTTCTTAGGGAAAAGGGTAACTCAGAAGACAAAACAAAATTCTCAGCAGAAACCAGAGCCTGAAACAATCATTCCCAGGCACCAGAACTGAGACCAAATCAAGGAATTGGTAACGTGTGCCCTGCTGAATTTCAGAATGGCAATGGATGAGAAACTACTGTGCCTCCTGTTTCCTCTTTTCTGGGCAGATGTGTCTACAGCAATTATCCTAAGCTTGTCCTGCCATTTTAAGTCAGAGGAAGCAACAGATTCCTTCTCTTGACGTCACATGAGTTCAGCTCTAGAGGAACCACACCTGAGGAGCTTTGGGTGGCCACAACTGGGCTTGATTCAGGTGACAAGATGCTGAACTTGAAGTTAATGCCATAGCAGGAAGGGGGAGCGATGTGATGGGAGAGGGTGTGAGCACAAGTGACAAGAAGGAGGAATGTGAATTATTGTGACCAAATGAGAAAATGTGGTAGATTGTGTTTTCCAAAGGTGGTCACAGAATGTTTCTCATGTCATCCCACAGGGACCCCTTACACTCTGACTGCAATTCCACTTCTGTACTCCTACCAAGAGATGGAATCTATGTTCCCTGCCCTTGAAGCTGACTAGACTTGTGACTACATCGGAAAGGAGCCTATGTGACTTCCGAGGCTGGGTCATGAAAAGTGAATCAGTTAATAGTCAGTTTTCTTGCGATACTTGCTTTGGAAGCCTGCACTTTCTTGTAAGCAGTCAGAGGCCATAATGTTGTGAGGAGCACAAATCAGCCCATGCTGAGACACCAGGAAGAAAGCTGTCTGGCCAGCCAAGGCCACTTCAGCACCCTACTGTTCAGCTCCAGCCACCATGTGAACACAACTTAAGTCAGAGAAACCCAAGCCAGAGCTGCCCAACTGATGTCTTCCTAAATCCTCATCACCAGAAAGTGTGAGATAATAAAACGATTGTTGTTGTTTAAAGACAATAGTAACAGCAACAGTTGTTAGGCGGTAATAACTGGAATACAGGGTAACACTCAATTGTTAGCATCTGGGCCAGTTTTCTCCCAAAGAAGAACCTTCTAATTTGCTGGAGAGTATAAGCCAGGCTATTAAGAATTCTGGAATGACCATTCAATATACAAACTTTCACTTCATAGATACGTCTCCCCCACCACGTCCAGATAGTTTCCACCCGTCCTCCCCATTTCAAGTCTAGGGTACAGCTCTGGTTCAAACTCTACCAAAAGTAAACTTGTCTTGTGCTAGGCTAGGGAAAGTCTAATTCCTGGACTGCTGGAATGAAGCATAATCTAGAGACAGGAAGAATTCCTGGAGACTTTCAGTCAGCCCATCAGCTTAGGGCCAACCACACCACACCTGGGCCTCTGAAGATACCTGGTGCCTCCACCTCCTAGGCCTTGCTGCAGTTCTGCAGCAGCAATCTGCTTCCTCCAGCATCACTACCACCGCTTTTCAGTTCTGGCAAGGTAATTACCATGCATTAATCTATTATTTCAGTTTCTAAAACATTAGTGACATCTCTATACTGCTATACTGTTTATACTATCCCATTACTCAACATTCCAAATCTCAATGTTTTTACCTTTCTTCCTTTCCTGGAAGCTCTATAAGGTTTGTTCACATCTTTTCTAATCTCTTCCATTCCTCTTTTTTTTGAGACGGAGTCTCGCTCTGTCGCCCAGGCTGGAGTGCAGTGGCATGATCTGGGCTCACTGTGCAAGCTCCGCCTCCCGGGTTCACGCCATTCTCCTGCCTCAGCCTGCCAAGTAGCTGGGACTACAGGCACCCGCCACCACGCCCGGCTAATTTTTTGTGTTTTTAGTAGAGACAGGGTTTCACCGTGTTAGCCAGGATGGTCTTGATCTCCTGACCTCGTGATCTGCCCGCCTCGGCCTCCCAAAGTGCAGGGATTACAGGCGTGAGCCACTGCGCCCAGCCAATCTCTTCCATTTCTAATGCTTAGCCTTCACTATCAAGTTTAGGACACTGTAAAATCTTTAAAATGGCCTTCCTGACTCATTCCCCCATACCCTGATCCCTCCTATACTGTGTCAGAATACTTTTCTGCCGATACTATGCTAACACAGACTAACTTTTTTTAATAGACAGGGTCTCACTCTGTCACCTAGGCTGGAGTGCAGTGGCAATGATCATAGCTCACCACAGCCTCGACTTCCTGGGCTCATGTGATCCTTCCATCTCAGCATCCCGAGTACCTGGGACCATAGGCATGTGCCACCATACCCGGCTTATTTTTATAATTTTTATAGAGACGAGGTCTCACTTTGTTGCCCAGGCTGGTCTGGAATTTCTGGGCTCAAGCGATCCTTCCCACCTCTGCCTCCCAAAGTGCTGAAATTACAGGTGTGAGCCACCATGCCCAGCCCAGATTAACTTCTGAACAAGTTTAACTATTAGTATTATCATCAAATCGGCCTAAGACTTTTTTATAAAGAGTATCTCTTCCTCCTTGTATCAACCCTATGAGACAAATATTATCACTCTTAACAAATGAAGAAACGCATTCAACAACATTCTATGGAACTGAACTGCGCTTCAATTTCCTCCTGCCAAATAATCTCAAGAATCTTAACCAGATCTAAAATTTTATTTTCTACAATTCAAAGGTAAGAAACATGAGGCACTGAATACAACTTACACTAATCAAGATCAGACACTTGTTAATACCGTCAAAGAAGTTTATTCCTTCTATCAGATTCCTTCTTTACCTATGTATTCTTTCAATTAGAGTAAGAAACTGAAAGGACAATGGACACAGACGCAGCTGGGGCACGAGGAGTAAAGGGAAAGAGGTAAAAACTAAACACGCCACAACAGAATGGAGTCACAATTCCATCAATCCCTATGTTAACCACCCTTGTCCCCAAATAATGGACCTTATCAAATCACGAGAGGTACTATCAAATATTCACCACATGAAATCCAGAAATGATGCAAGTTTTTTTAATACATGCAGATTCAGTGCTGCTCAAATTCCCATGATTTCCCTATGAAGCTACAAGTTCAAAGGTAATAAATGAAGATACAACAATCATCTTTGTAAAACCAGCCTTTCCACTGTATTTGACACACTACCCAAACCCCAAAGAAACTATGCTAGATACAGGAGGGGGCTAGACAGAAGTAACACATAGCCCCTGCTTTCTTGAAGCATACATGTTAGTGGGCAAGAAATATTAAACCTTGTGCAAGCGTCACTTTC